>NC_000011.10:3090303-3393333 GCF_000001405.40 Homo sapiens
GCTGGGGAGCCCCTGGCCTGGGCCCACTCCCTTTCTTCCCCACCCCCACCATTCCCCCCGTTGGCCCTTGGGCTGCCTCCCAGACTCTGAGAGGGCAGAGCCTGCTGGGGGGCCCCTCAGGGCAGCAGAGGAGCTTTTGCTGGGAGGTTGCCCTACATCTGGGCAGGTGCTTCTCTGGCCTCCCCTCCAGCCAGGTCAGCATCTGAGGCACCCCACCAGACAGAGGCCTTGGGGCTGGGCCCAAGGGGGCTCACCAGGGACAAAGTCACCATCCTGCTCCTCGTCTGAGAGCTCTGGGCAGGACTCAGGCGTGGATCCGCTGCTCTCCGTGGCCTGGCTGTGGCCGGAGGGCTGGTCGCTGGCCTTGCGAAGCCGCTGGTCTGGGCCAGACCTCTGCAGAGAAATGGAGCTGCTGCAGCTGAAAGCCACCCACGCCCCCTGCCCAGGCCCCAGGGACATGGTGGCATGCTTATGCCAGGACAGTGCTAGAGGTGGCAGCCAGCAGGGAGGGCAGCTGCTGGGCTGTGGAGCTGGCTGGAGGGGTCTGTCTCAGCCCCGGCATGGCCTGGAGTAGCCATGGTCCCTTTGAGCCTGTTTCCTCATGGGTGAGACAGAGCTACTGACCCCTCACAGTGAGCAAGGGCCTGCAAGGTGGTGCAGACACGCCTGCCCTGTGCTCACCATGGCGTTGCATCCAATAAATGCAGAGATGATGGCATGGGGGGCCGAGGGTGGTTCTGACCCCTGAGCCATGAGGACAGATGAAAGCCGAGGCCACTGTGGGAGCTGGGAGGTTCATAGGAACCCCAGATGGCTAGGGTTCCCCATGTCAAGGGGCATCTCCAGGGGGGAACCCCCACACTCAGCCGGCTGCTCACAACCCCAGGAGTGCAGGCAGGGCTCATCCATTCAGCCCTTACTTGAGCTCACAAGGAACCCAGGACAGGAACTGATGCTCAGGGGTGGGGAAAAAGCAGAACCTGGCTGTGGGACCACCATGTAACAACAGGCGTTTGGGGCCAGAGAGGTGCCAGGGACGCTCTGCATTGGGTGTGGTCAGCGACGGGGCAGGTGGGGTCAGAGCCAGGACAGGTGGGGTCAGAGGCGGGGCAGGTGGGTTTGGCCACAAGGTACTCCATGGGATGGTTTTTGAGGCATGGCAGGGCCCAGGCTGACTGACCTCAGCAGGGGCTGCGGGGTGGGAGGCTGCAGAGGGCATTGGGGGTGGACATCTGCTGGAGATTGGTGGGGAGAGGCTGAGGAGCGGGACTGCGAGGGTCTGGGGCCAAGGGAAGGCAGGAGCTAGCAGTCTGGCCTGAGCCCGGGGGGATGGAGACTGTGCTGCAGACATAGGGGGTGCATCTGTCTACCTTCCTGAGGCTTCTTCCCTAGTCCCTTGGCAGGCAGAGCATGGGACATGCAGCCAAGGAGATACCGCGGCCCCCAGCTTGCTGGAGAAGTTAGGGCCATCAGGCAAGCAAGGCCTCTCATCTGAGTCTGGCCCAGACGGCATCAGCTGGGGAACACGCCCCCATCCTGTCCGCTGCGGGTGAGCACCGGCCGCGCTCTGCACCCTCTGCACGCAGTAGGTGCACGGCTGGGGCGGTGCAGCTCAGCACACCTGGAACGGGGGCGTGTGGGTTTGGCGCCACCTGGTGGCCGCCTAAGGCATGGCACCAAGACACACCCAAGGCAGCTTCCTCAGGTTACTCCCTGGAGCCTCCTGCTGTCCCGCTTCCCCTTTCCAGACACAAGATCTGTGCAAGTGCTGGCTCCTCCTCCTCCTACCTGGGAAGGGCCCTGGGCTGCCCTGACCTTCTGTTTCCTGATCAGTGGAATGGGATAATGTGGCTGCTAACTTGGCAGAGGGAGACTTTGGGGGCAGTGGACAGAGACAGTAGACACAGGGTCCCACAAGCCAAGGTGCCCCTAGAACTGAGCATCCTGCAAATCCCGGTTTCCTGAGTCCCATGCTCGGCAGAGAAGGAAAGGGGACGAGGGGGCTGGGGGATGAGGGCGTGAGGGAAACGGAGCGAGGGGAAGGGAGGAGTGAGGTGAGGAGCGAGGGGTGGTGGTGGCCACACGTGCAGCTAAGACCAGCCCTGGGTGGGGCCTGTGGGGTGCTGACCTCGTGCCTGGGCCCTGGGCTGCCCAGGAAGGTGGTCTGGCGGGCCACGGCCTCCTGCTGCAAGGTCCGCAGGATCCCGTCTTGCTCAAACTGGGCGATGTCCTTCAGGGGGTCCCAGGGGCTGTGGCTGGAGGGTCCAGAGGGCGTTCATCAGCACAGGCAGTGGCCCTCAGGTGAGGGGGCTGTCCTGGCCCAGTCTTCAGCCCCCCAACAGTGGCCAGAGACCTCCAGGAGAATGACCACTGCCCACACCCCATGGGCAGGGCCTGCAGTAAGGACTGATGATGGGGGGTGTCACTATCTGACCCTCCCCCACCGACTCCTCCAGGGGACAGGCTGAAGGTGAGAGGGAAGCCAGGAGCCCCTGGGCCCTTCTCAGCCCGTCTGCTAGGCCCAGCCCCACCCTGTGGCCCCCAGGGCTTTGTCGGCACTCACTCCTCGTATCGGTAGTGCCACTCCTGGGTGATGGGGTCCAGGTGGAACAGCTGCGGCTTCCAGGGCATGAGGCTCTCCTGCCGCTCACGGGCCCGCTGCCGCTGTGCCTCCTCCAGTGCAAACTTCTCCTGTGTGGCCCTGTGCTGGTCGCCCTTGCTGATGGCCCTGGTGACGTGCTGCCAGAGCCTGCGGGCCAGTGACCCATCCTGAGCCAGTGGCCCGGGCAGCCCGACCCCTAGGCAGCTAGGAATCAGGGCCCCTTGGCACCAGAAGGAAGGCACAGAGCAACCTCTGCGTGATTGCCTACAGTGACAGGGAGCTCACTACTTTGAAGAGAGCTTTTCTTTTGTCCATGAGATGGGTTTTTCCAACACTGAGCTCCCATCTCCCGCCTGCAGGGACCTCCCTGTGCACCTGTTGGTCACTCGCCGGCAGTGATGCAGTGAGAGGTCACGGCAGCCGGCTCCTCTCCAGGCCACACCCCTTCCCTCCATCTGTCCTTTCCAGGACACGTGATCTGCCACCAGGGGTGCACCAGGCCTGCCCTCCCTGCCAGGGACATCCTGGGGCCATGCTCACAGCACTGTAGCCCTGCTGACCTGCCTGCTTGGCCATGTCAGGCTGTGGTCAGCAGGGTCCCTGGGCGCTGACAGGCCTCACCTCTCGGACTCCAGCTCCGTCTGCTCCTCCAGCGGCACCGTGTGCTGCCTCAGCCTCTGTCTGCGGACCTCCCCGCTCGGGGTCCAGAAAAGCGCACTGCTTCCGCTCCCTTCCTCCTTGATAAACACGTCCCTGTCCTGCCCCAGATGGCCAGCGGGGTCAGAGGCTGGCCTGGCGTTGACCGCCCGGCCGTGCCTGCCCTGAGGGACGGCCCCTTACCCAGTGGCCACTGAGGCTCGCCAGGACTTCCTCTCCCGACGTGATCTTTCCCGAGATCTGGTTGATGCTGGTGCTACCCCCGAAGAAGGGCTGCGGGGCCACACCCAGAACAGAGCCCAGTGAGCGGGGGCTGGGGCCTCCAGAATCACATCCTCATGGGGGCACGGAACAGTTATTCTCTTGGGGTGCCTGGGAGCCCAGGAGGGATGGACCCAACCCTCGCCAACGAGGCCTTCGGGACCCCCACGCCTCCGCTCAAGGATGTAGTGTCCCTGCCACAGAGACAGGGCCTAGGCTGGCTCTGCTGTGTGGCTGCAGGCAGCAGCCTCCCTTCTCTGGGCCCTGTCTGTGTTCCGGGATGTCAACAGCTGCTCCCCTTATGTGCACTGCCTTGGGGAACCTTCCTTGGGGCCTGGGGAGAGTGTGAGGGGGATCCCCAAGGCTTCGTTCCTTCCCTGGCCTCGTCTCCCCCAGGCTGCAGCCAGCGCTACCTTGAGTTTGAATTCCAGCTGGGCCTGGAAGTTGTTCTTCGCACACTCGATGGTGACCTTCCCACCCAGCTCCAGGGTCATCGTGCCATACAGGATTCCTGAAATGCAGCCAGTGTCAGGGGCCAGGCGGCCCCAGCCCTGCTGAGCCCCAGGCCCTGCTGAGTACCGACCCAGCAGCACCGATCCCTGAGTCCCGACCCAGCAGCACCGATCCCTGGGAGGCCTGTGTCAGTCCCTGGGAGGGTGAGAAGGACAGGAGGCGCTGGGAGCAGAACCCCACAGGGAGAGGCTGGTGGGGGTGCGGAGCCTGGGAGGTGCGGAGCCTGGGAGGCACGGAGCCTGGGAGGCACGCCTGGTCCCTCAGGGGCCGTCTCCCCCACTAAGGGGGCTCTGTCCTCGCCAGGGCCTTTGCTCATGTCAGGTGTCGCCTCCTGTTCCAGCCTCCTGGGAGGCCACCAGCCCTGTGAGACATGCATCGTGCTTCACTTGACTCTGCAGTTCCCGCTCTGGCATTGGGCTCCTGAGGGCAGGCATCTTCTCGCTCACTGCTGCGTCCCAGGATGGCACCCAGAACACAGAGGGCACCAGCACCCATGATGGCATCCCGTATGTTTAAAAAAATTAATACGTCTTTCTTTGTTTTGTTTTTTTTCAATTAATGAAGGAAAGAACAACTTTTCCATGTCTGGCATATGGAGGAGGTAATCTAATTAAAGAAGCACCACCACCTCCACCATCAAAACCCAAACATTTGCACTCTAAAAACCACTTAGAAATGTGTGGCAGAATATGTCTCTTAAAAATGAAGAAAAGAAACAACAAGCTACTTGTTGCAACAAAGGCTTGAAACACCCCCAAATCCCTCCAGAGGGGGCTGTGTGAGTGCACCCTGGCCCATGAGCACGATGGAAAGCTATGCAGCCTAGAAAGACAAAGCGGCATCTCTGTGCAGCTCTGATGGGGGGAGGTCTCCAGGCTCCACGGAGAGGAAGAAGGCCCAGGAGGCGGAGGTTGTAGTGAGCCAAGATCACACCACTGCACTCTAGCCTGGGCAACAGAGTGAGACTCTGTCTCAAAAAAAAAAAAAAAAAAGAAAAGAAAAGAAAGAAAAGCAAAGCAGGTCTGACCTCCAGATTGTGATCACTAAATATTATTTCCTAGTGAAGGGAACCTGGAGCTCCCGGGAGAAATGGTCGATTTGAGGTCTAGTGTAGGAAATGTCCTAGGTGCACACATGGTCAGGGCAGAAGGAAGAATACCAGCAGAGGTACTGGGGTGTGCAGGGGGCCCCTGAGCCAACTATGGCCCCCATTGGCCAAAGATGGGGCAATTTCAATATCAATAAAGTTAATAACTGAAAGGTTCTGAAATCACCAAATACGTTCCTATCAAATAATACGTGGCAATAATGACCTTCGCCAGTCACCTTTGGAAGACAGCAGGGGAAAAAAATCATTATTTTGAAAATATAAAAAACCTGGGATTTATCCTAAAACAAACCAATCCTGTTGGGTAACCACATAGTAGACAAGGGGAAGTTTCTCTTTTGAGAAGCCTTCCGGTGATTAAGTGAAAGAGGATGGAACGTCACCATCTAGCAATGCCTTTTACATGAATGGATCCAGGCATTGAGAATCAATGTCCACTAATGTCACAAGGAACAACAGGCCCTGTGCACCCTGCTGTGGAAAGACACAAAACCCCCATTAAGCGTCGTGTTGAAAAAAACTGTGCTGAACGTGATCAGGCATCTCGAGATCAAATCAATTCGTGGTTTATAGGAAATCCCCAGGGCAGAGGAATGCAGCCAGGAAAATCCATGCTAGAGGGGACTAGGAGGAAATGAGTAATACTCTGCAAGGGAAAAACAGGAGGGAGGGACATCAAGGAGATGTAAACATAGGACATCCATGCACGGAGCATGGCCTGATGCAGAGACCCAGCCAAACGGCCAACTGTCACGTGTGTGGGGGATCAAGACACAGGCACGTGGCAGCTGGGGATATGAACCAGATTGTAGACTCGATGACAACTAAGAGTTTGTTTGTTTGTTTTTCATCTGATGATAGTATTGTGGCTATGGTTAAGAAGGGAAATCCCGGCCTGGCGTGGGGGCTCACGCCTGTAATCCCAGCACTTTGGGAGGCCGAGGTAGGCTGATCACCTGAGGGCAGGAGTTTGTGACCAGCCTGGCCAACATGGTGAAACCCTATCTCTACTAAAAATACAAAAATTAGCTAGGTGTGGTGGCGCACGCATGTAATGCTAGCTACTCGGGAGGCTGAGGCAGGAGAATCGTTTGAACTCAGGAGGCGGAGGTTGCAGTGAGCTGAGATTGCACCATTGCACTCTAGCCTGGGCAACACAGCAAGACTCTGTCAAAAAAAAAAAAAGACAGAAAGAAAGAAAGAAAGAAGGGAAATCCTTAACTTTAGTGATATAAAATAAAATAAAATACACAAATGACATGACATGATATTTGGGATTTACTTCCAATTAATTCAGGGGAGAGCATGAAGGTGGGTGCATTGCTGTGCTGTGGGTATATGGGGTGTACTGTACTTTGATATATGTTTGAACTTTGCCATAATAAAAAGTTGAAAAAATATATGAAGCATGGATGAGTCAATGAGCATGCAAGAAAAGATGGGAATTCTCCCACAAGAAAAAATAAAGGGGAGAAGACGGGAGGAGGAGAGGAAAGAGGGAGGAGATGGGAGGAGGAGAAGAGGAAAGAGGGGGAAGGTGGGAGGAGGAGAAGAGGAAAGAGGGGGAAGACGGGAGGGGGAGGAGAGGAAAGAGGGAAGACAGGAGAAGGAGAGGAAAGGGGGAAGATGGAAGGAGGAGAAGAGGAAAGAGGGGGAAGATGGGAGGAGGAGGAGAGGAAAGAAGGGGAAGATGGGAGGAGGAGGAGAGGAAAAGGGGGGAAGAGAAAGAGGGGCATTTGTCGATCTGAGATCTTGGTTTCTGAGGTTGCCGTGGAAAGTGGTAGACAGGTCCTTGGGTCAGAGTAACCAGGAGAGATTTTTTCCGAGACATTTCCACTAAGCAGGCACTCTCACATGGCTACACCCTCAACAGAAGGAACAGTCGCAGAAAGGCCGTTCATTCCAGAGGGAGAGTCAAGGAAACATTTGTATTGGGCCTGCGCTCCGGGGTTAAAAAGAAACCCCAGAACTCTCCATGAATGTGTAGGGTAAGTTTGGGATTCAAATCTATACTTCCTCTGTGTCCCAGAAACAACCTACTAAGAAAATGTGAGAGCCAACAAAACAATTTCAGCCAACAAAACGAAAACAAACAAACACAAAACTAGCAAATTAGAATCCCAAGGTTTTACTAAATACAGCCATTCTTTGAATAATTATCGAGCACCTTCAAGGGCAACACTATGGTCAGTGAGGACACAGCAGCAAACAAAACAGAATATGAGAGTGACCAGCTAGAGATGATAAAACAACTGTGCTTATTACAATGCTCAAAGATTTATGAGAAAGGATTGGAAACATGACCAAGGAACAATGCACGAGTATAAAAAGAACAGGCAAGGCCGAGCGCACTGGCTCACACCTGTAATCCCAGCACTTTGGGAGGCCGAGGCAGGCGGATCACCCGAGGTCAGGAGTTTGAGACCAGCCTGGCCAACACGGTGAAACCCCATCTCTACTAAAAATACAAAAAATTTGCTGGGCGTGGTGGCGGGCGCCTGTAGTCCCAGCTACTCAGGAGGCTGAGGCAGGAGAATTGCTTGAACCCAGGTGGTGGAGGTTGCAGTGAGCTGAGATCATGCCATTGCACTCCAGCCCGGGCAACAAGAGTGAAACCCCAACTTCGTCTCAAAACAAAAATAAAAACAAACAAACAAAAAAACCAGGCAGGTTTGAAATGAAACCAAGTAGAACTTCTTGGGAAACAATATATCAAAATGGAAAACTCAGTGGATGAGTTACACGTCAAGTTAATTAGAGTTAAAGATACATCTACATAAGTTATCTAGAATGCAAAGAGATAAGAGATACGATGGAAACATTAAGAGAGACAAAGCAAAGGAGGAGATGGTTCAAATTCTGTCTCATTGGAGTTCTAGGAAAAATGGAGAAATCAGGAGTGAGGCACTTAAAAAAAATGGCTAAAATTTTCTGGACTTCATCAAAGCCACGAAACCTCAGGTTCAAATAATTCAAACAAACAAAAACCTTCAATCAGCAAAAATTAAAAAGAAATCCAGAGCTATCAAGCCATAAAAAGACATGAAGGAATTTTTTTTTTTTTTTTTTTTTTTTTTGGAGATGGAGTTTCGCTCTTGTTGCCCAGGCTGGAGTGCAATGACATGATCTCAGCTCACTGCATCCTTCAACTCCCGGGTTCAAGTGATTCTCCTGCCTCAGCCTCCTGAGTAGCTGGGATTACAGGCATGCATCACCATGTCTGGCTAATTTTGTATATTTATTAGAGACGGAGATTCTCCATGTTCGTCAGGCTGGTCTTAAACTCCTGACCTCAGGTGATCCATTTGCCTCAACCTCCCAAAGTGCTGGGATTACAGTTGTGAGCCACTGAGCCCAGCAAAGATTTTTTTTTTTTTTTTGAGATGGGATCTCACGCCAGCCCAGGCTGGCATGCACTGGTGCCACGATGGCTCCTCAAAGCCTCTGCCCCCTGGGCTCAGGTTATTCTCCCACTTCAACCTCCCAAGGCTGGGACCACAGGTGCACCACCATGCCTGGCTAGTTTTTTGGTACTTTTTGTAGAGACAGGGTTTTGCCATGTTGCCCAGGCTGGTCTTGAACTCTTGGGCTCAAGTGATTCCCCCAACTCTACCTCCCAAAGTGCAGGGATTTATAGGCATGAGCCATCATGCCTAGTGGAGGAATCTTTAAGTGCATATTGCCAAGTGAAAGACGCCAATCTGAAAACGCTCCACACCGTATGATTCCAACTACATGACATTCCGGAAAAAGCCAGGGCCTGGAGGGACTGAGGAATATGTGGCTCCATCTAGTCACGTCTAATCATAAGGGATTTTTAGGGTAGTGCAACTATTCTGTGAGATGTGGTAATGGCAGATACATGTCCTTCTGTATTTAGCAAAACCCACAGAATGAGCAACACAAGGAGTGAAAAGGAAGGTGAACTGTGTACTCAGTTAGTAACAATGTATGAGTATTGGCTCATCGATGATACCAAATGTAGCACCTCAGTGTGAGATGTTAATAACAGGGGAAACTGTGTAGGGGACACACAGGAACTCTCTGTACTTCCTGCTCAATTTTTCTGTAAACACAACACTACTGTAAAAAAGAAAGTCTGTTAATGAAAAAATAAAAAAGAAATCCAAACTTTGAAACACTGTAGCAAGACTACAGGGCACCAAGGCAAGGAAAATATCTTCAAAGCAGCTACAGGGAAAAGCAGATTAGGTAACAAATAGGCTGACAGCTGATCATCCCCAACAGCAATGGAAGCCACAAGGCAAGCAAAACGCACATATTCAAAGGGCAGTAAAATAGCATCTACATGGAATTACCCACCTTCAAAAGTCATGGGCGAGGCTGGGCGCGGTGGCTCATGCCTGTAATCCCAGCACTTTGGGAGGCCGAGGCGGGCGGATCACCTGAGGTCGGGAGTTCGAGATCAGCCTGACCAACATGGTGAAACCCTGTCTCTACTAAAAATACAAAATTAGCCAGGCGTGGTGGCGCATGCCTGTAATCCCAGCTACTTGGAGCCAAGATCACGCCATTGCACTCCAGCCTGGGCAACAAGAGCGAAACTCCATCTCAAAAAAAAAAAAAAAAAAAGTCATGGGCAGATGAAGGCGAAGTAAAGATACCTTCAAGCAAATAACCAAAGGGTTTTAGCATCTAGCTGCTCTCACAGAGCCTGGCTCTGCCCTCGGAGTGTGTGGCTGAGCCTCTCACCTTTGCAGTGGGCGTAGGGCATGGTAAGGGTGTAATCCTCGGCTCGGTTCAGGAAGGTGAGCGTGGCTTTGCCGTCCAGCAGCGCCGACAGCGAGTTCCCTGCAGAGACAAGAGACAGCAGGACCAGTGAGTGCGGACAGCCCTTTCACATCTGAGGCCACCCCTAAGTCACAGGGTCTGAGCTCCTTCCAACAGCTGAACACGCTCCTGGCACTTCCAGTGGTGTGTCTGTGCGTGAGTCACTTAACCTCTCTGGGCCTCAGATTCTGTAAAATCCTTGTCCAGTGTGCACAGGACATCTGTGCTGAGAAGTTATTTCACCTTTGACTTGTTAGTGGTTTATTGCAGTCGCAAAACTGCAGATTCGCAGGGTGGAGGCTGCAAACTTTTTCAAACTCGACTGAGCCCTGCTCAGATTTTAAACATCCCTGTGGAGGGAGTACGCCTCGCTTGGGGCCACGAGTCGCAGGTACTGCTGGTGAGGAGAGGACAGAGTTGGGAAAGGTGGGCTGAACCTGAGGGTCGCACCTGGGACCCCCTCCCAGACTTCCACACACCCAGCAGAGAGCCGAGCACACAGAGGCAACAGGCGCACACCTGCCCATGGATGAAACTGATGAAAAAGGTACAACGGATGGGACGAAATGTAAACGGACACTTTTCTGAGCACCCAAGTCTGCCAGGCCCCAGAGCAGTGCAGTCCAATGGGGCTGTCTCTGAAGACCAGAGCTTCCCTCCTGCCTGTCCCACTCCGGGGCCAACACTGAGCCTGTGTGATTTGGCAATAGAGGGACTGCAGTTTCAGTTTCATTTCTTTTTTTTTTTTTTTTTTTTTGAGACAGAGTCTCACCCTGTCGTCCAGGCTGGAGTACAGTGGCACCATCTTGGCTCACTGCAACCTCCACCTCCCGGGTTCAAGCGATTCTCCTGCCTCAGCCTTCCCAGTAGCTGGGATGACAGGCACGTGCCACCATGCCCGGCTAACTTTTGTATTTTTAGTAGAGACAGGGTTTCACCATGTTGGACAGTCTGGTCTCAAACTCCTGATCTCAAGTGATCCACCCACCTCGGCCTCCCAAAGTGCTGGGATTACAGGCGTGAGCCACCATGCTTTGACTAAGTTTCATTTCATTTTAGCCAATTCAAATAGTCATGCAGTGCTCTGGGGCTGCTCAGCCCCAGTCCGCACCTTTCCATGTAGGTGCCCTCTCTCAGTCCCCACAGCGTCCCTACAAAAGGTGCCCACTCTCAGCTCGGGGAGCTGCGGGCAGCTCTGCCTCATGGCCGGGTCTCAGCACCTGACCACCACATGGTCTCTGACTAGGAGGGGTTGGGAGGGACAGGCACATGGCCCCCATCCAGATCTTGGTCCACTGGCTCCCGGAGTCCTCCCGACCATCGCATTTCCCTGAGGCCCCAGGGAGCGCCCAGGGTGACCCCCTCACCATAAAACCTGGACTTGGCTGTGATGCTGCCACTGATGCAGAAGCCGTCCTTCCGGTTGCTGACGTGGAAGGCAGACACGGGCGGGTGGTGGGACACCTGCGTGCAGGGAGGCGGCTCTGTAAACAGCCCCGGAAACAGGTAATCCCAGGAAGCGAGAGCCCAGCTTCCCCCAAAAAACCTGTCCCTGTCCCTGACGCCACATCTTCTCCCCCGATCCCAGGATTCGGGTAGGGGCCTTCCTGGCTCTCGCTTACGACGCCCAGGGCAGGTAGGCCTCAGCTGTGGGGCTTGCGGGCCCTGAGTTGCCCCAGAAGTCCCCATCGGGAGATGGGACACACTGTCCTCTCCCTAGGGAGACACTGTCTGCTGTCACAGTCATGGTGGTGTCTGCACCTTCTGCAAGAATCCCTGTTGGCAGCGGCTGGGTCCACAGCCCTTCCGGTGTGCAGGATGTGGGGTCCCCTGGAAGCCGGCCCTCGGGGTCACGCTTGCCCCTGCCTGCTGCCAGGGCCCCGCCCCCACAGAGCCCCGCCCCATAGAGCCCAGCACCCAGGCCGGTTGCAGCAGAGGTGCTCTTGCCTGCTCTGCTATGTAGAATGTGCGGCTGTCAGTCTGCGGGTGGAACCAGCAGCAGCGGAAGGTCTCCCCCAGGATGGGGTTGTACGGCTTCTTGATTCCCTGCAGACAACAGAGACTTGTGTGAGGAGCCAGGTGGGTAAGAGGTCCGCTGTGCAGAGCAGGTGAGGGATGTGGACGGAGGGGCAGCGTGGGTGGGCTACCCGCTGCCTGCTGGCCTGGTTTGCTGCTAGCATCTGGGAACAACACCTCACTTCTGCTTTGCGGGGACTATGCTTTGCCTGTGGTTTACATTCTTGGGGGACAGCCTCAGGGGAATCCTGTCCACTTCTTAGCTCGGAGAAGGGACACGAGACCCTGACCTTGTCACACTCTCCTTGGACCTTGGGTGTAACCTGCACACAGCCTGCTGAAAGCCATGGAAGGCACCAGGCAGTCAGAAGTCCTGCCTCTACCCCAAACCTGCTGTACGACTCAGGCCATCCTTTCACCTGAGCCTCAGTTTCCCCATCTGCACAATAAAGAAGTGGAACCACGGTCGTGGTTTTCAAACTTGCTTCCCATGGAACCCCAGGGCTCTGTGGTGGGGTCAGGGGAGCTGCGGGCCCTCTTGCTCACTACAACGAGAGCAGCCCTGCTGTCACTGGAGTCCTGGGTTTGGGGTTCTAAAAGGGGTTTCCATGGCTAAAAATTTATGAAAACCACAGATCCCAAAGGTACCTTGAGGTTTAAGGTTTAAAGCTCCTTTCTTTTGGCACCATCTGTAATACGGCCTGAGGCTGTTTTCTTGGGGGGTGGGGAAGGGGTCCAGCTTGGGGCCTTGAGGGATGAGACCACCCTTGGGGACCCGGCCTGAGCCATCCAGGGCCCCAACTGTGGGAAGTGGGGCCCTGTCCCCCATCACCAAGGACCTGGGCCCTCTGTGGGGGTGACCAGGATCCTTCTAAGCCATGTGGGGTAGGGGGTGGCCCGGGGACTCAGGGAAGTGCCAAGGGACGAGGGCTGAGCAGACAGACTCCTGGGCCGGAGCCCCACCCTCCCTGGCTGGCAGGGGCTCACCTTGGGCTTCTTGTAGAAGCCAGACAGGTACCACCGCAGCACCAGCTTCATGCGGCTGTAGGCATCCTCCTCCACCGCAGCCCTGCCATGGGGCAGGAGAACGCTGACCCCAGCTCCGGGGGCCGTGGGCCACCCTCCCTTTCCCTGACCCTTCCCTCCTACCATCCCGACCTCCAACCACTCAGCTGGAAACAGGCCACTTGGCCCAGGCGCTCTGGTCACCCCCAAGCAGGATAATTTTCTCTGGGGAAGTGGGTTCTTCTAATCAGAAAGTGCCAGGGCTGCTCCCACGCTGGGGCAGAGAGGACACTGCTGACCTGGGCTGCCAGGGTGCCCCTGTCTCCAGGAAGCCTCCCTGCCCATGCTCTTGTTCCCACCTGCTCCCTCTGCCTGGCTCCTGAGCCTGCAGCCCCCTTCCTGCCTCTGTTGCCCCCTTCCAGTCTCTGCAGCCCCCTTCCAGCCTGCGTACCCCCTTCCAGGCTCTGCTGCCCCTTCCTGCCTCTGCAACCCTCTTCCAGCTCTGCAGCCCCCTTCCAGCCTCTGCAGTCCCTTCCTGCCTCTGCAGCCCTCTTCCTGCCTGCGCAGCCCCCTTCCAGCCTCTGCAGCCCCTTTCCAGTCTGCGCAGCCCCCTTCCTGCCTCTGTAGCCCCATTCCTGCCTCTGCAGCCCCCTTCCTGCCTCTGCAGCCCATCCCATCCAGCTCGAGGGTGCAGGGCTCAGGGTGCATGGCAAGTGCTTGGGACTGACCCCCCTCTCACCACGGATGGCTGGCTCCTCCCAGGCCCATCTTGGAGACAGGGCCCCCTGGGAGGCTACAGCTGCAGAAACAGTGGGCTGAGATCAGCCATGGGATTCTCTGGAAGCCCCCACAGGGCAGGTAGGGGCTGGGGGTGCTGCAGGGTCTCATGCAGATGCAGGACGAGGTGTGGGGTGCCCCTCCCGGCATGGCGCGCACCTGGAGAGCAGGTCTGCGTGGTAGTAGTAGTCGGAGAGCTTGTTCAGGAAGGAGCGCGGCTCCAGTACGAACGTGGGTAGCACCACGCGGGACAGGTCCATGCCTGGCCGTAGCTGCTTCAGCAGGGTCCACATCAGACTCTTGTTCTCCTCTGACACTGTCTCCACCTGGGACGCCTCGCCCAGCTGCAGCAGACAGGCTGCAGTCAGGCCCTGCCCGGAAGAGCCGGGAGGAAGGGGTGGCGGGACAGTGGCAGCTCTGGCTGGAGGAGGCTGTACCTGCCACCCCTTAGGGTGTAAACCCCTGACCTGGCCTCCATGGCCTCATGAGGCTGACTCAGCCCCATCAGATGTGAACTCTTCCCAATGCGTCTCCACCCCACCCCTGGAGCACCCGCAGCCCAGGTCCAGGCCCGCTCCTGTCTCTGCTCCTTGCCCAGGGACCCCATGCCCTGCCCTCCTCAAAGTCCAGGGTGCAGCCTCCCAACACCTGCTGTTGAAACCTGTCTGTGCATCGTGGGACCCTGGGCCCAGGGAACAGAGAGACTGCAGCCCACCCTGTCTTCACAGCTGCCAGGGGAGGCAGGGATTTGGCCTGCTCTTCCATTTTTTAAAAAAGGTTATTGTAACATTTCTTTTTCTGTTTTTGAACCACTTTATTGAGGTCTGATTGATATACAGAAGCCTTCAGATATTGAATGTGGACAACTGGGTGAGTTTGGAGGTGAGCCTGCTCCTGCAAAACCGACACGGGCATGTGAACTCACCCCTCACTTCCGAAGCCTGTGTGCCCCTCACGAAGGCCCCCTCATCTCTTCCTTTTCTGAGACATCTAACCCTCACCACAGCTCCAGAATACATGACTTGGGGTGGCGGGGCTCCCCTTACTCACTCCAGACTTGCACCTCACCGCAGCCCCAGGGAACGGGGACCCTGGTCCTCCCCCTCCACAGAGGGGACAAGTGACTTGTCCAAGGTCACACGGCTGCTATGCGGCAGAGGTCAGATCTGAACTCAGGGCTCTCTGCATTTTTAGCCCAACGGCAGCTGCCCCAGGGAGCGGGCAAGATGGAGTGTGGCCTGTGAGTCCTGCATCAGGATCTCATCCCCGCTGCTGGGACTCCTCAGGCAAATGGCTTCGCCTCTCTGTGCACGCATGGCCACGGACAGATCCTGGTGGCACTGGCCCAGTGGACAGTGTGTGTGGACACCCAGGAGCCATGTCTGACCCCATGAGGGGTCATGGGGAGCCCAGTGCTGTAGCTTTGGGGCTTGGAAATCATGGGTAGCTTCGGCTGTCAGGAATCCTGCTCTGTCCATGTGCTCCCGTCCCGTCCTCCTTAACCCTCTCCACCAGGCTTCTGCCGTCTTCTCTACTGAGACTGTCTTGCCGTAGGTCCCCACCACTCCTCACTGGTCCAGCAGCCATCCCTGCTTCTCATCCTGCCCCACCTCTCGGACCAGCTGGCTCTGAGACACCTGGGCTCCTGGATCCTCCCACCTCCCTGCCCCACCTCTGTGAAGCCTTATCTGTGCTCGGCCTCTGAAGGTTGGGTGCCCGGGCCCCTTGGCTGCCCGCTCCATGCCCTCTGCCCGGAGCCCCAGGCTCGCACCTGCAGCAGCCCGCTCTGCCTGGCTCACAGCAGCGTCGCTCATCACCATCTGGCTGAGATCTACCCAATCCAACTTCCGAAATACCCTGAGTCTGCCCACTTCTCCCTTCTCCATCACAGCTGGGTCCAGGGTGTCCTCAGCTTTCTCCTAACAATGGGTCTTCCCTACGGGTGGCCCAGTGTCCACCCCCGCCCCTCGGCTGTCCCGAGGCCCTTGCCTAACCCGCCGGTGGCTTCCCCAATACTCTCAGCCTGAGGCCCCCAGGGCCCTCGGTCCACTCCCCATAGGCCCATCCTAACCTTCCCATCCCCGCACAGGAGCCTGAGCTCTGTGGGAACAGCAGCCCGCAGGGAGGCCATGGTGTTCCACTGAACACAAGGATTTCACGGACCACGGAGGAGCCCCCTCTGTCCCTGTGCAGAGCAAGATGCGAACACGACGCTGTCCAAACAACAGCAAGGAACGAATTCCCCTTTCCTGCTGAAACCGGGACTGCCCCTTGCCCTCAGTGACAGCCACGGCCTTGCTCTTGTCTCGCCTCCCGGGTGAGAATGACAAGATCCCAGATCACAGAGCCCCCCGTTCCTGACAGCCCCCACCCCAGAGCGCAGCCCCCACCCCAGAGCCCGGCTTCCTCAGCCTGCACCCGTCACCCAGCGGAAGCTTAGATCCTGTGATTCCTTCCGGACTCCCCTTCCTGAGGCGCCCCACGGTGCCCAGGGCCACGTGAGTTCTCTCCAGCTGCGGGGAGTCAGCTGCCCTGGCTGTTCATCTGCAGGCATGCTCTGGGGACACTGCTGCCCACCGCCTGCTGCCTCCCTTGAGCTCGTGCGCTGGTGGTCCTTCTTCTTGGAACGCCATCCTCCCTCCCGTCACTCACGTCTTCAGAAAGAGCCCATGGCCCGGTTTGCCTCCCTCACCTGCTCCCCAGCCTCCTCTTGTGTTTGTGGGTTTATCATCTATGTTTCCTGCTGCCCATACACTGGGGGCCCAGAGCCCAGGTCTGTCTCATTCATGGCTCTCCCAGGGCCCCAGGAGAGCACCAGGTGTGCAGGTGCCTGTGAGCATGGGACTCAGGTCCACACGCCCTCCTCTGCGCTCCTCCAGGAAGTGGGGCCGCCCAGCAGATGGGGTCAAGGGCCCCTCTTGAGCCTCCTGTTCTCCCATCAGCGCATTCCAGCCCAAGGAGGGAGTTGCCTGTCTGCAGCAAACCCCTGCCCGATCCCCGCATCTGCATGCCAGCCAGCCAGCCAGCCAGCGGGGCAGCCTCTTTGGAAGACGGGAGGAGCCTGTTTACCTAAAAGACAGCTCCTGGACTCACTGCCAAGTGATGGGGACAAAAGCTACCCCCTGGGCCCTGCGTGCTCCCCCTAGGATGAGGCATGGCTACCTCTGCTTCCGGAACAAGGGGCCGAGGCAGGGGAGACGCTTGGGGCTCCTGGCTGGGGGGCTCTCACCTCCCCCAGCTCCTCCTGGACCTGCTCCACATAGGTGGTCCCTCTCCGCACCGGGGCCCCAGGGGTCTCTGACTGGTCGCTGCCACTCTCCGTCTTCCGGCTATGGTCCTGGGTCTCGGTATCTGACTCCTCAGGGTTCTCTCTCTCCGACTTGTCTGAGAATGCATCGTTCTCCAGGGAAGACCCGTTCAGTCTGGAAGGTGGATGGTGCCAGTGGGTCCCTGTCACAGGTGAGAGCCCAGCACAGCCCTCTGGGCTGCCCACCCCTCGCTGCTCCGCACTTCACATACGTTCCTGCCTGTCGTCACCTCCACAACCCACATTTGACACGATCAGCCCCGTTTTAGAGGAAGGAACCGAGGCTCCCAGGGCACACTGCAGCGAACAAGTCCCTGCGTGCAGCCTGCAGCCCACCAGAGCAGTGGCTGGGGCTGTCCTCTCCCCTCTTCCTCGCCTACAAGGAGACCCCGTGAATCACCACCAGCCCCTGTGCCCTCGCCCCACTCACGGGAACAGGTCTTGGTCTGGGTGGACGGTGGCTGAGGCTGGCAGCCCACAGAGCGATGAGGGTGATGCGTCTGGCGAGGTCCCTGGCTCCCCGTCTCGGCCCGGCTTGCAGGTGCCCAGTCTCAGTAGGCTAGAGCAGCGCAGGGCCAGCTCCAGGGCGTCCAGCCAGCAGCGACCTGCGGGGCACACGGGATGAGCATGCCCCACCCCCACCTCTGTATATCCCGCATCCCCCAAGGGGCCACCAGGAGGCTCCCCCTCACTCTGACTCTTCAGGGACCCACCCCCTCCATCCCAGACCCACCCCTGGCCCTGCCCCAGCAGGGACATGCCCTCCCTTCCTGCCCCCACATCCAGCTGCAGATTGTGTGGGGGCAGACATCGGGAACCCCTGAGGATTGAGGACTTCCCAAGGAGGCAGACCCGGCCTGGGGACAGGTGTGCCAGGGGAGGCAGCCCTGCAGAGGCACCTGGGGATGCTCACAGCACATCCCCACGCACCTCCACCACCCACATTGCTGACGAGGGGCTGGCATAAGTGACCCCTCCAGGTCACAAACCCAGAACACTCGGAACCAGCCTCCCACCCTGATGGCCACCCACAGGTTTCTGCAGGTGGAGTTAGGGAGGAGGGTCCTCCCTCACTGGGAAGCACTGGTCAGGGTGCCAGGGGCTCCTGCCAGCCTGGAGTCCAGGGAGGAGGGTGGGGAAGGCTGAGGAGGGGCTTGCACACCAGGGAGGAGACCTGCCTGAGGCCGCCCAGAGGCTCTGTGGGCAGCGGTGGAGCAGGGGCTGGTCGACAGCTGGGCGCCTCCAAGCCCCACTCTGGGCCCTGTGCCCTGCTGCCTTCCTAAGCAGGGTGACAGCACCACCCAAGGGTCCTCCTGTGGGGCACGTGTCCACCTGGGTGACACTGATGTCCTGGTGTGATAACAGCGGCCCCCGCACTCAGAGGAGCATCTCGTGGTGGCCTGTGACAGGTCACACTATTAATAAGGTTTTTGTTTGTTTGTTTTGAGATGGGGTTTTGCTCTTGTTGCCCAGGTGGGAGCACAATGGCACGATCTCAGCTCACCGCAACCTCTGCCTCCCGGGTTCAAGCGATTCTCCTGCCTCACCCTCCTGAGTAGCTGGGATTACAGGCATGCACCACCACACCCGGCTAATTTTGTATTTTTAGTAGAGACAGGGTTTCCTCATGTTGGTCAGGCTGGTCTCGAACTCCCGACCTCAGGTGATCTGCCTGCCTTGGCCTCCCAAAGTGCTGGGATTACAGGTGTGAGCCACCACACCGGGTCAATAAGTGTGTTTTTTGTTTTTGTTTTTTTGTTGTTTTGAGATGGAGTCTCGCTCTGTCACCCAGGCTGGAGTGCAGTAGGGTGATCTCAGCTCGCTGCAACCTCTGACTCCAGGGTTCAAGTGATTCTCCTGCCTCAACCTCCCAAGTAGCTGGGATTACAGGTGCCTGCCTGTAATTTTTTTGTATTTTTAGTAGAGATGGGGTTTCACCATGTTGGCCAGGCTGGTCTCAACCTCTGGGCCTCAAGTGATCTGCGTCGGCCTCCCAAAGTGCTGGGATTACAGGTGTGAGCCACTGTGCCTGGGCTGTTAGTAAGTGTTATTCAAAGAAAGCCTCCTGGGGTCACGTCAGGTGGGAGGATGGGGCTGAAGAGCATTGAAGGCGGTTCTGTGCCTCTCTGAGCCTCTGCCTTTTCGAGCTCCTGGAGACAGTGAGTTTTTCTCCCTCACTTTGAGATCCATTAAATCCTGCTCTTCGTGGGGCATCTCAGGGTCCAGTGTAGGGAGGGGCCTGCCTAGACAGTGGCTCCTGGGTCTCTAGAGCTGCCCTTCTCATTGGGTTGGGGGGATATCTGGGATCCTGCTGGTTCCACTGCAGGCTTGGTTGGTGCCAGAGCGGCCAAGCCTGGGCGGAACACCAGGGTTGGGGGAGGGATGGCAGTGGATGGTGGTGGGGAGCTGGAGGGGTCACAACTGCCGAGTTGGCCCCAGGGCCTGAACACGTGTGCTTTGTAGCTGCCACAAAGGACTAGACATCCTGAATATTATGCATCCTTTGAAGCTCATTCCGAGACCTCTTCCTCCTCTTCCTGGAAGCCCACCCTGATACCCACAGGGGCTGCAGACACCTCTCCTCCCGAATGGTGGCCCACACCCTATCAGGGGCTCAGCTCACACCTCAGCCCAACCTGCCTTATCTGATGGTTGGTTATCCACCTCACCCAGGAGCACAGAGGCTGTGGGCTGCCCTGGCCATCCCCGGGCCTGCATGGGACCTGGCACATAGTGGGGCACTCAGGATGGCCCAGGAAGGAGCATGGATGTGGCATCTGACCACCAGGGGTGATGTGGCACCGAGACTCCAACCTGAGAGGCACCGGAGCCCCGTGGTCAAGGCCAGACTGCTTTAGGTCTGCACCACCGGCGGGATGGGAGCCCTTCACCCCACTGCTCTGGGAGGCATCACCCTGGGGTTAGAGGAGGTGGAGCAACCGCATTTACCCAGAGCAGCCACTGGAGGGCGAGGTGGGGTAGGGCCCCAACCTCAGGTTAGAGGGAGGAACGGCCAAGAGGGAATCCCTCCAGGTGGAGGATCATCGCAGTCACAGCTGCCTGAGCGGCCACTCAGGGAACAGCAACAGCGTGCAATGCATTTGGGAGTCAGGGAAATTCTCGTTCTAGCACTTTCTTGCTGGCAGTTTGCCTGTGCCTCAGTTTCCTGACCTGTCTAATGTGGATGATAACAGTAGAACCTGTTGTTTCAATGGTGCCTGGTGTGAAAGGAAAATCTTGGGCCCCTCAAATCACTAAGCTAAAGGGAAAAACCCAAGCTGGGAACTGCTTAGGGCCAACCTGCCTCCCATTCTATTCCAAGTCACCCCTCTGCTCACTGAGATAAATGCATATCTCATTGTCTCCTTTGGAGAAGCTCATCAGAAACTCAAAAAAATGCAACCATCTTTCTCTTATCTACCTATGACCTGGAAGCCCCTCCCCGCTTGAAGTTGTCCCGCCTTTCCAGACCAAACCAATGTTCATCTTACATATGTTGGTTAATGTCTCATGTCTCCCTAAAACCAAACTGTGCTCTGACCACCCTGGGCACATCGTCAGGACCTCCTGAGGCTGTGTCACAGGTAGGCGTCTTCAACCTTGGCAAAATAAACTTTCTAAATTAACTGAGACCTGTCTCAGATTTTCAGGGTTCAAACATTTTGGTAACCACTGAAGGATTCTGAGTGGAGATGCCCCTGACTTTTCACAAGTCTCCTATTGGTGCTTGGTACCAGCTTGAGCTAACTTTATGGCTCAAACCAATAAGACAATTTGCTGAGGCCTGGAAGCACCTCCCCCCGTGCCCCACCCCCACCCCCTGCCACAGAGAATCCCTGATCTCTCAAAATTTGGTCGAGATCTAAAGTTTATTTTGTTTTACAACTTCTCTTTTTGGAGTTTTACTTGCTTCCGATACAAGGAAGGCAAGTTTTCCCTGCTTCCATGACGATGGAAGGCAGGTAACTCCTTTATGGAGTTCGAGCTTGCTTCCAACAGGGAAGATGAATTTTTTTTTTTTCCTGCTCCCAGGATGGTGGAGATCTGAGTTTTCAGCCTGAGACCCATCCCTAGGGAAGTAACTGAATTGTGGTTTGTCTTAGCTAAAGTTAAGATTAACAACCAGCTGGTCTTAATTTCTCCTTACCATTAGAGCACTCAGTGATCACGTAAGTTGTGCGATTGTTTGTTTCGCTTAACTGTTTTTTTGTTGTTGATTGTTTCTGTTTTTGTTGTTTTGGTCTTTTTCCCATTGACCTCTATCTGGCTTGATCAAATCTGAAGGAAGTTCCAAATTATGGGGAACAAGGCCTCTGAAGTGGCTGAATTCCCCTCCCCACCCCCACACACAATGGTGGCGTGATGGGGGGAGAAAAACGGCCAGCAAAAGGAAAAAAAAAAGAGGAAAGATTTTGATTTTGACTACTAAGGGGCTTTATTCATATAACAAGGCCACATTTTCACTAGCTAGGCCAAACTGAAAGAGTAATGACTGTACTTCTGTGTCCTCGTTGAAATTTGTCCTAGTTGAAATATGGAATGAGATTTAAAAAGATTTTTTCAAAGAAGCTCAATGGTTAAAAGTCAGTTTAATGAAAAGCTAACATCCAAGCTGTGTGTGTGTGTGTGCATATGTGTGCGCGCATGTGTGTGCATGTGTGTGTGTGTGCGCGCATGTGTGTGCATGTGTGTGTATGTGTGCGCGCATGTGTGTGCATGTGTATGTGTGTGTGCATGTGTGTGTGCATGTGTGTGTGCATATGTGTGTGTGCATGTGTGTGTGTGCGCATATGTGTGTGTTTGTATTTAAGAGACCTTCATGTTTCTGTTTTTGTTTTTCTCCTAGGACCTTGTCTTTTTTTGAGCAAAAGGGTTTTTTCTTCTCAGTTGACTGAATTCTGTTTCTTGATTTACTTCTGCTGTCTCTCCTTTCTCTTGCACCTTCTGCCGCATGGGGGACCTAAAATAGTTTATAGTAGCCTGGGGTTCCTTAAAGAAAATGGAGAGGGTGCCAGACTCCCCTTGGGGGAGAAACTTGTTTTTTCTTATGAAACCCCAAGAATGTAAACAGACAAGTTTGTCTCAGCTCTTAAACTGCTTACTTTTGTATTGTGTAACCTGTTTTGTGTTTTCTTTTCTTTTTTTTTTTTTTTTTGACTAAAGTAGTTATTGCAACAGTGGTTACTCTTGGGCTTTTAAGGAAGAGTGTGGTTTAGACACTTAGAAATGTCTTTGTTTAAAAAAAATTTGTAAGTGCACTATAAAAGCATCACGTGGTCTAACCTCATGATAATTCTCCCTTTCTGGAGACCTAGGATTCAGTGTGGGCTCTTCCCAGAGCTCAGAGATCCAGTTAAATGATAGGTAGTCCCTACTACATAAAATTGGTCTCCTTATGCAATCCTATGATAGATTTCTATAATTTTGTTTGATTTGGCATCCATCTTTAGTCTCCCTCTAGCACCACCAGACTTTTTCTCTCTGTACCTTATGCAAATTTTGCTATTTGATTTTCACCTGAGTTGTTTCCCTTAATATGCAAATTTAAGGCTATTTAGCTGACAATTGCCTAGGGTTGTGAAACAGGTTATCAAGAATCTGAAAGTCTAAGACAGGAAAAAAAAATTTTTATAAACCTATGAGATGTACTTCTATTGCCATGCCTAATATGTCTATGTATTTATGTGTCGTGTACACAATGTTTCACTACTGAAAATATATAAAAGGGCTCTAATTGATTGGCTTAAGAAAGTAAATGCACTTGAATCAAATACTTGATCAGGAAAAAAGAAAAGACAAGTCAAATGCTTTTTCAAGTTTATGTAACTTAAATAAAATCTTTAATAAATAAGCTAGCTTTAAAATTATTGGTAAAGTAATATTAGAAATGTCTTAAGAATTGCCAGCATATATTTTTGTTTGCATTTATTAATCAAGCAATTTCATACTTATCCCTGCCAAATACCATGAGGTGTCAAAATTTGGCATAGGAGTTACGAAACTATAAACCCAGCCCAAGACAGAATGATCTTTGCTTGTGTAATCTTTAATAATGCCTGTAATCTCAGCACTTTGGGAGGCTGAGGTGGGTGGATCACAAAGTCAGGAGTTCAAGACCAGTCTGGCCAACATAGTGAAACCCCATCTCTACTAAAAATACAAAAATTAGCCAGGTGTGTTGGCAGGCACCTGTAATCCCAGCTACTCGTGAGGCTGAGGCAGGAGAATTGCTTGACCTGGGAGGCAGAGGTAACAGTGAGCCAAGATCGCACCACTGCACTCCAGCCTGGGAGACTAGAGCAAGACTCCGTCTCAAAAAAAAAAAAATTTATATTGGTTTAATAAAAATAGCTACATCTTAAATTTAGTAAGATTACCATAACTTCTAATCTGGTGGCTTTAGGTAGTCTAGTCCACAGGCAGTAAGGTTCATTTTGAGAAAGACTGTTATAGTCTTTGTTTCAGGTAAACTATAAACTAAGTTCCTCCCAAAGTTAGTTTGACCTATGCCCAGGAATGAACAAGGATAGCTTGAAGGTTAGAAACAAGATGGAGTCAGTTAGGTCAAATCTCTTTCACTGTCTCAGTTATAATTTTGCAATGGTGTTTCCATAATTTAAATAATGACAATTGCAGTTTTTATAAATAATCTAGGTAAATGATTAAAATAATTAGGTAAATGTAATAGGACAAATACTTGTAGACAAATTCATCATAATTTAGAATTTAAAGTTAGATTAAATAAGATATTTCACTATTTGGATATTTTCCAATAAAAATATATTTGTAGGAAAATATGCTTTCTAAAAGAAAGCATGTCCTTTTGAAAAAGGTGAACAATTTTTGCCTAATTCAAAGCTTATTTAAAGATCATGTATAAAACAAGGTAAAAGGAACCAGGAAATAAAAGAGTAAAAGAGATGTAAAGAAAGTTATAAAAAAGTGTTTTTTGGTGGAGAGTAAGAAAGCTTAAAGAGAAATAATTTCATATGAGAAAGAATCTTGTATGGTAAATTTAGTCCTAGAGTAAAATGACTGGTTGTTTAAGAAAGAGGGATGTTCAGGACAAACCAGAAAGTCCAAGCGTGGCATGAATGGTCTATGGAAGTCACAATAAGAGGATCTATTAAAAAAAAACCCTTTTATATGATCAAGTTGTCTATGACTAAAGGGAAATTATAATGGTCTTTCTAGAGATTGGGTTTGATGTAAAAAAACAGTTATAGACTAAAGAATTGGTTAGAACAATGATTTTTTTTTTTTTTTTTTTTTTTTTTAGACAGAGTCTCGCTCTGTTGCCCAGGCTGGAGTGCAGTGGCGTGATCTTGGCTCACTGCAAGCTCCACCTCCTGGGTTCACGCCATTCTCCTGCCCCAGCCTCCTGAGTAGCTGGGACTACAGGCGCCCGCCACCACGCCTGGCTAATTTTTTTTTGTATTTTTAGTAGAGATGGGGTTTCACCATGTTAGCCAGGATGGTCTTGATCTCCTGACTTCGTGATCCTCCTGCCTCGGCCTCCCAAAAGTGCTGGGATTACAGGCATGAGCCACCGCACCTGGCCGACATTTTCTTAAGAGGTTGATTTACTCTTAATCAATTATAAGATATTTTAATTTTTTAATTTTAACCCAAAGTTCAACTTTCATTGCATCTTGCCAGTTTCAGTTTTCTCTTCCCTCTTAAAAGGAACAAAATAGTAACACTTCCCTTCAACTCATTTTCAGCTCATATAAGTTTTGTTTTCCTCCTCAGGTTCTGTTTTTTTGTGTGTGTGTGGCCTGATGCTAACAATGTTTTCTTAAAGAAAATGTTTTCTTCTAACATAATATTCTATACACTGCAGAAGGTATTTGCTTTTGCCTTTTGGTAAGTGGCCTAACAGATTTTATGTTTTATCAAAATAATTCCTATGCCATTATTATTAAGTTTGGTTTGCTTAGGAAAAACAGATATTAAAATTTTTTTTAAATCAAGGTTATTCCGTCCTTATATCTTCTTGTATGTGCTTTTAAAGTCCTTGCGACATTGAGTTACAGGGATTTGACTCATGGGTCTAAAAAGAACACCAAGTCCTGCTAAATTTTAAACACTGACAGCAATTAAAGCTTCATCTTCAGGCCCGGTAGAAGATGCCAATCAAAATAAACCACATTCCTGAGACACAGAAATTAAAGCTGTTCAACTCCTCAAGGCCCAGAGACTATCCCAGAAGAGATAGACATGTGAGATTGTAAGGGCTGACTTTGAGAGATAAAGTAAGTTCAGTTCCTCTATAAATTAATCATTAATGTCAAAGGCACACTGATGCAAGACTAGCATATGGGCCCCTGTGTCAGATTAACAAGGTTTTCTTGAAACAATAACTGACTCCTTAATAAAGGTTATAAAGGCTTATGGAAGTTATATCTTATGATCAAGATGAAAATTTTATAGATTGGAATTTTGGAAAACAATTTAATTGGCTTCATGATGTTATTAGGGCTTATTGTTTGGAAAACTAAGTCTCCTGTCTCAAAGAATGAAGGCTTTTGCCTTTTTTTTTTTTTTAAATCCTTGAGGTATCACTTTGTTCAAATGAGTGAATTATTTTACAATGACTTGTAATCCTACTTTGTAATATCAAGTGTTTTAAACCTTTAAAATTTGACAAACTTTCCAAAATCAAATTATAAATTATGTCTTTTTCTAACCTAATCCTTGAAGATATTATTAATAGGTTCCCTAAAGTCCAAAAATGACATATTTGGCTTATTTGGTATAAAAAATTATACAGGAAGCAGTGTCAAATATAAAATGGTATTTGGTCTTCTTTGGGCTATATTTGTACAAATATGTTACTGGTATGTGTTCCAAAATTATAGGAAACTCCTATAATTCTGATATGACCTAATATACATTATCAGTAATGATTATAATTGTTATGTTAAATTATTTTGTGCCACAGAGGTAACAATTTCCTTGTCAATTGTGTCTTTGAGTATGGCTGCCCTAAAACTTTTTATCATCCACAAGCAATCATTGTCTTGTTTTGGTCCTCTTTAGAAGGTGGTTTTATAATCAGCTGTAAAACTCTAACAGGTGCTCTTGAATGCTGGTTTCTGATAACTTTAGAGACTGTGACATCAGAATAGAGGAAAAACTTTCAGGGTTCATGGAGAGCTGAAATGTTCATAAATTTGAAGCAGAACAGGAATTAACTGCATGGACTAAACTAATAGAAGTGTGAAGTAATTGCCAGGTGTGGTGGCTCACGCCTGTAATCCCAGCACTTTGGGAGGCCATGGTGGGCGGATCACTTGAGGTCAGGAGTTCGAGACCAGCCTGGCCAACATGGTGAAACCCCATCTCTACTAAAAGTACAAAAATTAGCTGGGTGTGGTGGCGGATGCCTATAATCCCAGCTACTTGGGAGGCTGAGGCAGGAGAATTGCTTGAACCCAGGAGGTGGAGGTTGCAGTGAGCCGAGATGGCGCCACTGCACTCCAGTCTGGGCAACAGAGTGAGACTCCATCACAAAAAAAAAAAAAAAAAAGAAGTGTGAAGTAATCTTTTTGACTTTTTGCTTAAAACATTGTGGATCCTTTCTTTTGTTTTTCAGAGTCAAGAAAACTTTAAGCTATTTACAGCTTTTAACAATTGAGTATACTCCTGTGAACAAAATTTGGAGCATATTTGTTTCTCTCTACCTAATTTTTACAGAATTTGAAAACTATCTGTGAGTATTCGTAACTTATGACAATACAGTTATTTGCATAAGTGCAGTAAGAATCTGTTTTCATTTGTAACAGGACACAATCGGAGAAATTGGTTATTTTACCAAGGCTTTGCCTGGAATGATGTGCTTTCCTTTAAGGACTCAAACTTGACTTATGGAACCAATGAAAGCCCCTTGGAAAAACTGGCCTCATACCTCATCTACACAGTCCCTGTACAGGGTTCCTGACCTGTGGTAAGTAAAGAATGTCACTTTCTGACAGGCCCAGGAGCTCCAAATTTATCTTGGAACCTCAAGAAGATAATAATTCGCCCAACTTATAGGTGTTTAATGGTACAAGTCCATGACTGGGCTCAGCTTTAAAAAAGTCTTATCTGAGATTCTTTCTATGGAACAAAGTTCCATCAAAGACAATTTAAAAGCCTATGTAAAAACTAATTACTCTTGCTGCACTGTATATAAATAATTAGTCCAAGTATAATAAAGCAAACCAGTCCTACCATAATTTGTCCTTAGTTAAAATGGGAAACTGGAGAGAAAAAATTATGTTTCAAAAACTATAGTACAGCTGTTGTTAGATTCTACTCTTCCCTAATGTTTTTCAATTTTTGTTATTTTCTGCACTTTGGATGAAATCCTAATTTTTGTTGGCTATAGGTCTTCAAAATAATGTTTTCAATTTTTTTCCTTCATTTTTTTCCCATTTTTCCTAATTTGGAGTCGCTGAAGACTAAGCTGTGCTTTCTTAAAGCCCTGCAAACTGAAACTAGACAACTTAAACTTCAGAAGAAAATAACAGCAACCTACTTACATACATAAGCCACTTTCTTGCCTGCCTACTGATGTATGGACTTCAGAGTAATGTGGCCTATACCAATTTCCCAGGATTGTTCTTTTGTTTGTTGTTGTTTTTCTGCCTTCCTCCTACTATTTTCTCTTCATAGGACATGAGACTTCACAGCCTTCTGAAAATGAGCTTTCCTAATAACTTGGGACCTACCTGTGTAGGAATAAACCATCCTAGCCATGAGAGATCAGGTGGAACCTGAGACCAGAGACTCGTTTTCTTCTAAAATGCTTTCTCCAAAAGATTTTTAAAAAGGGGGGAAATGTGAAAGGAAAATATCTTGGGCTCCCAAAATCACGAAGCTAAAGGGAAAAGTCAAGCTGGGCACTGCTAGGGGCCAACCTGCCCCCCCATTCTATTCCAAGTCACCCCTCTGCTCACTGAGATAAATGCAGATCTGATTGTCTCCTTTGGAGAGGCTCATCAGAAACTCAAAGGAATGCAACCATTTGTCTCTAATCTACCTATGACCTGGAAGCCCCCTCCCGGCTTTGATTGTCCCGCCTTTCCAGACCGAACCAATGTTCATCTTGCATGTGTTGACTGATGTCTCATATCTCCCTAAAATGTATAAAACCAAACTGTGCTCGGACCACCTTGGGCACAAGTCATCAGAACCTCCTGAGGCTGTGTCACAGGCACGGCCTCAACCTTGGCAAAATAAACTATTTTTTTTTTTTTTTTTTTGAGATGGAGTCTCCCTCTGTCACCCAGGCTGGAGTGCAGTGGTGTGATCTTGGCTCACTGCAAACTCTGCCTCCTGGGTTCAAGGGATTCTCTTGCCTCAGCCTCCTGAGTAGTTGGGATCACGGGCACCCACCACCATGCCCAGCTAATTTTGTATTTTTAGTAGAGACAGGGTTTCGCCATGTTGATCAGGCTGGTCAAACTCCTGACCTCAGGTGATCCACCTGCCTCAGCCTCCCAAAGTGCTGGGATTACAGGTGTGAGCCACTGCACCCGGCCTGGCAAAATAAACTTTCTAAATTAACTGAGACCTGTCTCAGATGTTTGGGGTTCACACTGGCATGTGGTTGGAGCTCAGTAATTGTTATATGGGTGCTTTTATAAGGTCACTGGGTTCTCATAACATTGGGGTGACAGGTGGTTTTTTTTTTTTCTTTAAGACGGACTTTTGCTCTTGTCACCCAGGCTGGAGTGCAATGGCACCATCTTGGATTGCTGCAACTTCCATCTCCCGGGTTCAAGCAATCCTCCTGTCTCAGTCTCCCGAGTAGCTGGGATTACAGGCGCCTGCCACCACGCCTGGCTAATTTTTGTATTTTTTAGTAGAGTCGGGGTTTCACCATGTTGGCCAGGCTGGTCCTGAACTCCTGACCTCAAGTAATCTACCCGCCTTGGCTTGCCAAAGTGCTGGGATTACAGGTGTGAGCCACCACGCCTGGCCTTTGACAGGTGGTATTTTAATGTCACATTTTACTCATGGGAAAACTGAGGCTAGGCATGGGGGCTCTGTGAGTGTAGGCCTGACTCCGAGCCGGGCTCATCCTGGCCAGACTTCAGGCTGCCCCCAGACAGTAGAAGGGACTGAACTGGGGCCACCTGTACCTGGGCTACAACCTCAAAAGGGGGCCCACTTCAGGTGGGGGCACTGGGGAGATGCGCAAGCTGGCAGGGACTCACCATCTGACTCGGAGGCGGCCCTGAAGATCAGGTAGCTGCTGGGCAGGGGCTGTGTGATGGAGCCCACGCTCTCACCTTTGGGGCCCTGGAGAGAGAGAGATCTGGGTGTCACCCGAGGCAACACCCAGGGCCAGCTGCACAGATAGGTCAGGCAGAACCATGCGGATCCACACCTGGGACCACCTGGACACCCCCAGGGCCACAGGGCCACCAGGTGGGGCCAGGCACCTGGCCAGGTAGACACTTGGCTGCAGAGAGGCGGGTAGGTGGGGGAGCTCTGTCCCCTTTCTTAGCTGGCAGCTCTGCCCTCAGCTTTCCAGCTCTGAGCCTCCTGACTTGGGCTGTCCAGAATCAGCAAAGGCACATCCAGGATGCCCAATGATGTTCGAATCCCAGAGAAACCATGAGTAGCTTTTTGGTGTAAGTATTTCCCATACATGACTGGGGTCATACTAGCATGAAAGAACTCTGATGTTTCTCTGAAATCCAAATGTAACCAGGTGTTCAGGGTTTCTCTGGTTTCCCACCCGTTAGAGCTGGCAGGGCAGCCCCGGGTTAGGAGGGGTGAGGGCTGGGCGCTGTTCCTCGGCCACCCCTGGGGAGCAGCCACTGTTGTCCCTCCTGGACAGCAGCTGGGTGAGGGGCTGGGGTGACCTTGATGCCACCTCCTTGCAGCCTACTGTGTGCTTCACATGGAGCACCAGTGGCCATATCTGATCCCCTGGCCGCATGTGGGGCTCAGAGAAGGTGAGACACCTGCTCAAGGCCCCAAGGGGGCCATTCAGCTGGTTGGCTCCACCCTCCACCAGGGCCCTAGGAATGAGCCCCTTGGCCCTACGGGGCCTCTGTCTTCAACCCCACCCCTCCGCAGCACCTTCACGGCCCAGACGGACTGATCCAGCGGGTGGAAGAGCTTGAAGCAGAAGCCGTCCTTCTTGGAGGGCCGCTCGATGAGCTCGCAGCAGTGCAGCAGCACCGTGCCCACCCACTGGCCCACCTTGGGCGTCTTGTAGATGAGCAGCACCCCCGGCTTCAGCACGCACCACAGCTTGGTCCAGCTCTTCAGGGTGCCGCGGATCTGCAGGGAGGATGCTGGCGTCGATGCCCACCCTCTGGGGCCGCCATCCCTGGGGCATCTTGATGGCTTGGCGGGGAGCCAGGCACAGACCAGGGTGGGCTGCCGAGGGGCCCTTCCCCTCCCTCACTCCCCCACACCAGTTCGGAACTCACCCCTTCCTCACCCTCACTCCCTGGGGTGATGTCCTGTGTCTATCGTGTACCCGAGCAGGGGCCAAGCCACGGCAAGCGGTGCCCCAGGACTCAGAGTGGAACTCAGGGCAGGGTCCTTGTTCAGTTTTTAAAAGGAGCCCATATGTTATGGTGAATGCAAAGAAATACGTGGCAGCAGGGACAGATTTACTTGTGAGGGTCACGTGGGTCAAGTTCAAGGTCAAGGGCCTCAGGGAGGAACCAGCAATGAGTGGTGTGACTTGTAACTGGCAGCTTTGTAGATTCTTTTTTTTTTTTTTTTTGAGACAGAGTCTCTGTTGCCCAGGCTGGAGGTGCAGTGGTGCTATCTTGGCTCGCTGCAAACTCTGCCTCCCAGGTTCAAGCGATTCTCCTGCCTCAGCCGCCCGAGTAGCTGGGATTACAGGCGCCCGCCACCATGCCTGGCTAATTTCTGTATTTTTAGTAGAGACGGGGTTTTGCCATTTTGGACAGGCTGGTCTCAAACTCCTGACCTCAGGTGATCCACCCGCCTTAGCCTCCCAAAGTGTTGGGATTACAGGTGTGAGCCACTGCACCCGGCCTGGCAGCTCTGTAAATTCTGAAAGTAGTTGTCTTCTTTTCTCATTCTAAATACTCACTTTTGCACCTAACTTTTGATTCATCATTTTGGTATGCGGGTAGAAGGAGCCTACATGGGCCTGGGCTCTGCAGACACCAGGGCTGGGCACACTTATCTGGTATGCGTTGCCCAGCAGCCTCGGAGTTGGGCAGTTTTACCTCCACTGTACACAAGGGGAAATGGAGGCTCAGAGGCGAGTGAATGGCCACGGTCTCCGTGAGGTCTGAACACAGGACACCCGGCCCTGATGTGGGGTCCTCTCCCAGAAGCCAGAGCAATGTCTCCCTCCCCAGCGCCCTCCGCCCACTGGCCAGGCCCCACCTTATTCGGAAATGGGGTCTTTGCAGACATAATCAGGTGAAGATGGGGCTACACTGGAGTAAGGTGGCCCTAATTCCTACCACTGGTGTCCTTATAAAAAGGGGGAGAGACAGGTGGATAAGGAAAGGCCTCATGAGGAAGGAGCAGAGGCTGCAGTGATAACGGCTAGATGCAGGGAAGTGAATTTCCATCGTTTCAGGCCACCTGGTTTATGGTCCTTTGTTATGGCAGCAGCACGCTGACCCGTGTCCTGGGTGGCCGGAGGCCGGGCATCACCTACCTTCAGGCTGTCAGCCATGATGACCACGCTGGGGTCTGTCAGAGCGCTGAGCAGCTGCCGTGTGGCGCGCTTCTTCTCCTGCCGGTAGTTCTCCTTCTGCGCCTGGGCCCGGGGCACCCGCGGTGGGTCATGGGAGAAGGCACCGAGCTGCCCCAGCTCCTCCCACCGTCCAGCCCAGGGATGGGTCCAGGGGCAGGGGCAGGAGAGGAAGTAGGAGGAAGTAGGGGGTGTGGAGGCGACCAGGTGCGGTTTGTCCCCTCCTTTTGACAGGTGGGGAGGGTGACCTCCCTGGCTCAGGTGGCCGTCGGTCTGACAGTGACACTGCTGCACCCTCCCCGGGCCCGGGCTCACCTTGAGAGTCTCCTTCTTGGTGACCCTGGCGGTGGGGGACACACATTCCTTGTCTGACCCGTTGCACAGCCTGTACTCTGCCTGAAAGAGAGAGGTGGGTATGCGGGACAGGGCACAGGGGCCGGCCCAGGGCTAGGAGCCCAGGTTGGCCTGATGCCAAGGATATGAGGGCAGAAGTCAGAGAAGGGCGCTCCACTCGTTTCCCGCCTGGCACCCTCCATCCCCCCCACCAGCACTTCCGGGGCTGCCATGGGGGGATGGAAGAACAAGGGTGGCTGACGAGAGACCCTCCATGGGCACACGCCAGTGACAGGAGGGGACCCATCCTCCCCGGGGCACATGCTGGGATGGGGCAGGGTGGTCAGGAAGGAGGGAAATGTGGGGACATCAGGGTTCAGGGCTGACTTCCTACGGGTCTGACTGAGCCCTGAGGGACAGCCGTCTTTGAGGGGACACCTGGGAGGCCGCTGAGGAAAGCAGTCAGGGTGCCAGAGGGTGGAGTTCGCAGAAGAGGAGCTCGGCGGCGGCCATGAGATGGTGGCAACAAGCACTCACGCTGGGTCTCTGGGGACCAGCCCTGCATCCACCCAAAAGAACAGCTTCCCTGCCTTGTCTTCCCCCTACGGTACCCAGCATGGCTGCTCCTTGGCCATTGCATGTGCCCAGCTCTGGGCAGGGCCAATGTACTGGTGGGGGGTGTGCAGTGGGGGTGCCCACCCCATCCCCTGGGAGCCGTGGGCAGAGGTCACTGTCCAGGTCCGAACCTGACCCCAGCATGTGGCTGACTGCACGGGCCCAGGGCGGCAGTCCCAATATCTTGGAGGCAGAAGGGGGCCACGGTTCTTCTACAGATGGGGAACCTGAGGCAGGGTAGGGGGCGAGTTGGGACACAGAACCAGGTCTAAAGCCTGCAGGCTGGGGACAGCAAGCTACGACCCGAATCCTGCCTGCTGCCTCCTTCCGCGTGGTCTGCAAGCTAAGAACAGCTTCCACAGTTTTAATCAGTTGAAAAAAAATCACAAGAATAATTTGTGAGATGTGAAAATTATATGAAATTCAAATGAGGAGTCCATAAATAAGGTTTTCTTGGCACATGGCCAGGCGATCCGGCAGGCGTTGTCTGTGGCTGTTCTCGTGCTTGGATGGCTGTGCTGAGTACCTGGAACGGAGCCTGCGCCGCGGCGGGGCCTAAATGCCGTCTGGCCTTTTCCAGAGAAAGCGTGCCCGCCCTGCCCTGCTCTGGCTGGGCGTCTGCGGGTGCTCAGCACTTTCCAGCGGAGCCTCTAGGGCGAGGAAAGCCTCCCTCAGGCCTTCTCCTGGCTAGAAGCCCTGGGCGCTGGGGACTGCCCCCACCCCAATCATGATGGTGCTAAGTACAGAGCTAAAGCCTTGTCTGCTGGGGCACCAGGTCCTGTTCGGGTGCTGCCTGTATTCATCCCCCTCATTCTCCAGCCATGCATAAGGTGGGGCCGGTTATTGTCCCTATTTTATTTCTGTGCCTGGGAAATCAAGGCACAGAGAGGTGGAGAGCTAGCAAGGGGCAGGGCATGGAACCGTTCCACGGACTGGCGGTCCTGGCAGCACTGGGCACCAGGCTTGGCCTTAGGCACTGAGGTTAGAAAGTAAAGATGCCAGTGTCCTGCTCTTTCAGGGAGAGGCAGACCAGCCACCAGCACGCAGAGGCGGGAGGAGCCAGGGGTCAGGTGAGCGCTGCGGTTCTGCGTTCTGTGCATGGATGTAAGCACGTTAGATCCCACAGCTCAGGTCATCGTTGTTATTCTCAGCATTGTACAGAGGAAGAGCCTACGCACAGAGAGGTTCAGAAACCTGCCCAAGGTCACACAGCTAATAAGGAGCTGAGCTGGGACTGAACCCAGGCAGTGTTGCTCCATTGTGGCACTTTCTTAGCCAAGTAAGAGCATTCAGGATCACAAGAAGAAAACGGCACAAGATGGGGTGCCTGGGGGGCTCTGACTTGGAAGCAGTCTTTGGGCTGACGATGAGTGATAAGGAGGAGGCAGATCTGAGTGACGAGGCATATGCTGGACCCTGGCCAGTTGACAGGCCTCCAGGGACCCAGGCTGGCAGAGAAGGTGTCCTAAGTTGCCCTCCTGGGAGTCCCCTGAGCCAGGATCTTGTTCATGATGCCCTTAGTTACCTTGGCACATGGTGTTCCCAGCCTGGAATGCTTTTCCCTGTGGCTGGGTAGCCCCTGCTCCTTTCTTTCTCAGGCTCCCTGAGCTGCTTCCCCAGAAGCAGGACAGCTCATATCCCTGCTGGCACAGGTCCTGGTGACACACACCACCCTTGGCCCGCCCAGGACTTTTGCAATACAACCACGCAGCCGTTTCTGTGGTGAACTGATGATTGTCTGTGGCTTCCACCAGGGGAGGGTTCTACCCTACTGCCCATTCACACCGGCAGCTGGGGGCTTAGCAAGCATCTCGAATGAATGAATGGATGAATGGATGGATGGATGGATGGATGGATGGACGCATGAACCTGCTGCCAATTCCCCTCTGCCCAGCTTCCCACTAGATGCAGCTGAATGGGGCTGTGTGTATTTGAGGCAACAGGGGAAGAGAGAGGCAAGACCGCATGGCATGGGATGGAGCACTTGCAACCCCTGCTCCCCAACTGGGCAGGACCCTTGGGTCTGGTCACTGCAGCCCCTGCAGCCCCAGCACTGCAGAGAGTGCCTGCCCACTCCTCCCTCCTGCAGGCCAGGTGGGTACCCCGTCCAGGCATGCCAGGTCCTCTGCTCACTCCTCAGTGCTACTGTGCATCAGTGACAGTGCCATAAGGAGGCACCTGAGAGATGAGAAGTGCTGCTCAGAACTGTGAACTTCAGGCTGACCAGAACTTTGCAACCTATGAAAATTCCTTAAAAATATAATTTAGAACCACCTACGGAATGGGAGGAAGTAGTCGCAAATCATGTATCGGATAAGGACCTAGTATCCAAAATGCATAAAGAACTCTTGCAGCTCAGCAACAAAAAGGCAAACAACCCATTCCAAAAATGGACAAATAACTGGAATAGACATTTCTCCAAACAGGACATACAAATGGCTAATGGGTGCACGAAGATGTTCAATGTTATCCGTCATTAGAGATGCAAACTGAAGCCGCAGTGAGATGCTACTTCATACCCGCTAGGATAGCTATAAAAATAACACAAAAAAGAACAAATCACGCCTGTAATCCCAGCACTTTGGGAGGCCGAGGCGGGTGGATCATGAGGTCAGGAGATCAAGGCCATCCTGGCTAACACGGTGAAACCCGTCTCTACTAAAAATACAAAAAAATTGGCCGGGCGTGGTGGCGGGCGCCTGTAGTCCCAGCTACTCGGGAGGCTGAGGCAGGGGCATGGTGTGAACCCGGGAGGCGGAGCTTGCAGTGAGCCGAGATCGCGCCACTGCACTCCAGCCTGGGTGACAGAGCGAGACTCCGTCTCAAAAAAAAAAAAAAAAAAATACAAAAAATTGGCCGGCCGTGGTGGCGGGCACCTGTAGTCCCAGCTCCTCGGGAGGCTGAGGCAGGAGAATGGCGTGAACTTGGGAGGCGGAGCTTGCAGTGAGCTGAGATTGTGCCACTGCACTCCAGCCTGGGTGACAGAGGGAGACTCCATTTCAAAGAAAAAGGAAAAAAGAAAACAACAAATCAGAAAATAGCAAGCGTTGGTGAGGATGTGAGGAACTGGAGCCCTTGTGCACTGTGGGTGGCCATGTAAGATGGTGCAGCCGCTGGGAAAGGAGTTTGGCAGTTCCTCCAAAAGTTAAACAGACAATTTTGAGAGTTCTATATTATCCTGGAATTACCATGTGACCTAGCAATTCCAATTACTCTAGGTTTATACCTGAGAGAACTGAAAACTGATAGTCAAATACACGTGCACACATGTTCACGGAAGCATTTTTCATGACAGCTATATGGTGAAAACAGCCCAAATATCCACCAGCAGCCCTCCCGGAGCAGCACAGTCTAGGATTGGGAGCTGTTTCCCCCGAACAGGCTGGAATGGCAGGCTCAGCTGGACGCCCTGCTGTCCTTTTCCCCAGCCGTTTCCTGCTGTCCCCAGAGCCAGGCTCTGGCTCATGGATCCTCCTATACCCAGGCTCTTACCGGTGGCACCTTCGTGGCAGAGCTTGGGGTCGGGGGCCCTTCATCCCTGGGCAGCGACGGGCCGTTGGGCTCCATGTCCTTCCCTGCAAGAGAGCAGTGGGAGTGAGGACCCAGGCATGGTGGCGTGGCCAGGCTTCTCAGGCCGCTGCCTGGTGTGAGGCAGGCGAAGCGTGGGTGCGGATGACCTGGGAGGGGCAGGAAGTCAGCCGGAGGTGGTGGCAGGAACAGGACACTGCCTGAGAGGTGTAATAAACGCCAGCAAGCGTCACTGTGGGAGGAGTGTGCCAGGAGAACTGGCAGGGCCTCCAGGACCTACAGGGAGGAAGCTGGGACAGGAGCTGGTAGGAACCGGCATCCTGGGCCTGCTGTAGTGTGCAATTGGGGGTCTGTGAAGGCCAGAGTCCCCAGTTTTCAGAAAAAGAATGTGACATCCAGTCTCAAAGACACATGGCAGGTTTGGGGCCCCTGGACTGTGCATCCCCCTGGCTGGATGCTGCCGGCCCCTGCGTGCTGGGCTCTTGCTGGGAGGTGGTCAGCCCTGTCTGCCATCCCACCCTGGCAGGCTGGGTAAGGAGGGAGAGGCAAAGGAGGGAGACCTGAGGTGTCTGCGTTTGCTCCTTTGGGAAATGGCCTCCCCTCCCCCGGCTCTGTTTGCTTTGGTGCCAGTTTCCCAAGGTACGATTTCTGGACAGGAGGAAGGAGGGGATGGCTGCAGGGGAAGCCTGAGGTCTGCCCAGCAGGGCCGCTCCCGCTGCTTCCTGTGGCTGGTGGGCGAGGGTTGACTGCCCCGGTCCCTGACACTGAGACTCGGAGGGGCTGGGGGCTGGAGTGAACCCCATCCTGCCAAGGCCACAGGCGACAGGCCAGCAACAGGCTGGGTGCGTGGACAGACGCCACAGACCAGCTGGAAGGCCTGGGGTCTATAGCCGTCCTTCCCTGACAGCCCTGGGCAGGGACTGGATGGGGACGAAGAACGGAAAAGCCAGGACGGTGGCCTGAGGAAGTGGTTCTGTCCAAAGGTCCTGGACCGTGGCCACTCACAGTCACAGAACATCGCTGACCCTGGCCGGCAGTGGCTGCTCCCCCACCTGGGAGCCTCTGCTTCCCCATCTGCAGAGTGCTACGCCCCTGACCCGGAGTGCTGGGGGGAGGCTAGCAGGAGCGCTCTTCCCTCTGGCACTTTCTCATATAGTTCTAGGGGCTTGGCCTGTGGCCGCCAGCAAACTACTTTCCATGTGGATGCTGCCTCCTGGCCGGGAGGACTCAAAGGCTGGGGCCCTTGGACCACTCAAAGGGATAGGGTGCAGGTGCCCTGGGCAGGGGGAAGTCAGCACTGGTCCTTCTCCTCACAGCCTGTCCACACCCACCCCACTCCCTTGGCCTGGGACCTACCGCCTCCATTCCTCGGAAAAGGCCCTTCCCAGCACGTCTTCTGCACCGCCTGGGCCAGTTGCTAGTTGGTCCGAGTCCCTCTGAAACTGACCAGCAGCTGGGACCCAGCCCTTCCCCTCCCCACCCCTGACTCTGCAAGTGCTTCTAAGCCTCCGGCCAGGGTGAACGTGACAGCAGAGAATAAAAGGTGTAGGATTTACCTTGCCGGGTGTCGAGTGCCCCTGCCTGCCATAGCACCTTCAGCAAGGCCACCTCTACGCTGGGACTCCGTTTTTCCATCTATTGGATGGGACTTTGGCTGCGACCACACGCCCCTCGAGCCTGGGTGGTGGATCCGCCCAATGCTCTCCCACTCCCCCCAGGGCAGATGAGATGACCATGGCCAGGCAGGGCTGGGGCTCCCACTTCCTCAGCCCCAAAGCAGGCAGTGGGAGGAGAGGGGGCAGAGCTGGGGAGAGGTCCCCCAGGCAGGTGCCTGCCCCTACCTCCTACTCTCAGGGGAACAGGGGAGGAAGGGCTGGGTTTTCTGGGGGACAGCAGTCACAGCTCAGCCTTGGCTGGGGCAGGGGTTGTGCATAGTTAGGTGCCAGGGAGGGGCCTGGAGAGTGGCAGCATTGGCGGGCAGAGGTTCTGAGTCTGTGTGCTGGGTGCTTTATCTACAATTGCACGAAGGCAGGCCTGGTTCCAGCTGTCCCCTCTCAGAGCCCAGGACCCATGTATAGCTGGGAGTAGGTACTAATATTGTCCCATTTTATAGATCAGTCAACTGAGGCCTAGAGAGGTCAAGTAGCTGGCCTGGGGTTACCCTGCCAGGACTGGGGCTCAGGCCACCTGTCCCTGGAGCCTGCACTCCATAACTCCCAAAGCCTGGGCTGACTTTGGGATGACTGCACTCCATAACTCCCAAAGCCTGGGCTGTGGGAACCCCCTCCTCAACCAGATGGGCTTCACCTGGCCCCGCAGGTCAAGCCAAGAAGCCGTATTACCTGGCACTCTACCAAGCTACAAACCGTTTGATCATGAAACCCACACAGTCCCCAGCATGGAAGCTGTGGACCTCAAGGGGCACAGAGGGGTTGGGCCGCCCGGGGTCACCCCACCGGGCCCAAGCTGAGGGCCAGGTTGCCCTGCCCACGGCCGGCACTTACCTGGGCTGAGTGGGTAGAGCTCATTGTCTCCGCTGAGGAGCAAGTTCCGGGTGAGCTTCCGGGGGTCGACTTTCTGAGGGGTGGAGGAAGGTGGACACAGGGAGAAGCGGCGCCGGAGGAAGGCCTCCTCCTTCATGCTGTGGGCGCTCGGGGGCTTCTGGAAGGAAGGAAGGAGGGGCAGCAGGAGGTCACCGCCCCGGAAGGGGCTTCAGAGCCACATGGTGGGGGTGCCCCTGGCTAAGAAGTCCCCCTCTCAGGGGACTTCTGAGGCAGGGTGAGGAGGGCCTGGGCCCTGGGAGCCTGGTGGTGGGTGGTCAGCCAGGACAGCCCAGCTCAGGCGAATGGCTTTGGCTGGTGCCAGCCCTTTCCACGCCGGGCAGTAGGGCTGGACGGAGCCCTGGTCAGAGAGGCTCATCACCACCCTCGGAAGATGTCCTTCTCAGAACCCCCACCCCAGGTTCTGTGAGACCCTGGCTGCAGCCAGGCAGACCCACGTGTAGACACAGGTTTTCCCTCCCGCATTTCCCTCCCACGTGACAGCACTTTGTGGTGGGGAGGGGTCTAGAGCTTCCATGGAGAAGATGCACGGGGGTGAGACCAGGTGGCCGCTGAGCACCAGGGAGTGGCTGGCACGGTGTTGGGCAGTCCGGGAGCCTGGCCTGCCATCCATCTAAGGGTCCCAGGAGCGCCTCGCCTCTGGTTAAGCCCGCCTGAAGCTTGGGTGCCCCAACAGTTTCAGTTGCACCCACATGCACCCCAGCAAGAGAGGGAGCTCTGGGCGCTCACAGCCAGGCACACCTGCGTCCACGCCCAGCCCAAGACGTTGCATTCCCAGTGGGAGCTTCCTTGCTGCTTCACAAAAGAGGGAGGCCCCACAGCCAGGCCCTGACACCCACCTGCCTCGCTCTCCCAGCCCCGCCCACTGGCAGACCTGCCTTTCCCCTGTGGGTTCAGAAGCGAGTTTCTTGTTTCCTCCCCTGGAAGGAGAGAGGACAACAGGCGGTCCCCTCTGTCCTGCTCCCCACCAGCCCTACACCTAGTAGTGCTGGGCCAAGCAGAGGGTAACTGATTGCAGTCACGCCTTTGCAGGCACTTGAAGTTGACGGCGCCAGATCCACTGAGGTCTCAGCCCATTTTACAGATGAGAAAATCATGGCTCAGGGAGTGGAAGGCCTCGACCTGTAATCGTGACCTGACAAGGGTTGGCAGAGCATCCCCTCCAGCTTCTCATCTTGTGTCCACTTCCCAAGGGCGAGCTCCTTAAAAACTACTGGTCAATTTTCCTCCTTTCCCAATTTTCTGGGGCTGCTTCCTGCTGCCTCAGGGCAGGCCAGTGGCATCCTGCCAAGCCCGGGACAAAGGCCTCGATTTCTCCCATGGTCCTGGGCTTTGCTGGGGGGGGCCTCAGACACACAGAGACTTTCCTGCTGTGGCTTCAGGAGTGGGCTGGGGGCCCAGGGTGTCTGTGGTCCTGGGGGCTTCTGTCCACCACCCCAGAGCCCCCTCTGTGCCCCCAGTCCTGAAGTCAGAGTGGGGAGGGGCTCCAAGGATGCAGCCAGGCTGGGCCAGCCCCTCCCTCACCTGGCCCCTGGCTCGGCTCATGACCTTGGCCATCTTACACACAGGGCAGCTGGCTTCAGAGAGGCTGGCGTTTTGGCCCAGGTCACAGAGCTAACAATCAGCAATGCCGTCCTTAAGCCAGGTGGAACCGATCCTAAAACCCAGCCGCTGAGTGTCTGCCCACTCAGTGTCTCAGCTTGGCTCAGCCAACCTGCCGCAGGGAAGCAGGCAGATGGGAAGTCCTGCCCCTACTTGTCAATCACAACAAACACGTCCTACTTGCCCAGGTGCAGCTCAGGATGGGAACCAGCAGCTGAGCGGAGGCCGGGCTTACTCAGACAGCTGAGATTTTCTGAGCACCCAGGCTGGGCTGGGCACCAGGCAGCCAAGGTAAGTGAGCAGCGATCCTGCTCTCAGGACCCACAGAGAGCCCCGGAATGTCCCAGGCAGTGTGGTGACAGCGATTCCCAGGTAGGTCTCCCTCACTTGGAACCTCCTGGGGCAGGGAGAGGGGCTCAAAACCTAGCCTCAGCTGCCCTGTCTGGCTGTCTGCTCCAGTTCCACCTGGGCCAAGGTAGAAAGGCCATAGGGGATCTTGGTACCTTTCTGCTCAGATACCCCACATACCTTCTCCCAGCACCAATGACAGCCAGTGGGACTTCTTAGTCTGTGAGTGCCACCATCCACTCATCTATACACCAGTCTCATCTATACACCAGTCTCCCGCTCCCTTGTATCCCTCCATCTATACATACATACATCTCCCTTCCAGGCATCCATCCATCCATCCATCCACCCACCCACCCATTCATCCATCCATCCATCCATCCATCTACTGTCATCCCATCTATCCATCAATCCATCCATCCATCCATCTACCCATTCATCCATCCACCCATTCGTCCATCCATCCATCCATCTACCATCCTCCCATCTATCCATCCATCCACCCATTCATCCATCCATCCATCCATCCACCCACCCATTCATTCATCCATCCATCCATCCATCCACCCATTCATCCATCCATCCACCCATTCATCCATCTGTCTATTCATCCACCCGTCTATTCATCCATCCATCTACTGTCCTCCCATCCATCCATCCACCCACCCACCCATTCATCTATCCATCCATCCATCCATCCATCCATCCATCCATCCTCCCAGGCATCCATCCATCCATCCACCATCTTCCCATCCATCCATCCATCCATCCACCTACCCATTCATTCATCCATCCATCCATCCATCTACCCACTCATCTATCCATCCACCCACCAAACCATCCATCCATCCATCCATCCACCCATCCACCCACCCTCCCTCCCTTTCAGGCATCCATCCATCCTCCTGTCCATCCATCCATCCATCCATCCATCCATCCATCCATCCATCCATCCACCCACCCATCCACCCACCCTCCCTCCCTTTCAGGCATCCATCCATCCATCCATCCATCCATCCATCCATCCATCCATTCACCCACCTGCCACCCCTCTATCCCTCCTTGAAGCTCTCCAGCCAGTCAGCTGACCTGCCTGATTCCACCTTCCTTCCCATTCACCTCACACTCAGACACATCTGAGGTGGTATTCAAATAATGTCTGAAACACTGATATGGAACAGACACTCACCAATCCAAATGCAATACAGGTGTGTACCAGGGACTATCACTCTGTGTGCCAACAACCCCAGACCAGTGTCCAGTGCCCCGGGCCCTGCAGACCACCTCTGACCCGCTCAGACAGGGTGGGCGGCAGCTCTCATCACAAGGCATCCTGGTCTGTGGAGCCCTTCTGGAGCCCCCCATCCCTTGGACTTCCTGATGCCCTACAGCTGAGAGGTGCCTGCTGAGTGCCCCCAAATGGTCACCTGGTGGGGAGGTGTTTTGTTCATTTTAAAGGCCACATCTCCCCAGTGGCTCCATATGGCATTTAGAACAAATCCAGTCTCATCCCGTCCCTGTTCCCCAAGCCCTCCCGCCACCCCATTCCCCAGCCCACTCTGTCGCCCACTCTGCTCCAGCCACACTGGCCCCTTTATGTTCCCATTCCTGCTGAATGTGCCCGCCCACCATCTCCACATGGCCCGGTCCTCCTCAAATTCCACTGTCAGCTTCAATGTCACTTCCCGGAGGCTTGGCCACTCTGGGAGTCGATTCAGATTCTCCACGTAGCACTGGGAGTCCTTGGAGGGCTCCACATTGCACTTCTTTGTTCTTCGCACACACTTCTCCCACCAGATGCAGCGCAGGTGAGGGGTGGTGGGGTCTGATCATGGCTCTGTCCCAGCAGCCAAGGCAGGGACACGCGGTAGGTGCTTCCCATGTGTTTGGATTCACACAGGCTGCCTGTCGTGTCGCACGGCTCCAGGGTGGAGACCCTCGGTGGTTGTGCAGCAGGCACTCCCCATTGGAGGTGCCTGGGGTGCCTGCCTGCCTCCCCACTGTTCCTGAGGTCTCCAGGACAGGGCAGGGTCCTCAGAGAGGTGAGCAGGGTTAGTTTTAGGGCTGATTTCCACTGGAACCCTAGTGAGGTTCCCATCCCCCGGCCATCTGCCACTCCAGGCGTTGCCTAAGGAATAATGGAAAGTTGGCATCTGCAGGGTGTGAGCTGCTGAGGAATGAGGCCCTCTTGGTGCTGGTAGGACTTTCATCCACTGCAGTGAAAGCTGAAGGCTGGGAGCCCCAGGGAGCACAGCCCCTGATGGGAACCCCCCATGAGGGGAGGGAGAGAAGGAAAGAAGGATGGGTCGACAAGGAAACAGACACGCTGGCTGAGGCAGCAGCGACCTGGGATCCCACTCAAACTGGGAAATGCAAAAGGCCTGTTATCGCCACTGCCCTGCACTGCCTGCGGGGAAGCCCCGGGCCACGCTCCGGCCACCAAGGACTTCAGGTGGACCCTTTAGGCCCAGCCCTCAGGATTCTGCCTGCCTGAGGCCACCCAAGGTTGATGTGGCGGTCGCTCTCAGCGGCCTCCATGCCCTGGGGGGCTGGCCTGTCCCTGACACCAGCAGCACCTTCACCCCAGAGCCCCCAATGACTCTCTGCTCATCTGTACACAGCTGGGCCTCAGCCTGCAGTTGCCAAACCCTTTTCCGCCACTGTGCATGGTGCTGCGTCCATCTCCAGCTGTGATCTCATCCTGCCCCCACAGTCCTGAAGTCCAAGTGCAGGAGGGGACGCTGTGGGGCTTGGGAGGAAGGAGCCCCAGAGTGCCCCTCCCACGGTGAGACTGTCCCTGGGGCCAAAGAGGAAGTGTGGGCAATTCCAGTCTGAAAGGTCACGTTTCTGCCTGGTGGGGCCCCAGCCCCGAGACCCCAAGGTCCCCTAAGGAGGCTCATTCTGGAGGCCAGGCCAGGAGGCCAGGGAAGAGGGAGTGGCTGGGGAAGAAGGCGGGGCTTGGTGGGGGGGGGGTCACTAGATGTATGTGGTCCCCAGTGCCCAGCTCTGCCCAAGCCTCGGAGGAGGGAAGGGTGCAGGCCTGGAGCTCAGAAACAGGCAGGCGACAGGTGGGCCCGGAAGCCACCACCTGACCCCAAGTCCAAGTCAGCCACAACCCTCTTCTGCAGCTTCCATTCCTGGGGGGCCTAAGGAAATGTCCTCTTCCAATGTCACATCAGATGCTGGGTCGCCTCGTGGGCCTCCTGCTGTCACCAGACAGGACAGGAAGGGCCTCCTGCTCTCCTCCAGGGGCCCTGTGTTTGCCACTGTAGCCATCCGCTGGCCACCCAGCAGGCACGACTTCCATTGTTGGGGGTTGCCTGTGTCCCCAGGAACCAATTCTCCAAGTGCCCCTTGCCTGGGGGAGCGCCAGGTTTTGTTCAGCTGTTGGGCAGACCTAGTGACTAGGGTGGGGGCCACTCTTCCTAGTCCAGAGTGAGCCAGGCCCACTCCCCAGCCTGTGAAGGCTCAAGGTGAGCAGGGCTGGCCCCCCAGCCCCTCCTCCTGCTGCTGGTCCCTAGCCCATCCCAGGTGGGTGCCCTGCCCAGCCGCTCTTCTCAGTCATGACTTTGTGCCTCTTTGGGCCTTTTGGAAAGGAGGGAGGGAGGCACCAAAAGGGAACACTTTGGACTTGGGTTGGGGTGGAGACCCGCTGTCCACCGAAAGAATGTGCTCTGAGCAGAGCCTCCTCTGCCATGTGGCGGGATGGGCCGGGGAGCCCACAGGGGCTGGGCTTCAGCTGCGTGAGTGGGTCTCCTCAGAGGTCTGCTGGGACTTGGGGGTGGGGTGGGGGTGATCCTGTGACCCAGAGAGGGGCTGAGGGTGGGGGAGGGGCAAGTGTGGGTGCCGGGTGCAGGCCCGTGGGCAGGGCCAACCACCAGCCTGGGAGAGCTGACAATCCCACTTGTGGTCCCACTAGGCTGGAGAGGGGACGCGGGAGAAGCTCGGCCCATGGAAGGCCCCCCTTTCTCTGCACCCCAGCCCCCGAGCTGGGCCTTTGCTTCTGCCTGGCCCTCTGCAGGGGGCTCCTCCTTCTTCCTCGGAGACCCAGCCCCTTTGTCCAAGAACGTTTCCCCAGCTGTCAGTCCTCAGGAGCAGCTGACCGCCCCCGTGCGTCTCTTTGGACCTGAAGTGCGCCCTGGCGGTGCTTCGCTTTGGCCTGGGTGGGTTCCCCTGAACTGAGCTGTGCTGGGCTGGGCAGGGCCGTGCTTCCGCCAAGGGGACACTGGCCCAGCTGACTTCCTTGACTACTCAAGCACCTCTGGACCCAGTTGGGCGGGGCACACACAGGGGCCAACTCTGCATCTCTAGAATGAATTCGCTCATGGCTGGAAGGGGGCTTGAGAGACGCTGGAGCTGCTAAGGGCCGGGGAACGTTCTGGAGGGCCAGAGAGTAAGGGGGACAGAGAGCCAGAACCGTGGCAGCCAGGCAGAGGCCACTCCTGAGGCCCTCCTCTGGGCAAGGAGGTGGATGCCCAGGCAGGCAGGGATGGGTGCCCCTTCCAGGTCCTCTCCTGAGACCCCAGCACCCTCCTCCAGGCTAGCCCCAGACTCCCACCCCTGCCTGTGCCCAAAGCTGCAGAATGCCCAGGCCAGATGGACATGTGGGGCTCTCGGGGACTGCAGGTGGCCGTGATGGTGTCGTGCAGCTGCTGCACTCCTGAGACCACAGCTAAGACACCGCCCCGTGGTGGCAGCGCCTGGGGGCCGCCTTGCCTGCGGCAGGGTCCCACCCACACCCAGAGCCACTGCTTGACCCCCCTTCCTGTTAACCACAGGCACCTCCTGGTCCCCTCCTCATGGCTCCCACTTCCTCCTGCCCTGCTGAGTTTCCTGGGCCACCTAGGAGTTGCGGAGGGGACAGAGGCGAGGGCACAGGAAGGGAGTGAGCTCTGACTCTGGGCTGACCACCCCTCCCCAACCCCCACTGCATAGGCTGGAGCAGGCTCTTCCTTCCATTTCTCATGTGGGGCATGAAAGACCCCTTCCACCACTGGGAGACAAGAGGTCCCATGTGGTGCCAGCCCAGAGCAGATGGGGAGGGACAGGTCAGGTTCTGCCTCTGCCTGGCCAGCCCTGTGTCCCTGAGGATGCTTGCCTCTGGACACCTGGGGAGGGGCCATGCTCTCTGACCCCACGCCAAGGCCAGCTGTTTGGCAGCATGGGGCCCAGGCCCAATGGGGGCCCCACCCAGAGCCAGTGCACATGGCCCCCCTGCCTCCGCCAGCTGCCTTCCCAGCAGTAATCCAGCCTCCAAAGTGCTCCTTACCCCCTGCCTCCCAGACGCTCGCCTTCAGGCTAGGATAAAGGGATTCTTGTAAAGAAAGGTCACTGGCGCCTCCTCAGGCCACATAGAGCCATCAGCTGGGGCCACACTTAGCTGAACCTTGGCCAGGGGCAGACACTGCCTCAGCTCTGGGAAAGGCTGAAGCTCTGAGAAGGAATCCAGCTGAGTCCTGGACTCATTCCGCATCCTTCCTGTGCCCAATTCCTCCTCTGTCCTCCTGCAGAGGCCTGGGGACCGCAGAGCTGGGGAAAAGGGCCCAGCCATGACTCCAGTGGTTGTGTGGCCTCAGCTGGCCACCTTCATCTCTCAGGCCCTGTTTGTAAATCAGGACTTGCTCTGAGTCAGGGAGATGATGTCCCAGGCCCACAGGAGGCCCTGGGGAAGGCGCCTGCAGAGGTGAGTGTGAGCCCAGACCCAGCCCCCTCCACGCCTATGTGGCTTCCTCACCCACAGCCCAGAGTGACAGGGCTGGGCCGCGCTGCATGGGGGCAGAGAGGAGGCTCTGGCCACTGGGGTGCTCCATCAATTGGCAGGGGCCAGAAAAGCAGGAACTCCGCAGCCAGCCTTCAGCAGTAACATCCGGCACAGATGCTTCTGCCTAAACCAGATAGATTCTCGTTCAAGACTGTGGAGGGGAAATGCTCTAAAATCACAAGGATAAAGGAACATAAGCCCAAATGCTTGGCTCTTCGCACATGGGATGGAGAGGTCAGTGGGTCCCAAGGAAGGACAGCAGCCATCAGTTAAAGGACAGCAGCCATCATGTCAACACCATACGTTTGCATTCCAGAAACTTGCTAAGGTCAATGCAAGTGACCATGAAGATCCTGCTGTGAGGAAACCACGCAGGCCTCCTGAGTCACCCCAGGGAGACCACCACAGCAACAGATGCACTCCCTGAGAGCAGACAGCAGCATAAGAGACCAGGCTGCTGTGTCTGGGTGGACCGAATGCCTAGTGCTAATGTGGGCAGCCTGACCACCCCTGCAGGAGCAGCAGCCTCTTCAGAGAGCCGTGGCATGCACTTCAGCTGTGGCAGCTGGGCCCTGGGGGGCTTGGGACATGCGCTTTCCCAGGACATCTGCTGCACTGATGGACCTTAAAGCCCCCAGGTCCTCCTGGATGTTCTGTCCCATCTGATATGATTCTCGGAATGCTCGCAAGGTGCGGGGAGCAGGGGAGCAGGGGTCATCATCACATTTTAAAGATGCAGTGGGCCGGGTGTACTGCACCTGGGATTACAAGCCTGTAATCCCAACACTTTGGGAGCCTGAGGCGGGTGGATCGCTTGAGCCTAGGAGATCGAGATCAGCCTGGGCAACATAGCGAGACCCTGTCTCTACAAACATAAAAACAGCCGGTTGTGGTGGCACATGCCTGTGGTCCCAGTTACTCAGGAGGCTGAGGTGGGAGGATTGCTTGAGCCTGGGAGGTCGAGGCTGCTATGAGCCATGGTCATGCCACTGCACTCAGCCTGGGTGACAAAGTGACACCCTCATCACACACAAACACACTGGGACCCCAAGAGGGGAAACGGCCCATCTAAGGTCTCGTGGGCCAGGCTGCGCCTGGGATCCCCTCAAAGGAGCACAGCTGAAGCCCCAAATCCCCTTTGCACTTTGGAGATAGCTGTGGAGCTGAGGGGGAGGCCAGGCCTCCCTCTGGGGAGACATTTATCAGAGGCAGCTGTGGAGTGGTTGAACCTCAAGAGGGGCACAGGAAGTGGCCTGCACTGCTGAGGACGCAGCATCGAGCCATGCCTGCGTGTTCTCCGGGCTGCCTCAGCCAAGTCCTGTGCCTGTGGGCCCGGCCAGGCCAGCCCGTCCCCGGCCCTGTCCACCTGTCCTCCTGATGGACACCAGGCCCACTGAAGGCTCAGAGCAGCTACTGGGTCAGCTGGCCTTGGTACCCCGACCCCACACCCCTGTAGTCGATCACTCCACCAGCCCTAAGAAGCCCTGGCATGGGGGCGGGCTGGGCGTGGTCCCTGAGGCAGGCCTGGCCCCACCACCTCCCAGCTAGACCCACCACCTCCCAGCTAGACCCACCCCACCTGTCCCAACTGAAAGGAGACTCCGATTTTCAGATGCTAGCTGCAGCCAGGTGGCAGCAGGGGTCAGCCGGGGAGGGAGGGGTAAGGGAGTGGGGGCCGTCACTTGGAGGCAGTGCAGCTGGAGGCAGGGGCCTGCTGGGATTGTGGACGCAATCTCAAACCCGCCACGCTGAGCCTCAGCATTCACACTGGAAATAAGACATGAACCTGGGCCCCCAGTGGAGCCTGGACACTCACTTCCAGAAAAGACGCTCGCCTGCCGTGCTGTGGGGCTGGCCTCTGTCCTGAATGCCCTCAGGCACACCTGGGGCCTCTTCTGGGTGGTGCCAGTGCCCCCTTGCCTGGCCCTCCTGGTGAGGCTCCTGGGCTTGGTGTGCCACCCCCAGTGGACGGCCCTGCAGGCCGCTGCCTACCCAGGTGGGGGACCAAGGGAGAAGCAGCTGGGCTGTGGCCGCCTAGGGACACGCGGCTGAGAAGCTGAGCACGTGGCTGTGTCTCCTCATCTGGCCCCAGCCTGCTCATCCTCCTAATTCCAGGGCAGCCTGGAGCCAGGCGTGTGGGCAAAAACTCCAACAAGAAGACCAGAGCAAAACAAAGAGGACGCGGCTGCTGTGGGCCAAGACTGAGGTCCGTCTCCGCCCTCCAGGGGCACCTGAGCTCCAAGGGCAGGGACCGGGTGATGGGTCTTCGCTGACACCGAGTGGGGATCCTGGGGTGCGAGCAGGCCCACACTCTCCCCCAAAACCCTCCAGCCTCAGTCTCCCCCACTGCCCACCCACACACCACCACAGCTGTTCCCGTTCAGGGGACCCTGGGGTGACCATGAGGCAGTGGGCCTGAGAGCCAGGGAGGTGGAAGCTTCCAGCCCTGGAGGAGCAGGTGGCCACCGGCCAGCTGAGTGAGCGGAGACCAGGAGGCTGTGCGGGACGGGTGGCCCCGGGGCTGGGGCCGTGGCCAAGCCTGCTGGGGTCTGCCAGGGGCATCAGCTCTGAAGGTGCTGGCTGTGCTGTTGCCAGTGCTCTGTGGGGCCACGAGCAACCTGCCAGGATGATGGGGGAAGGAAGAGCCACCAGGCTGGGGCAGAGGTGGAGACAGACCCCAGTGATGGAGTTGAGCCCATTCTGGGAAAGGCAGGGAGGAGTGGCCTCCAGTGAGCTGGGGAAAGCCAGTGAGCAGGGGGCTTTAATCACCAGCCCAGGCACCCAGCCCTGCCCGCAGGAGTTTGGGGGCAGGATGGGGGTGGCAGGCCTTCCCCTGGCCTCTGGACAAGCCCCCGCCCCAGGGAGGCCTTGCTGCCTTGCTCTATGGGGAGGAGTCACTTCCAGAGGGCACATCCAGCCTCCCCTCCTCTCTCTCTGTCTCTCGGCTTCCCTCTCTGGGCTCCTGGACCCTGGGTCCAAGTGCTGCTTCCCCCGGCCTCTCTTCCTTCAGGCAGCCAGCCTTCCCTGCTGGAGTCCCCGAGGCCCAGCCACGCGCCCTGAAGGAGCACAAGCTCCTAGGGTGCGTTTACTCGCAGAGGCTGAAGCTGGTGGTGGGGTGGGGCGCTCACAGCCTGGCCTGTGGTTGGCCAAGGACACCAACAGGAGCTCTTCCCTGCAGCTCCTGGCAGGCCTGCAGAGGTGCCCCCCCTGCTCTGAGAAGCCAGCCTCACAAGATCATTCATCGCAAGCTCTGGGCCCACTGCTCGGCTGTGCAGCCTGGGAGGGGGGTGTGCAGTGGTCCGCCAAGCAGCACCTCTGCCAAGGAGCTCCCTCTGCAGAGGAGAACCCGGCCAAGGTCCCCCAAATTGCAGCCACCATCTCGGGCTGTATTAACAGAGGTTGAGTCCTCAGAAGGAGGGAGGGGATAATTGCAGTGGTGTCTCCCTGGCCAGGCTGCTGAGTTCAGCTCTGGAAGGGGCAGCCCACAGCAATGCTCTCTGTGAAGGGCCAGCATGGTGCCACCCAGGAGTGACACACACAGCCAAGCTCTCCCCTGTATCCCTCAGGTGCTGGACAGGCAGGGTAGGGCTCACAGCCAAGCTAGGACACCCTTCCCAGGGCCAAGGCAGCCCAGGAAAAGCCAGCACAGCGTGTCCTCCTGAGAGGCCTGTGTGGACACTCAGGGGTCCCAGTCTGAGGGGGAACACAAGGCCTTGACCTGGTAGCCCACTTTCAACACTCCGTGAGCACGCAGGGCCTCCCCCAGCAGAGAGGGGCACCGAGGGAAGCCAGGACCCCAGGCAGTGCCCTCTGTCCACCCAAGTACATGCTGCCCCACCAGTGGACAGGCATCGTCGTCCCGGCTCCCCTCTGTCCCCCAGCTCACATTACCCAGGACTGGCTGTAGGAGCCTTGTTTCCAAGACCAGAGAGGTCATAAGGTCACCTGCTGCCCACACGTCCCATCCTAGTCCTCCTTGGGGTATGTGGGTACCTGGGGCGGCCCCTCATGTCCAGGAGCTGAGGCTGCCCCTGGGTGTATCAAGGTGAGGTGCCTACCCCACCCCTACCCGCCCATGCAGAGCTGCAGCTGGTGCTCTGGTCAGCCCATGGGTGTGACAGCCCAGGGGGCCCTGGGGCCAGGTGACCACCTCAGAGCCACTCCTTCCCCGATGCCATCTGTCAAGGGTCAGGGGTCACACACTGCAGAGAAGAAGACACAAAGCCTGGCAGGTAGGACCCTGGGGGCACCAACTTGGGTGGGGGTCAGCCCAATGCCTTGTACGAAGAGGCCCCCAAAACAGGAATAAAAACCACCTAACAACAGAAACAACGTCAACCCATAAAGCCTCATTCCAGGCAGTTTCGAGTGCTCTGATGCTGACAGCCACCCAGGCTTCCCCCCGCCCAGCAGACAGTATCGTCATCATGTGTGATGCAGGGAGGGCACAGGAGATGCCACCGAGTCGTGATTGCTCCTGGACAATGCACAGCGTCCTTTGACCAAGCGCCTCCTGCTCACCCGGGAACACACCCTCGGGTCCAGCATCCTCCCTGTGACTCTGCATAGTGGGAAGGACGTGGATTCTAGAAACCCCTCCTGCCCCAGCAGGCAGGTCCAGCCCCGAGGCCTCCTTGGTTCCCCTCAGAACAGAGCTTCCAGAAGGGCCCCCAATCTGTCTCTCAGGAAATGGGGGGGGTCTCAAACAGAAGGACCCCCAATCTGTCTTCCGCTGTGGTGGAGAGCTTGCCAAAGTGTTCAGGAAATGGCATTAATGGGGTCCATTATGGCCCGAGTTGCGCAGAGAGGACAGGGAGGGGCTGGATTTTGCTGACCTCCAAGGGGAACCCTTCTATGAACGGAAAGCTCGCACCTCGCTCAATGCATTGCCAAGTTGCGATTCTCATGCATCCCAGTGCTTTGCCGAGGTGCCTACGCCACCCTTGCATGTGTGTCCTCCCCTGGGCACAGGATGCTAAATGGGGTGACAGTAGGAACACCCACCCCCCACCCGCCTCCCACCCAGTGCAGGGACTGGGAGGACTCTACGCCCTGGAAGGAAAAAAGACTGCAAGAGTACAAATGCGCCATTTTCCCACTTTCTCTCCATGTTACAGTTGCAGTTTCTTTTCTTTCTTTTTATTTTTTTTGAGACGGAGTCTCGCTCTGTTGCCCAGACTGGAGTACAATGGCACGATCTTGGCTCACTGCAACCTCTGTCTCCCGGGTTCAAGCAATTATCCTGCCTCAGCCTCCCGCGTTGCTGGGACTACAGGCACCTGCCACGATGACCGGCTAAAATTTTTTTGTATTTTTTCAGTAGAGACATGGTTTCACCATGTTGGCCAGGCTGGTCTCCAACTCCCGACCTCAAGTGATCTGCCCTCCTCGGCGTCCCAAAGTGCTGGGATTACAGGCGTGAGCCACCGTGCCCGGCCGACAGCTGGTTTCTGAGGCCAAGAGAAGAAGCTGACTCGCCCAGGGCCACACGGCAGGTTGGTGCAGGAGGTGCTGGGCCCTGGTGCCACCCCAAAGTCCACGGGGCTGCCCACAGCTGGGGGAGTGCAATGCCCAGATGGTCCAAGAGAACACTTTCTGGGCTGCTGGTCTGTACAACTGGGAAGCCCCTACCTCTCCACCACGACCCCTCCATGCCCTGCTGCCACAAGGGCCCAGGATCCCTCCCCACTCGCTGCTCCGTGTCCCAGGAGGTCAGATTTCACCCGGATGCTTAGCTCCCCTCCCTTTTTACAGATGAGGAAACTGAGAATGAAACAGGAAAATGAAATGAATGACTCCATCCTACAGGTCTGAGAGTCACCGTCTCGCGGGTGGAGAGCCTGGGTGGTGCGTTTATCAACAGGACCGCTGGTTTCATGTCTCTGTCTCTCCTCATAGACCCACTCAGGTGGAGACCTGTCCCTCTGTCTCCGTGTCCGCGGGGCCCGGCAGGAAGTCGTGTGCAGGGGTGGAGGCTGGAAGACCAGCAGGTCTCCCTTCACCTGGGGATCCCCGAGCCCCATGCAGCCTTGCGGGTAGAAGGGCAGTGACTGCCCACTCCTTGCACACAAGGAAACAGTGAGACCAGAGGAAAAGGACAAAACCAGTCACCCAGGACAGCGGACGGCACACGGGGTGGGGGTGTGTGAGCAGAGACCCTTGGGACCCAGCATCTGGGTCTGGACGGTCCTGGAGCCTGCAGAGCAGGGCAGAGGAGGCAGGTGCAGAGGGGGGCAGAGGAGGCAGGTGCGGGGGGGGGCAGAGGAGGCAGGTGCGGAGCGGGGCAGAGGAGGCAGGTGCAGAGGGGGGCAGAGGAGGCAGGTGCAGAGCCGGGCAGAGGAGGCAGGTGCAGAGGGGGGCAGAGGAGGCAGGTGCAGAGCCGGGCAGAGGAGGCAGGTGCAGAGCCGGGCAGAGGAGGCAGGTGCAGAGGGGGGCAGAGGAGGCAGGTGCGGGGGGGGCAGAGGAGGCAGGTGCGGAGCGGGGCAGAGGAGGCAGGTACAGCCCAGTGCGTGGACCAGCGACCGGCTCCAGGGGCCCATGGGGGGCTGCACTGTGGGCGAAAACGCACGGACGCGACACACCCAAGAGAAACAAGCACACGCCCCCAGGTGGTCCGCGCACGCACGCTCCCAGCAGCATGGCTCAGGGCCATCAGAGAGCGGACACAGCCAGACATCCACATGGGTGAACGGATAAACATGGATCACATCTGTGCAACGGATGGAAGAACATTCGGCCTTCAGGAGGCAGGAAGCACGGCACTCACACATGCGACGACACGGATGAGCCGCAGAGATGCACCAAGTCAAAGAAGCCAGATACCAAAGGCCACATCTTGTCCGCTTCCACGCCCACGCAGTGTCCAGGACGGGCAGGTCTGGACACGGAACGCAGACTGGTGCTTGCCAGGGCCCGGCCCGGTTCTGTCCCGGTTTCCTGGGGCTCTTTGGGGAAAGAGCATGGGCTTTGGAGTCCACTATGACTGGAGGCTGACCAGATGATCCTGGAGCCCTGGGCCCTTGGTTTGCTTTACTGCAGCCCAGGGGGATCCTCCTAGCTCCTGGCCGTGGTCATAGCTGAGCAGGGCCCGAGGAAGGCACCCGGGCTGCAGTGCACAGCAGATGCTGTGGAATCGACAGCTCTTGGGATCATCCTGTGTGGTGGGAGCTATGGGGTGGACACTGGGTTTGGGTAGCAGGACAGAGGGTCGATGGCCTCAAGTCACACTGAGTCAGGCCTGGCGGGGGCCAGCTGCTCCAGCACCCACTGAGCCCGGCAAACCTCGATGGCTCCTCCCATCCTCAGGGGGTCCCACAGCCCTGAGACCAAACACGGGTTTATTGTTTGTGAGGTGGTTCAAGCAGGCTGCATCAGGACAGAAACACACAAAAAACCCAACGCGGGTGGAAGTGACAGGCAGGTGGGGACAGAACATGCCCCCTCCTCTGCAGCTCACACTCTGGGGGATACAATGAAACCGCTGACAATGAGAGCCCCAGGGAAGTGGGGTGCCATGGTGCCAAGGAGCAGTGTGAGGTGCCCTCGACATGGTAAAGCCCCATGACGGGGAGCTGGAGTGTGCAGAAACGCTGGCAGCGGTGGACTATGGGTGACCGATGCTGTTTCTTTAAAAAACAAAGTGGAATTTCCATAACTCTTCACATTCCCATCAATGCATTGATCATGATCACAGCCAGCAGCAAACCCGCCAGGCTCCGTGGCCGGGACCAGCTGACCTCTGCAGGGGAGTGCGGGCTGGGCCTGGCCTGACCCCGTTCCACCGACACTGAGACAGCAGACACCGGCCCCAAATTCCACCACCTGTGACTGGCTGAGCAGCCACACACGTGGGTGGTCTGACTTTGGGGACACCCCATGTTATGCTGCCTCTTGGGGAACATTTTTATAATGGGAAAAACATGTCCCCCTTACAAATCCTGCAAGCCCGGGGTCTGCTGGAGCCAACCCCCAGTCCCCCAAGGCGTCCCCACGCTCAGGCAGCCACCCTGGCGGGAGGTCAGGCCTGGGGCCAGGGCAGCTCATTCCCCAGGACCTGCGAGAGCCACCCCCCGGCACCCGGATCCTCCAGGATGGTCTCATACCAAGATCTTCAGTAACATCTGTACAGACCCGGATTCCAAGCAAGGCCACATCCACAAGTACCTGGGGTTAGGACCTGGACACATTTTTGGGGGACGCTGTTCAGCCCATTACAGGCAGCTTCTGTAGCATCTAGCCCAGCGGAGGCCTTTGGGGGGCAGCCTGGCTCTTTGCGACTCCCCACGGAAGGGGCACTGCGCTCCCCTCAGCCACAGGAGCCCATCCCTCCCGCTCTGCCTGGCCCTCACGCTCTCTGCGTGCACCTGGGCTGGCCCCGTGCCCGCCTGGATTTGACGAAGCCCATCAACTTGCCCCACTGCCTCCCATCGCCTGTGGCAGAGCCACCTTTTCAACCCCGTCAGCCCCTTGATGAACCTCCCCCAGGGCTCCAGCCTCCGGATGAAGCCTGGGGCCCTGCCCCTCCCTCCACCACCAGCTGTGCCACCTCAGCAGGGCCCACAATTCTGTCACACTGGCAGCCCCTGCAACCAGTCCCACAGGCCAGGCCACTTCACGAGCCCCATTCCCTTGGTCACATCCCCTCCTCCCGGGCCAGCACTGTCTCCCACTGCCCCACAGCCTCCACTGAACCTTCTGGAAGCCACCCCTGCCCAGCGAGTTGGCACTCACTTGCCTGCTGTCCTGGCCATGATGTTCTTGGGGTGGGGGTTTGGCCTCTTGAGGGCTGGGAGACATCGGACCCGGCTGCAGTCCCAGTGCCGGCTGAGACCCACACACAAGAGCAGGGGTCTGCGCTGGGGGCTGCTTCCTGGAGGACATTCACAGACTCGCACCCTCAGACCCCAGACCAGCAGGGCCAGCGAGGCATTTACAGCCCCTGTGCAGTTTACAGATGAGAAGAGGGAGGCCCTGGTGGGAAGTGGGGCCTGGCCGAACAAGACCGGACCAGAACCCCGGCCTGTCGCCCTCAGTGGTTGGCAATGGGCACCTGGTAGCCCAGCCTGCGTTCACTTAACTTTGTTACCTGGAGGAAAGTCACAACTCCACGACACTCCTAGATGACTCTGGGTGGGCTGAGGGTTACAGGGACACTGGTACATCCTCCCGGGGTCACAATCGGCAAATGTGCTCTGAACACCACCCTCAGCTGCCGTTCCACTTGCGGATGGGAGGATTCACCTGGGGGCCCCTCCGCCCTGCCGGGAGCAAGCCAGACCCAGGGGCCTTGGCCCCAGGAGCCCACAGAAGCCGAGTGTCATTTCTATTCCAGGCCCTTCCATCTCACCAGATGCTAGGGGTACAAAAGAAAAATAAGCCAGGGTCCCGCGGCCCCGTCGGAGCTCTCAGACCAGGGCGGGCAGACCAGCGAGACAGACACACTGCCCTTATGAGCTGCGCCCCCACCCCCAAACCCACCTCTGGGGAAGTCTGTTCTTTCCTGCGGGAAACCCCCAGGGCGTGTGGGACTCTTTGAGGAGACAGAGCTCACTCCGGGGGAGGTGAGGGCAGACGAGGAGGGGAACTCACGGGAAGGTAGGAAAGGGGTCTCGTTTGTGGATTCCTCTACAGGATTTGGGGGTACCTCTGAGAGTGGGGGACGGAGAGAATGCAGGTGGAGATTCTGGCCTGAGGAGAGGCTGGGTGGGACGTGGTGGTCAGAAGCCCCCTGCCTGTGGGCACGGCTGTTGGACCCTGTCACGGCATGGCTGGGACGAGGCACCCGGTGTCTTTCTGGCACCCGGTTTCCATCGCACCCGGTTTCGGGCACTCCGTCGCTTGCCTTCTGCAGAGCTGCTAAGCCGCTGGGCACACAGCTGTGCCTGAGTGCAGGGGGAGAGGCCAGCTCCAGGCTGCAGGCTTCTCTCTGGGGAGGGGGACAATCCTGGGGCCCCTCTGGGGTTTGGGAGATGACTGAGTTGGCCTTTGTACAGCCTGTCCCGAAGCGGCCTGGCACAGGGCAGCAGACTGCAGGGTCCCTGGCAGCCAGATCCCCTTCGCCGTGGCTGGAGCTGGCGTTTCTATTTATGATTCGCCTCTCACGCCCCTTCCCAGCACACCCAGCTCTGGTCTTCACGAGGGGCTGGGATTTTAGAGGTGGCTCAGCTGAGGGCACGGGGGCCTTGGCAGCTGTCACGACCCTCCTGAGCTAAACGCACAGCCCGCACCTTGTTAGCTCTGGGTGGGCCGAGGCCCCAGCTCTGTCCTGGGATCCTTCCCAGTCACCCTCACGTCCTGGGCTTCACTTTTCCCCAAGGCAGAACCACAGCCGTGTGACTCACCCCGTCTCAAGAGGACCGGGCGGGTGGGAGGGCTGCAAGGCCTCTGTGAGGCCTGAGTGCTGGACTTGGGACTCCTGCTCCAGAGTCAGGGGCTAGGGCTGGGCCGGGCCCACCCAGGAGGATGCTGGCAGAGGCCCTGGGAGGAGGGGGAGTGGGCGCCAGCTCCAGGACTGGATGTGTCTGACAGCCTGTGTCCCACAGGGCTTGCCATGGGCCTGGGCACGGCTCCTGCCTCTGCTGGCCGACCTGGCTTGACCTCAAGCGGCCTGGGTCGGGACAGCCGCAGCCGAGGCCAGCCCATGGTGACAAGGCCTGCTTCCAGCCTCTCCCTCGTGCCCCAGGCTGTGGGTCAGCCCAGTCAGCCCTGCTATGGGCACATAGCCCCGTGCAGGCCCAGCTGGGACGGAGCAACGCAGGCAGAGCTGCACTGACCTCTCCGGAGTGCCGTTTGTGAACTCGAATCGAGGCGCCAAGTGCTCACGTGTCCTTTAAGCCAGGGATGGACTTCCAGAAATTTACCCTTGGGACTAAAACCCCCTGTAATCAATATCTGCTGGAAGAGAGGCGGACGGCTGGCAGAGGCATTTATGGGAGTGAGCGTGTCCAGGGACGCGTGGGTGCGTCGGGGCAGGGAAGGCCGGGCGTGGCCCTAGACAGGGCACAGGGGCATGAAAGGCGCTGGGGAGGAACAGGACCAGCCTCGGCAAGTGGGAGTTGATGCGAGTGACCCGGGCCCTTCTGTCTCGTCTGGGTCTCCACCACCAAGAGCCTGTTCTTGCGACTGAACGCCCACCATGGCCCTGGCCTCACCGAGCTGCCCTCGGTTCCCAGGACCTCTGGGGCCACTAGCTGGGCTCCTGCCTGGTCACTCTCCTGTTCCTCATCCTCCGCACGCCCCCGGCACCCAGACTTGGCACACTGGCTGCAGAGGCTCCCATTGCATGGTGCAGACAGCTCTCCCTGCACCCCCAGTGCCCGAACATGGAGTAGGTGCCAGTGAATGCCTCCTGGGGGAGTCTGACCACGATGTGTATACAGTACAGCCGGGACTCCCCGGGGAGCAGGTCGGAAACCGCACCTGCTGACTTTCTTAGTTGTCTTTTGGGAAGGTGGGCTGGACCCCACTACATACTCCCCAAGGTCATGAGGGGCATCGGGGTGGGATCTTCCAGAACCTTCCCCATTCCTTCTACTATCCAACACTGACATGTGGGCCCCCACCCCTGACCTGGGGAGGCAAGGGCCGAGGAGTCAGGGAGGGTGGAGAGGAAGTGCCCCTCCCATGACACGTACTTTGCCCCCCACACCTTCCTGCTGGCAGCCCTGAAGGCGGGTAACAAGATGGAAGAACAGAGGTCACAGAAGAGAGAGGAACGGAGGTGAGTGCGGAGTCTCTTTCCAGCGGCTGTCCAGGTGGAGGAGACGGGGCGCTGTCTGGAACCGGCTTCCATGACGGCAGGGCGGGGGCACCGTCCTCTGCACTTTTGTACATCTTTGACATTTTCTATCATACGAAGCCAAACGGGAGAGGACACAGATTTCTCTTGAAGGCACAAACTGAAGGGAAATCCACTACCCAGATGGAGTTTTAAGAGGAGAATTTTGGAAGAGCCTTAAAGCAGGAGAGGAAATTGGCATGATAGCAGCATTGCATCTCCCAGAGGGAGGCTAAGGGTTTTTAAGAAGGCAAAGGTGACAACCAGCTAGATAAGAGGCTCAAACAGGTGAAAAATCAAGTAACCGGCACAAGATAAAAGAGGTTATTAAGATAAGGGGATTAAGACTCAGGATGAGCTGGAGAATTCGCAGAGGAGCTGAGTAGCCTCTGCTGTGGGTTGGCAGGGGCCGGCCAGGTCTCCTCCGTGGGCTGCAGCCTCCAGAGAGCATGGACCCCCAGAGGCTCAGAACCTGCCCCAGCCCTGACCTCCCCACTGGGCCCACCACAGAGCCACCTTTATATATCAGCTGCCAAAGCCACCTCCAGGCCACTCCAGCCCTGTGTCTTAGCAATAGCCCTTTCCAGAGGCTTCCAGCCTTATCAGCTTCCAGCCTTATCAGAATGGCTCTCCCACTGTCCAGGGCCCCCCGAGCGTCCACACCACCACGCTGGAAGTCCCCAAGGCCGGAATGCAGCAGAGGCCCGGGTCAGGCCCCCCAGAGCTGTCTTCTGTTCCTACAGGCATGGGCTGGGGGGGCAGTCGCCCTTTGGGAGACCTCCCAGCACCCCTACCCTATCTGGTGGCCAGGAAAGGGGCAAGATCTTGCAGTGTACTGGCCTCTGGTGAGGGAGGCAGTGAGTGCTGTGACTGTGGCTGACCCTCTTGCCAGCATCCTCCCTGTCCCCATCAACATGACCAGAGTGCTTGCCGCTCCATGAGCTTCCCCTGCCCATGTGTGCCTGTGGCAGGGGTGCCGCCCGCGCAGGCCGTGGGGACAGTTTATGCGTCAGGCAGCAGCAGCAGCAGGTGCCCGCTGCAGCCTTGCCCAGGCTCTTTTGATCTGATTTGGTCCTCACGGTCGTCCTGGGAGGCAGGTCCTATCAGGACATGTGGTTTCCAGCACACAGCGGTGCTCCCCGAGGCCCCTGCGCCCTGTCCCTTCTTCCTCTTTGATCATCAAACGACCCCCCCGTCACTGACCAGTCAACGGGTGGTCACCGCCCTGGCAGGCACCACGTAGCCCGGGGCACAAGGGCCAGCTGTGGCTGCTGGTGAGTGTTCCCTGTGTGCCAGGTGCTGACATGCACGAGTGTGATGGTGGCCTTGCATTCCTCTTTCATCCTGACTGCTCACCACCCCCTTCCCAGGCACACACACACGGATGCATGGACACACACAACCACATGCATGGCACACACACATACACATGTGCACAGATGCATGCATGCACACACATGCATAAGCAGACAGATGTGCATGCACACACACACAGACACACACGTACACACACACAGCAAATCAGGATGCTGAAGCCAACCAGCAGCTGTTTCCCCTGTTGGCATGGCTGCCGCTTCCCAAGAGGGCACTGTTGCCCTCCTGCCCCAGGCAGGAGGCTCCAGGCTAAGGACTGCATGCCTGAGTCTGAGCCAGTACAAAAAGGCAAGTTGCCCTCGGGAGCCAGGGTCCCAAGTCCCCGGGGGGAGCAGACGGTGCTTTTCTCCCCCTCACTTTTTAAAGACAGCTTTTTTTAAAAAAAAAGTTTTTTGGTTCCCAGGTAAACATGTCTGATGCAACCACAGGCCTGTCCCAGGTTGTCTTCCGGGCACCTGGGACCAGGATGCAGCCTTGGGGAGGAACCCAGCAGCTCCTCCTCCTTAGGGAGGAGCCCAGCAGCCCCTAGGTGGGCACGTCCCACCCGTCCAAGCTGGGCTGCCATGTCAGCAGCGTGCAGACACCATCTCAGGGGCAAGACAGGGGTCAGGAGGCCAGGGAATCAAGGTGTCCTGCCCCACAGACACAGAGGCCAGCGGCCTGTGGTGTCGTGAGAGCTCACTGGAGAAACATGCCTCTGGGGGGAGCAGAACTCTTCCCTTCCCCGGGGTCTCCCCCGTGGCCACACCCAACTTTCATTCCCAGCTCACTGCTGACAGCCTGGGTGTCCCAGGCAGCTCCTGGTTTCTTGGAAAGCCTCACTATTCTCATCTGTGAAATGAAAAACCCCCTGCTCCCTAGAACTAAACACGACTGTGATCACGCACGCCTGCATCTGTGATGTCATCCCCATGCCCCAGAATGCCACCCCTGGTCTTTCTACAGGTTCCGATCCTAGTCCGTCTTCCCAGGAGTCACGGCGGGCTGCCCGCTGTGGCCACCCTCTCCCGGCGGTGGAGGGTTGAATTGTGTCTTCATGAAAGGTGTGTCCAAGTCCTAACCTCAGTACCTGTGACCCTGACCTTGGAAAGAGGGTCACTGTATGGGGTCCTCATCCAATGCCTGGGGTCCACGTGTGAAAAGACAGGGGAGGAGACACAGACAGGGGAGAACGTGCCGTGAAGACAGAGGCGGAGATCGGAGTGATGCCGCCACGAGCCAAGGAACACCTGGAGCCCCTGGGAGCTGGAAGAGGCAGGAAGAATCCTCCCCCAGAGCCTTCGGAGGGAGCGCAGCCCTGCCGGCACTGGGATTTCAGACTTCTGGGCTCCATCACTGTGAATGACTCTGTGTTGTTCTAAGCTACCTAGTTTGTGGTCATTTGTTATGGCAGCCCCAGAGCACTCATGCCCTGGGTACAGAGCTGGGAGCAGGGAAGGGCCTGGCCAAAGGTGTGAACGCCTCTTCCTCAGCCCCTCTGCCACCAGCATGAAGAAACTGCAGAAAAGTCCCCACTTCACACAGCAGGTGACCAGACAGACCCGGCATCAGCCTGACCTGGCCGCTTCCTGCCAGCACAGCTGTCTTCCCCACTCCCCATGTGCTGGGGGTGCATCCAAACCGACCCCTGCCCTTTTTCCCATGAAAAGCCAAGGGGTTGAAGATGAAGCCTCATGTACCTTTATTTCCCCCACGGCACAAAAAAACGGTTCTTACACCCCTCTGGGATCCCCGCTGAACACACTGTCCTGGCGTTAATCCAAAAAGAAAACCGGTGACTCCTCGGAGAATGGTCCATGACTCGGCAGATGCCAGTCTGCCCCGTGGGAAGGGGTCTCCAGGCAACACAGCCACGCTGTGCTGGGAACCTGGATGGGCCCCGTCACTGGGGTCACCTTCTCCTGCCTCCCTGGGGCGGGCTTTGCAGCCCCGACAGCTGCCTGTTCCTCCGGCTGCTCCTGGAGAGGGGCCCGTTCTCAAATCTCCTGGAATTGGCCACTGAAGGCCCCCCTCTGCCTCTCGAGCCAGCTCGGAAGTGTGCACGTCACCGAGGCTTCTGGTGACACCAGCAGTACAGGTGGCCTTCACCATTAGGTCACAGTGAGAAAGCGAGGCCTTCTGCATTCTCTTCCCAGCCTCCCGATTACATCAAGGGACAAGAGTATGGGTCTTTATGGTGGCTCTGCCCCTGCTCATCTCTCTATTTAAGGGAGGCAGGGTGGCCCTGGGGGCAAAGCTCACAGCAAACAATGTGAGTCCATGTGGCCAGGGCACACAAAAGCTAACATGTAGTCAGTGGTTCGTGTTCATGGTGCGTGTTTTCATAGTTACCTGCAGTTTATCACAGGTGACGTTGATTTTTTAACCGCAGCAATGATTAACACGTCTTCTAGGTATAAAGGTACTTCAAAAAGAAGTGAGTTGATTTATTAAAGATCTAGGTCTTAAATAACAGTATAGGTGACACTGGATTGCCAAGGTGGTCTGCGCACACTGAAAGCTGTTCTAAACATGCCAGAAGCTGCTCAAAATGTGGGGCCCACAGGAGAAGGCTCCTGTGTTCCCTTCTCCTGTGGGCAGGGACCAGGCCTTGGTTTTCACCAGGTCCCCTTCCAGGGATCCCATGTGGAACAGCAGCGGGGGCCTGCAGGATTATCGGGAGCGGCCTGCGAGGCGCGATGGGCTCGGGCTCAGGCGAGGCACGCAGCGCCCCTAAGCCTGGCTCTATCCTGAAAGGGCACCTAAGCGTGAACAGAGCCGGTGCCTGCAAAACCTCCAGGAAGAGCTGGGTGCGAGTGGGCGTTTGATACACGCTGCTGGCTGTCAATACCGTGTGATCCACACTGGATGTTGAGCGAGAAACAGAAGAATGAAGAACACAGAAAAGTAAAGAGCCCTCTAAACAGCCCAATCAAGCATCATGGAATACCACGTGCCAGGTCTCATTCATGCCTCGCTGGTACTTCCCGGGTCCTCCTGCCGCGTCCGTCCGCTCCCGGTTTGCTCACTTTTCTAACAATCTTACTCATCTGGTTTCCTAGACAGCAGTGGGCGGGAATGAGCATTGACAGCCCCTCCAACAAGGAGAAGAGGAGGAGTCTGGGGCCATTGAGTACAGGGAGAAACAGCCCACAGAGTGCAACATCCCCCAGGCGCCAGGGGGTCCCGGCTACGAGGTGAGCTGCTTCCAATCCCAGTCCTGTCATGTAGCGGTGGGTGACTCTGGGCAGGTTTCCTCACCTCTCCGAGCCCCAGTGTCCCCACCTGTAAAATGGGGACAATAATAGAACTTATGGCATAGGGTTGTTTCAAGGGTTAAAGGAGATAAGTCATTCCAAAAGCCTCCATAAAATACATGTTAATCATTATCAAAATTAGCTGTTATAATGACACAAGTCAGCAGGAAGAGGGTTCCAGTGTTTCTCATGTAGACCTCAAGGTTGCATGTAATGCATTTTGGGATATGCACGGAACAGGGCAAATGTGTTTAAAGATCTGAGCCTCCATGGGAATAAGCTGCTCTTGTGTGGGAAAGCCCCCTCTAGCCTGAAGATGTGGCTGCCTGAGGTCACAAATTCCTGGGGCTATTCCTGCTCTGGCAAGCTGCGGGGGCTGATGACGCCAGCACCGTCGCTAGGGCTGAGGCCCAGGAATAATGAATGGCCACAGCCAGGAACAGGCGCCCACCAGAGACAAACAGCATGTTCCTTGCACATTCAAAGCAGACACAGTTTAAAAATAATGAACAGGGCGGGAGGACAGTTATTCCTGAGGTCATTCGTTAAACCTCAATTTCAAAACTGACCACAGGCTCAAGCTGCCGGGAAGCACAGCCCCAAGTTGGCACGACTCCCGAGTGGCCCACCAGGCCCGGCTGCGGGTGACGGGTGGGTGTCCACTATGGCTGCTCAGGAGAAGCCTTTTGTTTTCATTTTCTTTTTTGCTACATTTGAAGTTCTTCTCAGAGCCCTGGATAGCAGAGGCTCCATATGAATGCAGCCCAGATAAGGTGGCTGCAGCTGGGAGCCCCGGGGTTACCGGCTCCCCAACAGCGCCGTCAGCCCCGCACACACAGCAGGGAGCCCCAGGGCAGGCCCGCAGCCCCCAAGGAAGGTCTGTGCCCGGGAAACACATGGCATTCAAACCGCCGCTGGTGTGTGGCCCCTTATCCACTCTCCCTGGGAGGAAAGGCCCCGTGTGGTGTCCAGAGAGCTGCTGTAGGAGGTGTTTGCTAGACTGGGCCAGAGGGCAAAGGTGAAGGGGCGGCTGACACACTCCAGCCCACAGATCCTGGCCCAGGATGCTGGGACCTGGAGAGCACGGCCCTGCGTGCAGCACCTGCCAGTAGGTAGCAGGATGTGTCGTAGAGGGCTTGCTGACCCCAAACATGCCGAGTCACCCACATCCTGGCCTCCCCGCCCACTTTGCCGGTGGGACAGAGTGGCTGACGGCGTGTGGCACAGGCGGGGTGAGCCCGGAAGGGTGAGCATGCGCCTGCTGACGCTTCGTTCACCAAGCGGGGGGCCTCTACAGCTCGCCCAGGTTCCAGCTGAGCCAGGCCTCTTGGGAAGGCGTAAAACAGTCAAGATTCAAGCAGGTGAAATCTGAGAACACTGCACACACTCATGGGTGCGGAAGGCTCTGATCACATCAAAATCTTACTCCGGGCAAATGCTGGGCCCTCACAGGGGATAAAAACAGAACCCACTGACGAGACGCCTGGCAGTGCGGGGGCCCCAGGGTTAGTCTGACTGCTCCACTACCCATGGTTATGGGCTAAATGTGTCCCCTCAATCCATGTGTTGATGTCTCAGCCCCTAGGACCTGAGAAAGCGGCTGTACTTGGAGATGGGGTCTTTAAAGAGCCCCCTATATACCTAATGTAAATGACGAGTTAATGGGTGCGGCACACCAACATGGCACATGTATACATATGTAACAAACCTGCACGTTGTGCACATGTACCCTAGAACTTAAAGTATAATAATAATAATAATAATAAAAAGAGCCCATTAAATTAAAACAGGTCATTAGGGTGGGCCCTAGTCCAATCTCACTGGTGTCCTTATAAAAAGAGGAGATGAGGACACAGGCACACAGAGGGATGACCCTGCAAGGACACAGGGAGAAAGAAGGTGGTTATCTGCATGACAAGGAGCGAGGCCTCAGGAGAAACCAGCCCTGAAAGGCCTCGATCTTGGACTCCAGCCTCCAGAACTGAGAGAGAATCAACGTCTGGGCTGCTTAGTGGTGGAAACCCCAGCAAGCTCACACACCGGCCCAGGAGGGCCTTCCTAGGACAGTTGGGCTACAGCACCAGCTTCCTTGGGAAAAAGGGATTTCTCCCTTGACACATCTGGAGGTGCTACAGGGACCCTCTCCAGGAATAATGTCCGGCACAGCCTGGCAGACTTCGGCTCAAATCTGCCTGGGCCACTTCCCAGCTGGTGACCTGGGGTGATCCCAAGCACCGAGGGGGGATGGGTGCCCCAGCTCTGCCACTCACCCCAGCTCTGCCACTCACCCTAGCTCTGCCACTCACTCCCCCCAGCTTTGCCACTCCCCCCAGCTCTGCCACTCACCCCAGGTCTGCCACTCACTCACCCCAGCTCTGCCACTCACTCACCCCAGCTCTGCCACTCACCCCAGCTCTGCCACTCACTCCCCCCAGCTTTGCCACTCACCCCAGGTCTGCCACTCACTCACCCCAGCTCTGCCACTCACTCACCCCAGCTCTGCCACTCACCCCAGCTTTGCCACTCATGTCTGAAGTGGCCGGATGGCCAGGGCAGCAGCCACTACGCCGACAGTTCACTTCCATTTAACCCAGCTTTGTGGAGATGCCGCGGGTCTGGGGCTTGGCTGGTATTCCCAAGCCCCGTCTCCCCGTCTTTGGCAAGGCCACACACGTGTGGTTTCAGCAAGGGGTTGCTGTGCTGGAACCGGCTGTGAGCAGACCTGCAGAACCTCAGCCGGACCCCACCCTTCCCAGGCCCTCAGTCTCAGGCTCAAGCCTGTGTTTCTGGTTTTAATTAACAAAATGTGTTGGTCACTGAGAGGCCCTGGCAAACATCTATGTATGGTGTGTCCCCTGGGGGCCAGGATTCCTCCCACAGCCCTATGCTGAGGCAGAGTAAGGGTGGGGGTAGGGATGATTCCCTCTGGGACAAGGGGGAAGGGAAGGGAAGTCAGCACTGAGCACAGGAGGGACCAGGCCCCATCTCGCTGGGCTGCTGACCCCACCCCAGGTCAGTCCCCCGGGAGAGTGCCCTCGGCCGTGCCCAAGGAAACCGGAACGCTTGCTCCAGGGATGGAATGGAACTACCAGAATGTCCTTCCGAAGGATGGAAATCCGTGTGATTTATGTACATAAAGCAAGGAAAATGTACAAGGAATACAGAACCACACAGACAAGAAGAGGTTGCAGAGGGCGGTCAACTACTGTTTTTGCGACTTCTCTGCGACTCTAACACGATCAGAAAGAAGGATGTGAGCGGAAGTCAGTGGTCACGTGACATCTGTCTGCATGTGTTTATGGATCCATCCATATATAGTAAAGCCCAAAGCCCGCCTGGGAGTGTGAGCCTGGAAACCCAGGATGGCGGCTCTGGGGAAAGAATCGAGCTCTGGGGCCCTCCCTACACGCAACTTGTAGCTGCTGAAAGACGCCTAAAGCAAATACAAGCCAGGTGCCAGGACCTTGACGACGCTGGGGTTGGTTCTGTTATTCTGCATGGTTCCCGTGTTTAGATCTTTCACAATCATTCATTATGCATAAGCGTTTTCATTAACGATATAGGCGTGATAGGAGGCGGCCCCTCCCTGCTCTGAGAGCCCATGCCACTTCCACACAGGCCGAGGGCCGGCACCCACGGTGAGCTGGCTCATGCTCCCACCACGTCCCGAGGCACCTCCAGGAGACTGGCCCTGCAATGGCCCATTTCACAGACGAGGAAACTAAGGCCTGGGGCTTTAAGACTTGCCCATGGCCCCACACAGGGTGGGGATTCCCACCTGCTTTGCCAACCGCTAAGCCCATGCTCCAAGCACTGCACCCCGTCCACAAGGTCAGACGGGCCACTCCTCGGGGCCCCCAAGGGCAGCAAGCTCCCAGTTCGCACAGGTCAGAACGTGAAGGATGCCTTTGCAGGGCGGTGCTTACGGCCCAGGGCACCTGGCTTCACGCACTAATGATCAGAGAGCCGCGTGCCTCCGTGCAAAACACCCAGGCCAAACACATGGGAGCAGACTCACGGCCCACGAGGGAGGAAAGCAAGCGGTGCTTCCCGAGCACGTGGGAAAAAGTGGGCCTTGCGGGGCCCAGATCTAAGGGAGTCAGGGCCGGCAGCAGAGAGACCCTGACCCGTAAAAGGATGGGAAGGGGCAGATAAGGAAGGAGCCTGGACTTACGAGAGGTCACCCTGATGAGACAGGGTTCCAGGAGAAGGTGACGTCCCCAGGAGACCCGGGGAGGCCAAGAGGGGGCCTGGGCACCAAGCTAGCTAGCCTAGATGTCTGGTGTCCCACTGGTACTGAGGCAGCACCCCGATGGAGGCAGGCTTTGCAGGCCTGGGAAGGGCCTGTGCCAAGACAGAGAGGGGCAGGAGAGCCCCAGCCAGCTTGACTGGGGTGGCTCCACAGGCCAGCCCTGTGCTCAGCAGGTGGGCGCCACAAGGCCACTTCCTGCCACCCACATCACTTTAGAGTGTGAGCACCCAGCAGCCCATGGAGCAGAGATGAAGGCGGCCCCGCCCTCGGCCGGCTGGGGACTGAGTAACTCGTTCTCCTCTGCTCACAACAATCAGATGAGCGAGAAACTGGCCCAGCCTGCTGGGCTTGCAGCAGCCGGAAGGTTCTTCTGGCCGTTGGTGGGCACCTGCCAGCAGGGAGGGTCTGGGCAGGAAAGAGCCACATAGCTGCACTTGGTGCAGGGACGAGGGTGGGGATTCCTGACATCCTCGACCACGGCAGCCGTGTGTGTTCAGCAGCACACTGGGGCCAAGCACCCTTGGGTGCCAGTCACCAACAGAGAGCACCTCTGTCCCCCTCTCTCTGTGAGCCTTCGTGGGAGCCTGGCTGCCGGGCTGGGGAGAATGACCCACTCTGGCACTGTAATGGGACAAACAACCAGGCCCTGTCCCGAAGCGGCCTCAGCCTCAGGTTTCCAGACGGGGCCCACATCCTGACGTTTCTAGGTGTTCTTCATGCTCCAAACTCTCCCAGCCTCCTGTGGCCAAGCGGCCTGCCCCGGCCTGCCCTTTGGGGACAGCTGTGCCGTTCCGAGGCAGAATCTAGGTCTCGGAGCGAGAGAAATCTGTGCTCTTCTGCAGGAGCTGGGCCCAAAGTGGAAACCCAGCATGGGCGCTGGAGTGGGCGAGGGTTCCCTTCAAAGCTGGCTGCTCTTTTCCTCTGCCCCAAGGAGATCAGAGGGTGCCACGTGGGAGCACGCGCTCCTACAAAGCACAAACGGCTCTTGGTGCCCACACTGGCACCTGCTTTTCCGACCTGCAGAGAGCTCTTCCTGTCCTGGCCCCAGGATGTGCAAGACAGCAGGGTGGAGATTTGTGGGAAAGTGGGGCGTCCTCGGCAGCATCAGGCCAGTCCACCGCCCCAGGACCAGCCATGGGGACACCCCACGTGCAGAAGCTAGACTCACGGAGCATCAGTGACACATGAGACCTCTTCTGGGCTGCACACTGGTGCATGGTCAGTGACACATGAGGCCTCTTCTGGGCTGCACACAGTGGTGCAGGAGAGAGGGAGGGAGGAAGGACGAGAAAGATTTCCAATCACTCAGTCTCAAACCTTTGAAAACTAGTGGATGCTTCTTTCTGCATAAAACCTGGGGTGCATCCTCAAGATATAAAACAGCTCAAGGAGCAGGAGCAGATGGACAGAAGCCCTTGGAGAAGCCAGGGCCTCGGGAGTGAAGAGGGAGCTCTGGATGTCCAAGTTCCCTTCTCGGTTCCTGCCGGGGTGTTGCCCGTGTGCAGGAGCCTTAGCCCCGCAGGTGTGGGGGTTGCGGGCAAATGTCAGGGATGGGGGTGCCTTAAAGATGGAGAAACTGAAGCCCAGCGAGGAGCAGCACCACGACCCTGCCATTCTTGGGGCCCCATTTCCTCCGTCTCAGAGGGGAGCCTGTCAGATGCTGTGAGCCCTCGGGCCAGCCACCCTCTGAACACAAGGGACAGCAGGTTGAGGGCACAGGCGAGAGTGTGCACGCACCCTGAGGCCACAGAGAATGAAACATGAGGGTCGGTTTCTGCCCAGGAGACAGGTATGTTCTTGAGGCGGGCGCGGGGAAGAGGTAGAACTCTCAGGTGTCCCTGGGGCTGGGGGATCTCACTACCTCTGTAGCTCGTCTTTGAGCATTAATGCTAAGTCCCAGCACCCCGTCCACAGCACCCCAGCCTCAGGGTAACGAGGCCTGGTACCTAACCCACAAAGTGCTCGCTGGTAGGGAGTGTGCAGGCCAGACACTAAGGCATTCCAGTTCTCCCTGGCCCTGTGCCAGGCCACTAACTGGATCCGCTGCACTCAGGGACACCATGTACTATGGTCCCTGCTCTACAGGTGAGGACAGCAGCCTCAAAGAGCCCAGGCCAACTGCTTCCCATGGACTCGCTGCCCCTTCACAGGTCAGGAGTCCCCTGAGACAGCTCAGGGCAGCCTGGGACCAATGCCAAGTTCAGGAGCAGAGGAGAGGGCTAGAGAGGTGGAGGGTCTGCCGGCAGAGACAGGGTGCACCTGGGGAGGGCCAGGGCCACGGCTGGGTGGGGTGGCCCAGGACTATCTGAGTCAGGGAGATGGTGGCTGGAGGGTGGAAACCTTTGACTGGCAGCCCATAGGGGTGGGGTAGGGGGTCATGCCAGTCACCCACACAATGGCTGATGCTCACCCAGCGCTTGTGTACAAAGACCATCTAGGGCCAGCCATGAGCCTCACTTTACAGACGGGGTAACCAAGGTTTAGGAGGCAAATAAACTCTGCTGACCCTGGCACCTGGGGTGAAGAATTCCGGCTGCGTCTTCCTCGGCTAGGCCTTCTGATCAGATCCGAGGCGGTGCCTGCCACCATCACCACCATCAATCTCTTAGGCCCAGCCCCCTCCCTGCCCTGGCCCCACCAGCCCTCCAGAACAGGGTCACATGCCCCACCCTGGTGCCTGCTGGCTCTGGCTTGAATTTTGCTAAATTTGGGTGACTTCCTAAGGCAGCAGGGGGTGGGGTGGGGGTGAGGTTCATCCTGTAAGGAGGGCATCTAGCGTTCCTGCCCCACGGGCCAGCGTCGGGGCTCCTCTCCCTCTGGCCAATGTGGGGAGCCTCCCTAAAGTGCTCCCCTCCCGCCCAGGACCAGGAGCTGCCCCAAAGCAGCACAGTCCAGCAAGCAGGACGCCTGGACCCTTTAAACAACCCGACTGCTGCGCCGTATTCACCGCAATAGGCGGGCAGGAGCGGGACGCACTGCTTCCAGAGTCCCGGCCCTTTAAGCGACCCACACTCCCCGCGTCGCATTCACCCTAATAGGCGGGCATACAAATGCCGTTGCCTGGAGCCGCAGCCCAGCGAATGGGACCCACAGCGGCGCGCCCTTTAGTTGACTCTGTCTTATTCGCCGCAATAGCTGATCAGGAGAAATCCCGCTGGCTGCCAGGAAAGGGGCGCGGAGATGCGGATGCTCCGCCCCAACACCACGCCTTCCTCTGCTGACCATCCCCAAAGTCCCCTTTAAATGACAACCCTCCCCCCCCCCACCCCGCCCCCACACCGAGCGCCGTATTCACCCCAATAGCACATCAATCCCTCCGCAACGCCGGGATACTGAGCTCTCCCTCCCCTGGCCGAGGAAGGCCCTTCCCCGCGAGGAAGCAGCTGAGAATGGGCCAGCGAGAGAAGGGACAAAGGCACGGGCGACAGAGCTCCCTCTGTGCTGTCCCCCAGCGTCTGGAGGCCCGTTCCCGCCTTGCTCAGAAGCACAGGGCACTTACCAAGGGGCCATCCGTGACCAGCAGTCAGGGGCATGCTGTCTCCAAGCTGGGGTGGTGCTTCTGCTCTGCCAGGTACGGCAGCGCTTACTGAAGGTTTGCCATCTCCCCTGGCCTTGGATGAAGGGAAGGCGACCCCAGGCTGGTCACAACAGGCAGCCTGACCAGCTGCCTGCCGAGGTGGGGTATCCCTCAAATCTCCTCCCTGTTTTCCACTTAAAATCCCTAAGAATGTACATATTTAGAAGGAATACTGTTCAGTTGTTGAGCCTCAACTTTCCCCTTCATCCTTGTCTTCGTGTCAGCAGGGTGAGAGGGGATCTATGGACCAGTTAAGTCCATCTGCATTCACCAAACACACTATTAGGCATCCCGAGGAGGTGAGACACCCTAAGGGCTCCATTCCTAAATCAGAGATGATGGGACTCTGGGAAGAGTCACGCCCTCTTGTCCTTCCCATCCTAGAGCATGGAGGAAATGAGCTGGTCACGTCCCACACCAGCCGATGCTGGTGAAACCAGGACATGGTGGGTGGGACTTGCTAGATGGGGGCAGCCAGTCTCAATCTACTGACCTCCCTGGGATGAGACAGTATGACGGCTTTCCACATGTGCCTCACTTAACCGTAGAACACCTACTGTGTGCCAGCCCCTGGGAAGAGAGCCCGGAGCAGACTTGCAGGCAACCGTGCATGGGGACAGACACCGCGCACCAGCGGCACCCACCAGGGACAGATGCCACGCACCAGCGGCGCCCACCATGAACCTGGCTTGGCCCAATCGCTTTCTCCATAGGAAGCCATTCAATTAAACAAACATGACCATTTCAGTATAAATAAAGAGAAAACAAAACACAGAGCTGAGAGCTGCTTTGGAATGGGTAACGGGCCAGGAACAGAGACTCTCTCAGAGAGGCAGCATCTGAGCTGGGACCTGAATTAGATGGAGCCCACCAAATGCAGATCCAAGGAGGGGCCGAAAGCAGAGGCACAGGCAGTGCAAAGGCCCTGGAGTAAGAAGCCGGGGCTGACGCCAGACCCCTGTGAGCAAGGAGGGGAGAGGGAGGGGAGGGGAGGGGGAGAGGAGAACAAGGGAAGGGAGACAGAGTGGAGGGGCATCTAGGGCCTGTGGGGTCTGGAAAGGGGTCAGGACTTACTGAGACCCATGGCAAATCTCAAAGGGCTCTAAGTGGTCAAATTACATGAAGTGGTTTATCTTTTTAAACACCATGCTGGCTGCTGGCTGGAGAAGGGCTAGGAAGGCCACGAAAGGGGAGCCTACTAGGTAGCTGATGTGGAGCTCCAGGCAAGAGCTGGTAGGGCCAGGAGGGGAGTGGAGGCCAGCCCTGGAGGGAGTAGCCGGATGTGAGGTGGGCTGGGAGGCCGAGCAAAGCATTTGCTCTCAGCCTGGGTGGCTCTGAGATTTGCAACAAAGGCCCTCTAGGAATTCTGGATCCCTCTAAGCCAGCCAAGAAGGCTCATGTCCCACCCCCTCCCCATCTCCCACCTCAAGCCCTGGTCCTGAGGACACAGCTGGTGCCCACTCCGCTTAGTGTAGATGCCAGCACAAGGCAATCTCACATCCTCGTGGACATGATCCCAGAGGCCCTGGCTCAGAACAACTGTGATGCTAAGAGAACAACGCGGTCCTTAGTCCAAGTCCTTTGTACTCGACCGCCAACCCTACCACTCTCCGGAGCAGCTTCACTATCTGCCCATACATCTCCACGGGAAAGGTTACCCAGCCGTGGCCAAGACCCAGCCACCAAGGCCCCAAAACCTTTAAAAATCTTGACCAGCCCAGGAGCCCCATCCTCAGGCTGTCAGTTGCCTCCTCAAGCTGCAGGCTCGGTAAGTCATCAAGCAAAGCTGGCATCGAGAACAATATTCTTTTCCTTTGTGCCGGTCACAAGCAGCATGAGGACATCCAGGGCAGCATGCCTGTCCCTGTCGGGAGGCCAGTGGCCCTCACTTGTACCCCCCAACATCTACCCCCCAGCACACTGGTGCACTCCCTGGGCTCCCCTGCCAACCCTGCAAGTGGTGGGCACTTCTACCCACCTGGCCCTTGGACTCCACAAGGGGAGCTGCACCTAACGGCTCCCTCCCCGACAGCTCCCTTCCTGTCAAAATGACCGGGATCCTTTTGGCACTGTGCAACCCTGGGCCTCGGCCCCTCTACAACCCCCTGTCCCGGAGGTCAGAGCTTCCAGCTCCCCAGGCCTCTCCGGGAGAACCCTGAGCTGGGTCCACAACATTTCTCAGCTGCGGTCACAGGCTCAGATTCACCTGTCCCTTGAACAATAAATGGGAATGGGGGCGGGGGGCACCTTCTGTCATCTTGGGTAAGTTTTCCACCTGCACACTGTGCCTGTATGTGTGCAAACGTGTGCAGGCTTAACCACAGAATCAGCAGAGAGCACCAGTCCCCAAAACACAGCTGGCAGAGACACACACAGCCCTTCCACCCGCCGGCTTGTCACAGAGTGTTTCTCCCTCCCCCAAGCGTTACATGTCAGATTACTATCAGCGCTCAGAGTGAGGCCAGGATCTCAGGAGAGAAACTGATACCAGGCATTCTCAGCATAGTAAATACAATCCTGGGTAGGGGTTGGGTGGGGGGGGCGGTCTTGCGTTGGTATTCTGTAAAGAGCTGAAAGCAGTCCTTTGAAGAACATGGCCTATTCATGGCCCAATCTGGACCCAGAAAGGAGCCTCCACTGGACATGCAGGATGGCTGCCCGGGGTTCGACATCTGCAGGGCAGCCTCTCTGAGACCAGGCCCAGGACTGCAGGTCAGAGGCTCCTCATCCGGCCTATCTGCTGTGTCACCTTTCTTAAACACAGCCTGGCAAGACAGACACACGCGGTGCCTGCCTCCTGGCACCCCAGGCCAGCCCCACACGCGTGCAGGCAGACAATAGGATCTGCAGTTCTGGAGCCTGAGACCAGAAGGGAGCAGCTGGGCACATGATGCCACCCCAGGTTGCCACAAACCTGCCCGATGCCTGCAAAGCCCCCACTCACCTGGCAGGTTCAAGGAACAGCAAGGCCCTGTGTACCAAGGAGGTGGGATAAAAACGTGCAGAGGGGCCTTACTCCTGGGGTTGGGGAGCAGAGTTTCTGTTCAGTCTGGGATCTGGATCAGCCCTGGTGCAGGCAGACCCAAGAGCATCTATCTAGGATCCCAAAGGCTGGCCCACTTCTCCAGGCTTTGGGAGGCTGTATCAGGTGGGGTGGGACCCTTACAGAAGTCTTCCTGTAAAAGGCACCTTGAAGAGACTGGGGCAGACACACAGAGGGGAGCAAGTTGCGAAACGGCAAGAGAGGAAATCCACCCAGCCGCTTCGGCGGGGCAGACCCGCTCAGCCCAAGGATGAGGGAGGGGCTGGGCTCAGCCCAGGGACGAGGGAGGGGCAGGTAAGCCCACCCTGTGACCCCTCCATACCCCCAGGAGTCACCCCAAACCCTAACTCCAGTTGGCTTCTGACAGGAGGCAGCCCAGCGGTCTGGGTGGGGGTTGGGGGCGGTGCCTGGGAAGCCCAGGACGGGCCTGTTGCCCGGGGGGCTGCAGACTCCAGCCTCCTTCCTGCCTGCCCCACCCTCCTGCACCCCGCTCCCCGGGAGGAATCTTCAAGTGCACAAGACCCTCTTGAGGACTCAGGCACCTCAACAATCCCTAAGGCTCCACATCTTCAGGGGGTCAGTGCCCCAGAGATGGGGGCTGTGGGCAAGGTCCTTCCCTAGCCTGTAATCCAGGCAGCCCCCTGACTCTGCGGACTCAGACACAGCAGTCCTCCCAAGCCCGCAGCTGGGACGCCAGACTCAGATCCCAGACCCCCTGCAGACCCATCAAGACCTGGCTCCTTGGAGCCCGCGTCGGCCGAGCTGGGGGGACAGACCCCCTGATTGGCCAGGGTTTGTGGTGGTCAGACCCAGCCACCTTCCCTGGCGGTCCCGGCTCCTTTAAGCCCCACCAAGTGGGGAGCCGAGCTGGGCGCGCCGCTTCCCACTCGCGGGCCCCACCCGCCCCAACCCGCCAGGCGCCGACCCGTCCTGGCCCGGGGCGCCCCCAGGCTCCCGCGCTCCCCAGCTCCCCAGCGCGCGACCGGCCCCGCGGCGTGGTTCCCCGCACTGGCTACTGCCAGGGTCCGCGGGGCTGCGGCGCGAGCTCCTGGATCCCTTCGGCCGGCCCCCCGCGGCCCTCGGTTCGCTCCGGCCCTGCCCGGCGGGGCCCTCCGGATCCTTCCCAGCCCGCCATCCCCCCGCCGCCCTGCCGCCCCCCGGGCCGCCGCGCTCCTACCTCCTACCGTGCCGCGAGCTCGGTGCTCCGGGCCGGCCGGGCGCGCGGGGGCTCCACTGGCGGCGCGGGCCTGGCTGCAGGAAATGCCAGCAGATGGTCCCCCCGCGCGAGGCGGAGCGAGGGCGCGGCGGAGGGAGGAGGCCCAGGGAGCCCGGAGGCGGGAGGAGGAGGCGCGGCGGCCGCAAAACCCGGGCCGAATCGCCGCGCGGAGCGGGCGCCCAGGGGCTGCCCCCCACCGGCTGCCGCTTCTCCTCATCCCCCAACCCCCCGCGCGCGCTCCGGGGCTCACACCCACCCGGGCGGCCAGAGGTCGGGACACTCCGCTGAAAATGGCCAGGAGGCTTGGCGGGGTGGGCAGCGGTGAGTGGGGTCAGCTTCGTGGGGTTCTCCAACTTAGGGGTGCAGGCCCCCAGCCCACCCTAGCCAGGGTGCGAGGCGCCTCCTCTCCCTTCCTGAACCCAGGAAACTGTCGCCGTTTCTCCCCGTCTCAGGAGCCATCAGAACACAAGAGGAGCCCCAGACATCTGAGCCCGTTGTCCCTGCCCCTTATGTGCTAAGAAGGACCCTCAGTCACACTCTAACTGTACGTCTTTCTCAGGACCCTTTTGACAAGAACCTCCCCTCATGTGCATTTCTTCCTGTGTTTTCTCCTCACCTTCTTCTACCCCCCAGAGACCTTTTTAGACCCCTCAGTTCTCTTGTATATAAAAGACATTCTAATTCCCCTAAACAGCATCCCCTTGGGAGCTGAGAAGTCCTCCCCTGGCCCCTGGCTCCCTGCCTGTAGACCCTAAATTGGGTGTGGGCCCAGGGCTGGCCCCAGGGCGTTTGCATCCCTAGTGTCCAAGCCTGAGGTGCACTGCAGGTCCTTCCTATGGTATGTCCCCAAATGACCAGAAAAACTGGGAGCTGGGCTCGGGCATCCCCAGATGTAGGTAGACCCCAAGAGGGCGTGGAGTCTTTTCCACACAGAACCTTAACAGGGACAGAACTGACCCTCCGCAGAGAGCCCTGGGCTCCTCCCCAGGCAGAACTGCCACTGACACGTGTGTTTCTACGGTTTCACGCTGCAGTTGCATTCGGGAGGCCGCAAGCCTGGCTATCATGGGCGTCTGCAAGACCTCCCAGCAGGGCTGCGGAGGGCGAGCGGCCCAGGAAGGCTCCTTCCAGCACCTGAAGGGGGAACGGCACAGCATGCAGGTGCTCTGCCCACAACAAGCCAGACCCCTTCCCGTCTCAGCCCTGGCCTTGCCCACCCCGTTAGACAAGTTGGTGGGTATCCTCCTGGGGATAGCAGCACCAGCCGCTTGTGTGCGGATCACAGGAACCCACGGCTTACGGAGGCGAGTGGGCTGATCGGACTTGCCCTAAGCTTACCCCCAGGGCTAGCATTGCCATTCCATAGTCACCTTGTGAGGCCTTGGGATGCAGAACTGCTCAGTCAAGATGCTCAGGGCCATGGTGGGACCCTGCTCCGCGTGGCCTGTGGCAGGCGGCCTCTGCCTCTGCAGGAGAGGGTCTGTGCAGCTGGGATCCACATACAACTGCTGGGTCTGCTCTTTGAAGACTCCGCCCAAAGCTGAGGTGCTGCTGCCTGGTAACTTGCTGGTTGCTGGAGCCAATCCAAAGGGAATTAGGGAAGAAAACAAAGCCCCTATCCCTAGGGCGGAGGTCTCAGGGGCGGCAGTAGGGAAGGTTGCCAGTTGCTTGATGCTGGCTGTCCAGGGCCTGGGTTTCATGAAATGACACTGCTGAGGGCAGAGGTCAAAAGTCAAAGAGGCACCTGAGGGTGGGGGAAGGGGCCATAGATGACAGCAGGGTGGGGCTGGGGTGGAGCAGGACGAGGGTTGAGCCTCTCACTGGGTAGTGTCTGACAGCCAGATGGCCATGCAAGAAATGAAGAACACGCCACCTGCCAGGCTCAGTGACAGGTGTCAGTTGTCTGCCCCACTTCCCAGCAGGCTCTGCATTTTTCCAGAAAGCCCCATTTCCAGCCTCTTGCCTGGTTTTGGAGAGGCAGTGAGCCGAAGAGGTTGCCCCCAGCAAGAGGTAGGTCCGAATCCTGCTGCTGCCAGAAAGAAGCTCTGTCACCAGGCAGTGGCTTGTTCCTCCTGGGACCCCGCTTCCTCTCCTGTCAGATGGACACAGCATCTGTGCCTGGTGGCCAACGCAGGAAATGAAGGCGTCAGAGGTCTCAGAGATGGGCAGAGCCAGGTGCCAATGGCACCAGCTTTAGGGGGGCACGCCCAGTAGGCCCCACCATCCAGGAGCCCTTGAGCAGGTTTGTGCAACTGGCCGTGCCTCAGTTTCCTCATCTATAAATGGCGATGACCAGAGCAGTTTCCGCTGCATGAGCTGCCATAAGTCCCCAGTGGGCCAACAGACTTTGCAAGCGCTGGCTGTTGGTGGGCACTGGGGACCATGAGTGGACTATGGGAAGGAACGGCTTGCAGCGCCCAGCTGGTTAGTTTGGAATTTATGGTAATTCAGAAAAATATGTCTGTGATAAGTAAGAACTTAAAAAATGCTTTGCAAGGACAGTGCAATTTAAAATCAGGGCAGTTCCAATCCAAGTCTCCAGAATGGCAGTTCTCTGCTAGGGGCGGTTTTGCCTCCAGTTTCCAGGTGGCATTTGCCACTGCCTGGAGATAGTTCTGGCCGTCGTCATTGGAGGTTGCTACTGGTGTCTAGTGGGTAGAGGCCGAGGATGTTGCTAAACACGTTGTCATGCACGGGACAGCCTCCACCACAAAGGGTGACCCGGCCCCAAATGCTGGTCATGCTGAGGTCAAGAATCCCTGCCCCAGAAGTGAATACATGTCCACCTGCTGGCATCACTCCTTGGTTTCGGGTGGTTGGTCTAAGCCCCCAAGGCCTCCTGCTGATGGAGCCCCTACCCTGTCCCAGGTTCTTTGCATCTCATCTACTTCTCCTGACCCCGACTGAGGGGTGAATAAGATGGCTGTGGGCACCTTTCTCGTGTCAGACCCTTTTCTGAGGGCTTTAGACACTTGGTGCATTTAATCTGCCTCACAACTTTATGAGCTGGTTCTGTCGTGATTGGCTCCATTTCACAGATGGGGAAGCTGAGGCACAGCAGGCGAGGCAGTCACCAACCTCTCTGGCTCCAGAACTGTGCTCTGATCTGCCGTGCTCTGCCACCTGGTTCATAATGAAGACCCACCGGCTCAGAGGAAACCCCCCCGCAAAAGCCCCTGCCCCTTCTGCTACATCTGGCTGCCTCCCTGGGAAGGGCTGGGGTGGCCAGGACATGTGGGAACAGCGCTGGGCCCAATCCAGAGAAGGTGCCACCAACCGGGGAAGCCTTGCTCAGGGCTTCAGCCACTACAGGAGCCAGTGGGGCTGGGTGTGGCCCCCTAGGGAGAGACCTTAAGCAGGTCAGGGCCGGCAAACTGTCATCGGTTATCTCCTTTGGTCCTTTACAGCCTTTTTTTTTTTTTTTTTTTTTTTTTTTTTGAGACGGAGTCTCACTCTGTCGCTCAGGATGGAGTGCAGTGGCACAACCTCGGCTCACTGCAACCTCCGCTCTCCAAGTTCAAGCGATTCTCCTGCCTCAGGCTCCTGAGTAGCTGAGATTACAGGTGCCCGCCACCACACCCGGCTACTTTTTGTATTTTTTGTAGAGATGGGGTTTCACCATCTTGGCCAGGCTGGTCTTGAACTCCTGACCTTGTGATCGACCCTCCTCGGACTCCCAAAGTGCTGGGATTACGGGCATGAGCCACCGCGCCCGGCCCTTTTCAGTCTTCTGAGGTAGCAATAACCACTTCTCTCCATTAGACAGATGAGGAAACCGAGGCCCCAGTAGTAAGGGGTGCACCTGGACTTTGGTGGGTCTCCGACTCCTAGTGGGACACCTGCCCGGTTTCCCTGGGCTGCAGTGGGGAGACCCAGGGGTGAGCCTGGGCTCTGCTGCCCTCCCTGCTGCCCTGAAGGCACATCCACCGCCAGGTGTGGTCTCTGGTGGGAGCCCATTCTGTTTCCTTTCCGGGCAGGGGGAGGAGATTCCATCTCCCGTAGGCGGTGGGGCGTCAGTGAAACTCAAAGCGTCCAGATAGTCTCCACAGCACAAAGCTAATCATGAAAACATCGCAGCATGTATGGACCGTTTGCCATGCGCCTGGCACTACGTCCTCAACTTCACGTGACCGGATTGCATCCCCCGCACTGCCGGCAAGCCTGTGGTTATCAGTATCCCCAGCTTACAGACGCCGAAGTGGAAAGTCAAGGAGGTGAAGCCACCAGCTCCAGGCTGGCCACTGGGGAGCGTCCCAGGCAGGACTGGAAGCCAAGCTAGCGTTCCGGTTACAGGAGGCAGGCTCTCCCCGCTGTTCCCTCCTTCGGGGCTGGACACGGCTGCCACTTTGGGCCACCAGCCATGGGAGGGAGCCAAGTCTTTTCCGCTCCTGGATCCCACAGGGGTGCAGGGGCTGGGGGCCTGAGGAGGAGCAGGGACGTACTGGGTCCCCACATGCGTTCCTCCTCCTCTTCCTAGGGAGACTGTGGTCGCATCTCCCGGGCTGAGTCACAAAGCCAGCTGTGGGGAGCGGGGCGGAGCAGTGGCTGTTTTCTGTTCTTTTGGTTTCTTCCTGGGGCAGCCTGCAGGACTCCCTTCCCAGCTCTGGGCCCGCACTGCCCACAGTGTGTCCTGAGCAGGCCTGCTGCCTGAAGGCTCGCTCCGGCTCTCTGGCTCTGTCTGCCTGTCTCTCTCTGACTCTCTTACTCTGTGTCTCTGTCTGTCTCTCTCTCTGATGCACACGTGTGCATGCACACGTGTGCATGCACACACACACACACATGCACACCCACACACACCCCTGTCTTCCAGAAAGCCACATCTAAACTCGTGATTCAGGCATTGTAATATGATCGTAATAAAAATGGAGTTTCCCACCTCTCTTGGTGACAGTGTTTGGACTCCTGCCTGAAAGGACAAGAAGGTGCTATTTATAGGGTCAAAACCTCCGCAGGACTCGGCGGGAGGCTGAGGTGGCTCCAGGGGGCTGTGGGTGCTGCTGAACGGCATTGGATATATGGGATAAGCCCGTGCTCAGACGTCCCCACGAGTGTGGAGCCAGTCCTCAGAGGTGACTCCCAGGGTGGCGGGCTCTGCCTGCGGCCCTGCTATGTGCAGCCAGCCCTATGTCATCCTTCACCACACCTGGCCAAGAGGAGGAGCAGGGCCTCATGGGCACTGCAGTGAGGTTGGTGATACACCCCAGAAATCTCACGGGGTAAAGAAAGAAATGCCCAGAGGTCCCCAAAGCTGGCCGGTGCCCAGGCTGAGTGGAGGCAGCTGCTCCGGAGAAGCTGCTGGCTGGGGGCGCTGCCTTGGGCTCCAGCTGGGCCTCTTCTCAGGGGTCAGGGGCACGCCCAGCTCAGAACCTGGGTTTAAGAGCTCCTTACCTGTCACCCTTGGCCATGGGCTGCATCTGCCACAGTCTTGGGCGTCTGCCTGCCCCATGGTGGTGCTGGAGGCAAGGAGGGAGGTTGGGAGGAGGCAGTTCACAAGCGGCCCAGGCTCCTGCTTGGGGCTCGGGGGGAAGCTCCTGTCCCCGCTCTGAGGAGGGAGGCAGTGATCCTCCCCGCCCAGGGAGGAGCCACAGCATGTTGGGCAGCTGTGGGTATGGAGAGAACCCTGGGCAAGGCCGCAGGGACCTGGGGGTGGGGTCTCCTCGGTGCTGGTACCTGAAGGAGCAGATCAAGGGGCACCCGGAACAGACACATCTCAAAGGGAGGCACATCGTGTCCGAGTTCTCACCCAGGAAGCCCGGTGTGTCCACTTGGGAGGCTGCAGACCCCGCAGGTGGAGGGGCAGCCTCCCGGAGCCTGCTCACTCAGACGATGCTCCCTGGCAGTGACTCCTGAGATCAGAGCTGGGTCCTGAACCTCCACGTTGGCTTGGGGCTGAGGACTTGCTGCAGGAAAGCAGGGCCCTCCTGGGGCACAGACGAGGTGGAGAGGGCTGAAGCAAAGCTGAGACCTGCCCTCTGCATCCTGGGTGCGTGTGCCCCTCAGGAAGAACTAACAGCACCTGCTGTAAGCCAGAAGTACACAGGGTCACCTCATCCAGATCTGGCTCTAAGTTAATGAGACCTTGAGCCTTCCTAGTAAGTCGCTGACAGCCCATGAGGAAGACCCCATCCCTGACTTCAGAATGCTGGTGCTCGAAGACACGCAGTGGCCCTGGAGGATGTGATGACCACATGAAACCCCGCTGTTTCTCCTCAACCAACAGACCAACTGTAAACAGGTGTGCTCGTTTCCCGGAACCGCCAGAACAAAAAGCTACCACACGCCGGAGGGCTTGAAACAACAGGAATTGGTTCCCCCACAGTTCTGGGGGCTGGAAGCCTGAAATCAAGGTCTCAGCAGCTGGGTTCCTTCTGGAGGCTCTGGGGGAGGGTCCTTCCCTGCTTCTCCCCAGTTTCTGGTGGCCAGCAATCCTTGGCACTCCTTGGCTTGGAGATGAGTCCCTCCAATCTCTGCCTCCATCCTCAGCCACGGCGTTCTTCCCTTTCTGTGTCTGTGTCTCAAATCTCCATCTCCTTTATTTTATAAGGGCACCAGTCATAGGATTTAGGGCCCACTAGGGTAATCCAGGATAATTTCATCTGAAAATCTTGCATTTGATTACATCTGCAAAGACCCTATTTCCAATAGTGTACATTCACAGGTACTGGGGGTTTGACCTCCCACAAGGAACCCTTGGCAGTGTTGTACTGATTTTCCCGTTGAATGCCATTGGTTTTGGTGAGCCGGTGGAACTTCTTAACTGTCCTAAATACTTGTGTTCTGGGTCTCTGTTGAGTGCACAGCCTCAGGGCCTGGAAGCCTTGATGGAGCAGATCCTGGCTCTGTGCGTCAAGCTGGAGGCGGTTCCTGGCCCCTACTAATGGAGAGGGTTGAATGGGGCGGTCAGCACCTCCCGGGAGCAGTGGAGGGTCTACGCTTTTGCTAGAAGCTGCCCTTTTGGCTTGGGATTTCCAGCCAGGAACAACTGGATTCACCGAGGGGCAGGATTTTGGCAAATGCACATTGGGGTGGAAGGCTGGCTTCCCTCCAGGGATCTTCAAACTGCCCTTGGGAGGATCATGGGGAATCTGGCACGTCTGTCTTCCACCTGTTGGGGAGGGCCTGGGGCTGCTTCCTGGTAACACACAGTGAGTGGGTGCGGAAAGGAAACGACTGTCCCAAGGCAGGATCTGACTGAGGGAATCTGCAGGCTTAGTGGCCAGCCTGTGATGCCCAGGAGACATGCCACCTTTTCCTCTCAGGATACAGAAACCCAAGACTGCAGAATCGCATGGCCAGGTCTGTGGGGTGGGAGGGGAGTCCCAGATGCTGCAGACGCTGCTTCTACTTACAGGGCCACCACTGAGAAGTCACTTTCTTATGGAACTGGGGTTGATTGGCAGGTGTAACTTGCATACTGAGAGGCAGATGGAAAGGCCCTAAAGATGACCAAGACGCAGAGGCAGAGTCACCCAGGACTCAGGACAAGCCAGTATTGGGGCATGCATAACCTGGGGCTCTCCTGTCACCCCTGCAGGAACAACGAAACAGCCCACAGCTGGAGATGGCTACTTATTTTATTTTATTTTTTTTGAGACAGAGTCTCTCTCTGTCGCCCAGGCTGGAGTGCAGTGGTGTGATCTCGGCTCACTGCAACCTCCGCCTCCCGGGTTCAAGCGATTCTCCTGCCTCAGCCTCCCGAGTACCTGGGACTACAGGCGCCCACCACCACACCCGGCTAATTTTTGTATTTTTAGTAGAGACAGGGTTTCACCATGTTGGCCAGGCTGGTCTCAAACTCCTGACCTCAGGTGATCTGCCCACCTCGGCCTCCCAAAGTGCTGGGATTAGAGACGTGAGCCACCGCGCCCGGCTAATGACTACTCATTTAAGAGGAGCAGTGATTCTGAGTGCGTGCCTGGAGTCTCCCACGTGGACAGACAGCTTCTGGGGGTCCTTGAGACCCTTTCAGGAGTCCAAGAGGTCAACGTTATTTACATTGTAATACTAGGATGCTATTTGCCCTTTCCACCCTTATTCTCTTACAACTTACAGTGGCGTTTTCTGGAGGCTGCCTATGTGTGATATTGCAATGGAGAGAATACAGAAGCAGATGCAAAGACTCAGCTAGCATCTGTTAAGCCAGGCATTAAGGAGACTCACAAAAATGTACAACAATGCCACTCTTTTCACAAAATATTTTTGTTTTGTAGAATATGGTTGGTTCTCATAAATAATGTGTTATTTACATTAACAATGCAATGGGTTTATAATAGTTACTTTTTAAATGAATAATTAAATGCAGATTTTAAAACATTTGGTGAATACTTATAGACATAACCTATAGAAACAAATGTTCTTTGTGGTTCTCAGTAATTTTTCAAGACTACAAAGGACCCTAAGACCAAAAGGCTTGCAAACCATGGATGCAGAGGATGCTGGAAGGCAGACTAGGGATTCCAGTATGGTGTGCTGAAGAGGTGTTGGGCTTTGGGGTCAGAGCTGGGTGTGAATCTAGTCTTTGCCATCCTCACCTATTCCTCTACTGCCATTGTCACCTCAACCACCACCATCATTATCACCACCACCACCATCATTACCATCATCAACCATCATAGCTTTCATCATCATAATCACTGTCACCACCACCACCATCATCATCATCATCGTCACAATCTGCACCATCACCATCATCACCACCATCATCAACCATCATTGCTTTCATCACCATCACCATCATGATCACCATCACCACTTTCATCATCATCACCATCACCACCTTCATCATCATCACCATCATCACCATCACCATCATAATCACCATCACCATCATCATCGTCATCAACCATCATTGCTTTCATCATCATCATAATCACCATCACCACCACCATCATCATCATCATCACTGTCTCCACCATCACCATCACCATTGTTATCACCACCACCACCATCATCACCATGAACGACCATTGCTTTATCATCATCATAATCACCATCACCACCACCATCATCATCATCATCACTATCCTCACCATCACCATCATCATCACCACCACATCATCATCACCATCATCAACCATCATTGCTTTCATCACCATCACCATCATGATCACCATCACCACCTTCATCATCGTCACCATCATCACTATCACCATCATAATCACCATCACCATCATCGCCAGCCATCATTGCTTTCATCATCATCATAATCACCATCACCACCACCACCATCATCATCACCATCCTCACCATCACTATCATCATCACCATCATCAACCATCATTGCTTTCATCACCATCATAAGCACCATCACCACCTTCATCATCATCATTATCATCATCACCATCATCATCACATCACCATCATCACTGTCATCACCACCACCATCATCATCAACCATCATTGTTTTTATCACCATCACCATCATAATCGCCATCACCATCATCATCACTATCATCACCATCATCATCATAATCATCTCTGTCATCATCATCATCACGTCCTTCATCAGCATTACCATCACCATCACCAGCATTACCACAATGCCACCACCATTTCCATCATTGCCACCACCATTATCATGACTATTCTCACCATTACTGCCTCCCTTTGGCTGAGCTTGGGCTGTGTGCCAGACACTGTGTCAGGTCTTTATAAGTCATTTTCTCTAATCACCATAGAACTCTACCAGGCAGGTAGTATTGTCCATTTTTACAGGTGAGGAGACTGAAGCTTATAAAAGTTAAATTGCTTGGTGGAGCAGTCTCTGAATACCAATCTGTTTGTCTCTGTTCTCTCTAATCCTGGGATGTAACTCAAGCTTGGTTTGCTTCTATTTGTTACTTGCTAGTTGGGAATATTGCTAATGCTAATAGTTTGCTATTACTGAATATCTGCTAAGGACCAGGCACTGGCTATGTGCATGTCAACATTATCCTAATCCTCTTGATCATGTAAAACAGGCATTAAAATTAAACCCATCTTGGGGTGGGAGAGTCCCATGTGAAAAGCATCATCCCCCAGGCCTGGCACACTGTGGCACTGGGTGAATGCTCACCCCTGTTGTCACAGTGGCCCCAGCTGTAAGACTTGCATGGGGGAGGTGGCCAGGCCTGTGGAAGACAGCAGAGGGGGGTGTGGCAGGGTGGAGTGCAGGCTAGTGACAGTGAGGCCTCCTCCCACCTCTCAGCTCTGCTCTGTTCCTTGGGCTGGGGATGCTTGCAGCAGGCCCATGATGCTCACTCTCCCTAATCACATATTTTTGGAGTACCTATTGGGTGCTAGATAGTGTCTAGGCATGGGAACATGGCTGTGAAGGGGACAAACAGGAGTCCTGCCTGCATGTTGCTCACAAACTTTTATGAGAAAGACAGAAAATGAGTGCATGAACACAGCCCCAGCGATGTTATGAAGGAAAGCCAATCCAGGGCAGGAGGTAGGAGGAGGCATGGAGTGTTGAGTGGGCTTGGAGAGGGGGCCAGGGAGGACTTTTTCTCGGGAAAGGACATTTGGGCAGAAACCCTCATGAAGCAAGGGAGTGGGTGAGCCACAGCACCTCGGGGTTCAGTGTGTCCCAGGCAGAGGAAATAGCAGGCACCCAGGCACCAGGAAGCCAGGAGTTTGGTATGTTCACATAGTGGCCAGAGGCCAGTGTGGCCAGGGGGAGGGAGAAGGGCAGGAAGTAGGTCAGGGAGGCTGCAGGGGTCATCACACCTGGCTTCCTGTGCCCCATGTGGAGTTTGATTTTATTTTGATTGTGATGGAAGCCATTTAGGGGGTTCTGAGGAGGGAATGTGATGGTCTTTATTGTTGCTATACAGACAGAATGGAGACAGGAAGTCTTGTAAACAGAGTCAGTGTTGTTCAGGGTTGTTTTGGGGTGCTTGAATGGGAGGTCAGGAGAAGTGGACATATTCAGGTACGTCTTGAAGTAACCAAAGCTGACCCAAGCATGTGACCTTAGGGATGGAGAGAGAAGGTTTCCAGTCAAAGGCAGTGAAGGCAGCAGGGCCTGGGAGAGCAGTTAGGGTTCTGGCTGGCTCTGCCACTAGCTAGATGGTTTTAATCTCTTGATGCCTCAGTTTCCCCCTTATGCCTAGATGGTAATATGCCTCCCAGCTCTAAAGGGAGTATTGAGACTCCAGTGAGGTAACAGATGGGAATCACACTTTCTATTTTGAAAAACATCTTCTTTTGCAATGTGGTCAGATACAAGCTCCTTGAGGTCAGAATGTATATTCTTCTCCCCAGTGGGTCTCCCTTGTGCCTTGTTCAGGGTAGGTGCTGCAAAAGCAAATGTGGAACTATAGACCATGAACCCTCATGAACACAGATGCAAAAATCTTCAATGAACTATTTGCAAATCAAATCCAGCAATATATTAAAAGGATAATATATCATGAACAAGTGGGATTTATCACAGGAATGCAAGGCTGGTTCAACATTTGGAAATCAAGCAATGTATTTACCATAGCAACAGACCAAAAAAGAAAAAACATATAACCATCTTGATAGTTGCAGGAAAAACATCTGACAAAATTTAATCCATCCAAAATTTATCCATCCATGATAACAGCTATTGGAAAATTAGTATTAGACAATAACTTCCTCTTCATAATAAAAGGCATCTATGAAAAACCTATGGCTAACATCGTACTTAGTTGTGAAACATGAAATACTTTCCCCCTTAAACTGGAAACAAAGCAAGATGTCCACTCTCACCATTTCTATTCAACAGAATACTGGAACTCCTAGATAGTTCAATAGGGCAAGAAATGGACATAAAAGATATACAGATTGGGAAGGTAGACATAAAATGGTCTTTGTTTGCAAACAACATAATTATCTATGTAAAACATCCTAAAGAACAAATGAAAAAGCTACTAGAACTAGTAAGTGAGTTGAAAAAGGTCTTAGGATACAAGGTCAATGTACAAAGATCAATTGGAGGCCAATTTCTATGGACTAGCTTGGAGCTATAGAGCTATATAACATGCATGAGTTGGCATGCTCAATATTTTTAAGATGTTCATTTGCCCCTTGCACTGCTTAAAAGGTTCAATGCAATCCCAATCAAAATTCCAGCAGGAATTTTTGGGTAGAAACTGACAAGTTTATTCTAAAATGTATATGGAAAGACAAGTAGCTAGAATAGACAGAATAATTTTGAAAAAAAAGTTAGAAGACTTATATACTAATTGATTTCAATAGTTACCATAGAATGGCAGTAATCAAGACAGTGCAGTGTTGGTATCGGCAAAAGAACCCACACATAGATTGATGGATCAGAGCAGAGAGTCCAAAAATATATGGTCCGTGGAATTTTTACAAAGATACAAAAGGCAATGGAGAAAGGATAGTCTTTTGAACAAATGTTAACAATTGGTGACCTTATGCAAACAAACAAACAAATAAACAAATAAACCTTGACCTATACCTTGTGCCCTAAAAATTATCTCAAAATGGATTATAGACCTAAATGTAAAACCTAAAACTAAAACTTCTAGAAAAATACATAGGAGAAAATCTTTGTGACCTTGGATTAGGGAATGGACTCTTAGAACACCAAAAGTCATATAACACCATAATCCATACCAGAATAAAATGATAAATTAGACTTCATGAAAATTAAAAACTTCTCTTCTTTGAAAGACACTGTTAGGAGAATGAAAAGACAAGGCACACACTGGGAGAAAAATCTTTGCAAAATGTATATCTGATATCCAGGATATAGGAAGGACTCTCAAAACTCAATAAGAAATTTAAAAATGGGCCAGAGATTTGGACAATCACTTCTCCAAAGAAGATATTCATGTGGCAAATAAGCACACAAAATGACACTTGACACCATTAGTCATTGGAAAATTGCAGCTGAAACCACAATGAGAGAGCACTATGCACCCACTAGAATGGCTGGAGTATAATAAGTGCCACGTATTGGTGAGGATGTGGAGCCTCAAAGACTGCTGGTGAGAATTCAAGATGGTACGGCCACTGTGGGAGACAGTTCAGCAGTTTTTGGTAAAGGAGAGCACACACTGATCATGGACCTAGCCATTCTGCTCCTGGGCATTTTAAGTTAAATGAAAATATATATCCATAAAAAATGCATGTAAATGTTCATGGTGGCTTAATTCATAAGTGCCCAAGAATGAAACAAGCCAAACACCTTTCAACGTGAGTGGATAAACAAAATGTGGTTCAATGAAAAACTATTTCGCAATCAGAGGAACCAACTACCCATAATAGCATGGATGAATCTCAAACACATCCTGCTAAATGAAAGAAGCCAGACAAATGTCTGCATACCATAGGTCTCATAAGACATTCCAGAAGAGGCAAAAATGTAGGAATAGAAAACAGATAGGTTGTTTGACCAGGAGCTGGAGGTGGTAGGGGGAGGTGGGTTGACCACAAAGAAACACCCAGACAGTCTTTGGAGTGTTGGAAATGTTCTGCCTCTTGATTGTGGTGGCAGTTACACAACTGGATGCATTTGTTGAAACTGACACAGCTATACATGAAGGAGAGTGAATTTTACAGAATATAATTGGGTTTGGGCCACTACCCCTAAAGGCACAATCCCAAACACTGTAACTCCAAGTGTTGGAATCCTGAAAGATCAAAATTCCCAAAATATAATTCAGGAAAAAATAATTAAAAAATATATTTTAAATACATATGTTTACATTTGTTTGGTTGGTGTTTGTTTTTTGAGACAGTCCCACGCTGTCGCCCAGGCTGGAGTGCGGTGGCACGATCTCGGCTCGCCACAACCTCTGCCTCCTGGGTTCAAGTGATTCTCGTGCCTCAGCCTCCTGAATAGCTGAGATTACAGCTGTGAACAACCACACCTGGATAATTTTTGTATTTTTAGTAGTGACAGGGTTTCATCATGTTGGCCAGGCTGGGCTCGAGCTCCTGACCTCAAGTGATCCACCCTCCCAAAGTGCTGGGATTACAGGTGTGAGCCACCACTTCTGGCCTATATTTACATTTTTAAAGGGAATTTATTTGAGAAACATAAAAACACATCAGAACTTTCATAGGCCACTTTGCACAATAAAATAGGGAATAGTAACATGCATATTTTTGCAAATATAAACCCTCAGATGTACTAATAACAACAGTTTAAGCAGACAAACCATATTCATAAAGAAATATGTCAAAGGCTGGGATTGGTGACTCACGCCTGTAATTCCAGCACTTTGAGCGGCCAAGGTGGGCAGATCACCCAAGGTCAGGAGTTCGAGACCAGACTGGCCACCATGGTGAAACCCCGTCTCTACTAAAAATACAAAAAAAATTAGCCAGGTATGTTGGCATGCACCAGTAGTCCCAGTTACTTGGGAGGCTGAGGTGGGAGAATCACTTGAGCCAGGAAGGCAGAGGTTGCAGTGAGCTGAGATTGTGCCACTGCACTCCAGCCTGGGTGACAGAGTGAGACCCTGTTTCTTAAAAAGAAAGGTATGTCAAAAAGGGAAACGTATAATTGCATAGAACTATGGTTGGTAATTATGTACAGCTTCACACCTGCAGCCATCTGAAGTACCATGAGAGACACCCTAAGTCTTTTGAAGGGATCAGTTGGAAGCTGAGAAAGGTCAACACTGTATAGGCAGTTGCCCAAAATGTTGAGATCTTTGGAAATTTTATCTTTCACAAGTGCAGATATTTAAAAAATGACATCTCTTCATTCAGTGAGGAAGTCTGAATGTTTTTACGCATACACACAATGCTTACACACAAAGTCAACAGTGCGATAATGCACTTTCATGGAGCCAAATTTACAAAAAAATGCATAAAATAAATTAGAAGGTTCTAACAGTCTGTATTAGTTCTTTTTCACTGCTGATAAAAACATACCTGAGACTGGGAAGAAAAAGAGGTTTAATTGGACTTACAGTTCCACATGGCTGGGGAGGCCACAGAGTCATGGTGGGAGGCAAAAGGCACTTCTTACATGGCAGCGGCAAGAGAAAAAATGAGGAGGAAGCAAAAGTGGAAACCCCTGATAAACCCATCAGATCTTGTGAGACTTATTCACTATCATGAGAATAGCACCGGAAAGACCGGTCCTCATGATTCAGTTACCTCCCCCTGAGTCCCGCCCACAACACGAGGGAATTCTGGGAGATACAATTCAAGGTGAGATTTGGGTGGGGACACAGCCAAACCATATCACACCTTAACATAATTTATGCCTCCAGTGTTGGAAATGATATGAAGATGAAATACAGCATAACAAATTGGCACTACGTGTGAAGGGGCGGAAATTGTACATGATTGAATACTTTGGTGGAAGAGACTTCCTAAATTTTTCACCTGCATTTTCACTTCTTCTGTGATCTTTGAAACACTTGTTGCACTTGGAGAGTGGTTGTGGTCTACAAACTGTGTCTTTGCTGTCCATTTGCAAGTCTGGTTATTGATCAGCAGCTGCACTTAAGCGATTTCTGCTTTCACAGCCTTAATAATAATTAGCTTTAAATCGTATATCTTCCACCATTAAGTAGCCTTGTACACTTAACTTATCACAGCCTTTTTGCAAGGGATCACTTTCACAGCCCTGTTCCATTATGTTGTGAGAAACACAGTAAGAAGGAGTATTTGACTTCCCCAATACCAGATCTATATTAGGCTTCTCCGGCGAGACAGAACTGATAAGATGTGTATACAGATATAAGAGCAGGGATTTCCCTGGAGAATGGGCTCACGTGATTATGGTGGTTGGGAAGTCCCATGACAGGCAAGCTGGAGATCCCACAATGCCAGGGGCAAGGCTCAGTCCAAGTCCAAAGGCCTCAGAACCAGAGACGCCGGTGGTCCAGTGGTCTCTAACTCTGAGTCCACAAAAGCCTCAGGACCCAAGGGGGCTGCTGATGTATGTCCTGGGGTCCAAAGGCTGGCAACCCTGGATTTCTCATGTCCAAGGCAGCAGAAGAAGAGTCTGTCCCAGCTCTCAGAGAAAGACTGGTTTGCTTTCTGCCTCTGTATTTATTCTTTCTAGGCCCTGGTTGATTGGATGGTGCTTGCCAACACCGAGGGCTGATCTTCCCCCGAGTCCACTCAGGCTCACACATGAGTGAGTGAAGTATTATCAACTCTAAAATAAGGATGATATCTAATAACAGGATGGAAACACGCTTGTATGATGCCAGCACAAAAGATTTGTCAGGGCAGACGTTCATTCCTGCTATTCTCAAGTTTTGTGATTAAGCAAGTGCATTTAGATGCTGCTTAGCTGAGAATGTTTCCGTCTCCTCTGGAAACACCCTCACAGATACAACTAAACTACTGTTTTACCAGGTTTCTGGGTACCTCTCAGCCCAGTCAAGTTGATACCTGAAATTAGGTCCACACAGGTCTACCTCTTGCCACTTGGCACCCACACTCATCTCTTTAGATCATACTTAACTTCCAAATAAAGACTTAACAAGGTCGTAGTTCCGCCCAACACGGTGCAACTGTCACAGACAGGCACCACAGACAGACAGACAGGCACCAATCCTTTCCCCAGGACTCAGCTTTCAGGATTTTGGCATTCAGATTTTAATCTGACGTGAGGGATTTTAGGTTTAGGGATTTCAGTATTGTGGATTATGCAGTTCAGGATTGTGTCTTTGAGGATTATGATTGACACCAAATACAACTATACCTCAAAAAAGGCATATGAATGGAATGCTGAAAAAAGGATCCAGGCCCCCTCAAAAAAGGCATATGAATGGAATGGCGAAAAAAGGATCCAGGCCCGAGCGCGGCTCATGCTCAAATCCTGTCTAATGCACAAACCACATTTGCTTGCTTTCGAATCGTTGCTTATTACTTATATGTGGGGGGGGAAAAGAAAGCAGCAGGCATTGAAAACACTCCAGAGGTTCCAGAGGTGGCTGTTTCCAGAGACACTTCTGGTCCTGACATGCTGGGGTCTCGTCACCAGGGCTGTGCTGGGGGCCCCAAGCTCTCTGAAGGTGTGCTTTCTGGGTCATGAGGTGGGGGCCCCACAGATATTGGTCATCTGTGGAGGGTAGCAGAGCAGCCCCAGGGCGCCATCGATGCTGGCAGGGGAGGACTGCCCGAGGGCCTCTACAGGCCAGGCCAGGGTGCAGCCACTTCAAAATCCCTGAAAGCAAATGTGGAACCTTGAGTGAGTGTCCGGTTGGAAAATGACCACAGCCTTGTCCTGAGCTGGGTGAGGGTGGGTCTGTCACCGCAGGGCTGAGAGGCACCTCTGTGTGCTCCTTGCCAGAGGAGCTTGGCAGCAAGTGTGGGGTGGCCCTCCTAGACAGCAGCAGCTCTGCCTTGGGGTCTGGCCCATTCCCAGACACAAGTGCATGCAGACAAAGGCCAGGGGTCAGGTCCTGCCCAGTCATTGGTCTCCTGAGCTGTTGGGTGCCGGGTGTGTCCTGTGATAGGACAGCAGCAGAGCCCAGCTGCTCCACCTCGTACTCTGGCCAAAGATGAAGGGGCACACAGTGGCTCTGCAGGGCTGTGGAGCAGTGCTACAAGCCTTGGCTATGGCGGGGCAGGGGACAGTCACCCTCTGTCATAGTCCTTTCTGTGTTGCTATTACAGAATACCTTAGGCTGGGTAATTTATAGAGAAAAGAGGTTGGCTCATGGTTCTGGTGGCTGGGATGATCAAGATTGGGCAACTGTGTCTGGTGAGGGCCTCAGCAGCTTCCACTCATGGTGCAAAATGGAAAGGGGCAGGCATGGGCAAGGAGGCCACGTGGTGAGAGAAAGCAAGAGTGCCAGACTCCCTCTTTTTTTTTTTTTACTTTTAAATTATTATTTTTAGAAATAGGGTCTCACTCTGTTGCCCAGGCGGGAGTACAGTGGCACTGTCATAGCTCACTGCAGCTTTGACTTCCTGGGCTCAAGTGGTCCTCCTGCCTCAACCTCCTCAGTCACTGGGACCACAGGTGTGGCCACCACACCTGGCTAATTTAAAAAAAGTGTTTTTTTTTTTGAGATGGAGTCTTGCTGTGTTGCTTACACTGGTCTGGTCTGGAACTCCTGGCCTCAAGTGATCCTCCCACCTCAGCCTCCTGAAATCCTGGGATTACAACTAGACTCTTTAAGAACCTACTCTCCAGGGAATGAATCATTTCCTGAAGAACTCACTCTCTCCCTTGGGAGGGGTTAATCCATTCATGAGGGGTCTGCCCCCATATCCCAAACGCTTTCCACTAGGCCCTTCTCCTATCACTGCCACACTGGGGACCCAATTTCAAGACGAGTTTTGGTGGAGACAGACCACATCCAAACCACCCTCTCTGACCCTCTCCTGGTGCCAAGCTCTCTGGCCAGGGAGTAAAGGGGCCCCCACTCTTGCACTTGCCAAGGGTGGAGACAAGGGTAGGCTGGCAAGAGCAGTTTAGCGAGGACAGAGTGAGGGAAGGGGTAATTATTTCCTACCTTGGAAACTCTGTGTCCCACCCCAGCTGCACCACGGCCGGGCCAGGCCGGGCCTGCAGCTTCTGGTCCTTGCCTTGACCTCCTCAGGATGGGAGGTGGACTCCAGAGAAGGCCTTGCCCAGTGCCCATCCCCGTCCTTCTTCCTTCCTAGTGGACACCACGTCCTCTTCAAAGTCCACACCCTCTGTGGGACAGAATTGTAACTCCACCTCCCAACAACTCACCATGGTTCTCTTCATTTCTATTCAAGGACCTATTTTGTGGAAAATCTTAGCCCATTCAGAACCTATAAGCATTTGGGATTACTTTTCCAATTCTGGCCTCTTGCAACCCAAACAAGGTCAAGAACGGCTCCAACCAATAGAACTTTCTGAAGCGATGACAGTGTCCCTCAAGCTGCCTGGCTCGCTGTAGGAGGAACCAGCTGCACACAGCTCTTTAGCTCTTAAAATGGGGCTGGTGCCACCAAGGAACCGAGTTTTAATTAATGTTGTCAGTTTAAGTAGCCCTGTGTGGCCAGTGGCTACACTATGGACAGTGCAGATCTAGACTCTTAAAAGTGGTTTATCTGGCCAGGTACGGTGGCTCATGCCTGTTATCCCAGCACTTTGGGAGGCCGAGGTGGGTGAATTGCTTGAGGCCGGGAGTTTGAGACCAGCCTGGTCAACATGGTGAAACCCTGTCTCTATTAAAAATACAAAAATTAGTTGGGCAAGGTGGTGCATGCTTGTAATCCCAGCTACTCAGGAGGCTGAGGCTTGAGAATTGCTTGAACCTGGGAGGCAGAGGTTGCAGTGAGCCAAGATTGCACCACTGCACTCCAGCCTGGGCGACAGAGGAAGACTCCATCTCAGAAAAAAAAAAAAAGTGGTTTATCTGGGGTTGGGATTGGTGGCTCACACCTGTAGTCCCTACAACTAGAGACCAACCTGGGCAACATAGTGAGACCTCATCTGTACAATAAAATAAAAAAAAATTAGCTGGATGTACTGGTGCATGCCTCTAGTCCCAGCTACTTTGGAGGCAGAGACAGGAGGATTGCTTTAGTCCAGGAATTTGAGGCTGCAGTAAGCTATGATTGCACCAGTGCACTCCAGCCTGGGTGACAGAGGGAGACCTATTTCTTAGATTTAAAATAAAGTGGTTGATCTGCTTTTTTTTGAGTGACTTAAACAACAAGTATTTGTCTTTCACAATTCTGGAGGCTGGAAAGTCCAAGATTAAGGTGTGTACTCGTCTGTTCTCACATTGCTATAAAGAACTACCTGAGACTGGGTAATTTATAAAAGAAAAGAGGTTTGATTGACTCACCGTTCCGCAGGCTGTACAGGAAGCATGGCTGGGAGGCCTCAGGAAACTTACAATCGTGGCGGAAGGCGAAGGGGAAGGAGGCAAGTCTTACATGGCTGGAGCAGGAGGAAGAGAGGCCAGAGGGAGGAGCTACACACTTTTAAACAACCAGGTCTCATGAGTACTCATCACTATCACGAGAACAGCAAGCGGGAAGTCCACCCCCGCGGTCCAATCACCTCCCCCCAGCCTCCTCCTCCTCCAACATTGGGGATTACAGTTCCACATAAGATTTGGGCAGGGCCACAAATCCAAACCATGTCAAGGTACAAGCAGGTTTGGTGTCTGATGAGAGCGTGGTTGCTGGTCTGCAGATGGTCACCATTTTGCTGTATCCTCACCTGGCAGAAGCAGAGAGAAAGCTGGCTCTCTGGTGTCCCTTCTCATAAGGACACTTATGGGGGAGGACCCCTCCCTCACGGCTTCACCTAGATGTAATTCACTCCCATAGGCCTCGCTTCCAAATAGCATCACGTTCCGGGGGAGGCTTCCAACCTACAAATGTTGCAGGGACACACATTCTACCCATAGCAGTAATGATGCTGTATCAAATGGGGAGCTGATGGTAAACTAGCCCAAAGTGATTCTCCAGTCTCTCCCTTCCCCTACCATAGTGACAGAGAAGGCCTCATGGTCTAAATAACATGGCTAAAAGTTGGTTGGTAGAACCTTCCTCAACATGGCCTCTGAGTGACTAGCAGAGTCTTCCAAAAACCTCAATAGACATGCAGTGTGAGTTAGAAATAAACTTTTGGGTTCAATCACTGAGATTTGGGGATAGTCGTTCTCTTTTCCTTTCTTTCATTTTTTTTTAATACTTCCCAACTGTATTTATTGTGAAAGAGAGGGTTCTTATTTTTTGGGAAACACATTCTGATTTTATTTTATTTTATTTTTATTTTACTTTGAGTTCTGGGATACACGTGCTGAACGTGCAGGTTTGTTATATATGTATACAGTGCCATGGTGGTTTGCTGCACCTATCAACCCGTCATCTAGGCTTTAAGCCCCTGCATGCATTAGGTATTTGTCCTAATGCTCTCCCCGCCCCCTTTCCCTTTTCCCCCAAACCCCTTTCCTTGTCTTTTTAAAACAAGTTTCCATTTTTTCTCTTAGATGTAAGGAGAACACGTGCAGGTTTGTTACAAGGGAATACTGTGTGGTGCTGAGGTTTTGGTAAGTGAACTTGACAGGAGCCTCTGGCAGGTTCCTGCCCCAAGAAATCAGGGCTTCCGAGACACCACCAGCAGGACACCTGGCAGAGCCTCCAGGACCCCTGGCAGAACCCCTGACAGTTACATCTCTTTCCCGAGAGAGGGCACCTCTGTGTGCTCCTTGCCAGAGGAGCTTGGCAGCAAGTGTGGGGTGGCCCTCTTGACAGCAGCAGCTCTGGCTTGGGGTCTGGCCCATTCCCAGACACAAGTGCATGCAGACAAAGGCCAGGGGTCAGGTGGATGACTGATCCCGTCACCCAGGTAGTGAACATAGCACCCAACAGGAACTTTTTCAGCCCTTGCCCCTCCCACCCTCCCTCCTTTTGGAGTCACCGGTGTCTGTTGTTCCCATATTTATGTCCATGTGAACCCAAGATTTAGCTCCCATGGATAAGTGAGAACGTGTGATATTTGGCTTTCTGTTTCCGTATTAGTTAGCTTAGGATAATGGCCTCCAGCTGCATCCATGTTGCTGCAACAGACATGATTTCATTTTTTGTGGCTGCGTAGTATTCCGTGGTGTATGTGTACCATGTTTCCTTTGCATCCACCCTGATGGGCACCTGGGTTGCTTCCACGTCTTTGCTCTCGTGAACAGTTGCTGTGACGGGTATGCAGGTGCAGGTGTGTTTTTGGCAGAATGTTTATTTTTCTTTGGATATGTGCCCAGTGATGAGTGGGATTGCTGGGTTGAATGGTCATTCTGTTTTAAGTTCTTAGAGAAATCTCCAAACTGCTTTCCACAGTGGCTGAACGAACTTACACTCCCACCAATAGTGCATAACATAAGCATTCCCTTTTCTCTGCAGCCTTGCCAGCATCTGTGGTTTTTTTGACTTTTTAATAATAGTTTATCTGCTTTTCTGCTGAGACCTCTCTCCCTTTAGACATGCATGGGTGATTAGCAGGTGGAAAGCGTCTGGGGTAAAAAGAAATTGCCCATTAAGATGTTGAGACAACCCTAACTGATCTACAGGTTCAATGCAATTCCTATCAAAGTCCAAATGATTTTTTTTTTTTTTTGCGGAAATAGAAAAGCCTATCCTAGAATTTGTATGGAATCTCATGGGACCTAAATAGCCAAAACAATCTTGAAAAAGGACAAAGCTGGAGGACTCACAGGCCCTGATTTCAAAAGCTTGTGCAAAGCTACAGTCGTCAACACACTGGGACTGGCATAAAGACAGACACCGAGACCAACCACGTAGAATAGGAGCCCAGAAAGAAACCTTTGCATACGCGGGCAAATGATTTTTAATAAGGGTGCCGGGACCATTCAATGTGGAAATAACAGTCTTTTCAACAAACAGTGCTGGAAAAACTGAAAATCCACATGGAAAAGCACCAAGCTGGACCCTTAATCCTACACTGCATACAAAAATTAATTCAAAATGGATCCGAGTCCTAAACATAAGAGCTGAAAACACAAAACTTTTAGAAGAAAACATAGGGGAAAAGCATCGTGACATTGGATTTGGCAATGATTTCTTGGATATGACACCAACGCACAGGCAACAAAAGAAAAAACAGACAAACTGGACATCATCAGAATTAAAAACTTTTGTGTATCAAAAGTCACTATCGAGAGTGAAAAGACAACCCGCGGAATGGAGAAAATGTCTGCAGATCACATATCTGAGAAGGGGTCAGTGTGAGAAGATGTCAAGAACTCCTACAATTCAGCCACCACCCAACAGAAACCAAACAGATTTGAAAGCGGGCAAAGGACCAGAATAGAGATTTCTCCAAAGATGATAAACAAATGGACAACCGACACGAAAAGGTGCCGGACATTGCTAATCATTAGGAAAATGCAAATCAAAGCAAATCAAAGCCCCACTGAGAGGCCACCTCTTCCTGTCAGGATGGCTGCGCTCAAAACACAGCACCTCATTGCAGCTCACGGAGTCCCCCATGGGCGTCTCCAGGGTGCAGGAATGCATTTAACTGTTGTTGCCACATCTTGACGCTCATGTATCCATCCATGCATTAGTGCTTGTGCTCGTCATTCCAGGTACATGGGAGGAGACCCAGCTTGGGCCCCTCTCACAGGGCTGGGCACGGTGGCTCACGCCTGTAATCCCAGCACCTTGGGAGGCCGAGGTGGGTGGATCACTTGAGGTCAGGAGTTGGAAATCAGCCTGGCCAACATGGTGAAACCCCGTCTCTACTAAAAATACAAAAATTAGCCAGGCGTGTACTCGCCTGTAATCCCAGCTACTCGGGAGGCTGAGGCAGGAGAATCGCTTGAACCCGGGAGGCGAAGGTTGCAGTGAGCCGACATCGAGCCACTGCACTCCTGCCTGGGCCACAGAGCGAGACTCCATCTCAAAAAAAAAAAAATCTCTCACAAAAGCTCATAACAGAGTGACAGTATGAATGCGTGGGTGGGGGCCGGCAGGGTGCTGGCTGGTTTGTGCGTTGCTGAGAAGGAACGTGGAAAGGCATCTGAGGAGGTGGCATTTGGGCCGAGTGTGGTCACCCAAAGCAATTTGCCTCTGCGCTTGGCTCTCAGTCAGCCCTAGGAGGAGAGGTTTGGCAGGGGTGGTCCTTGGCAAGGTCCTTCAGGGAGCTGCAGGGGACCCTGAGTCTGGTTAGCCAATCACATGCCTCCCAGCTGCTGGACCTGACAGGTAGAGAAGGCTGCCGCAGTGTCCCTCGAAGGGCTGCGGCCTTCTTTGTGTGTTTTTATTTATTTCAGTCAGGGTCTCACTCTGTCACCCAGGCTGGAGTCCAGTGGCATGATCACGGCTCACTGCAGCCTTAACCTCCTGGGCTTAGGCAATCCTCCCACCTCAGCCTTCCAGGTAGCTGAAATGATTTACAGGCATCTGTCACCACATCCAGGGAATTTTTTGTATTTTTTTTTCTTGTAGAGATGGGGTTTCGCCATGTTGCCCAGGAGGGCCTCAACTCCTGGGCTCAAGTGATCTGCTCCCCACACACCACCGCCTCGGCCTCCCAAAGTGCTGGGATGACAGGTAGGAGCCACCGTGCCAGCCTCCTTTGTTATCTCTAGTCTTATTGCTACTTTTTCTCGGCAGGGGGTAAGTGACTTGCGGTGTTGTCATTGGACAAGTGCTGGCCAGGCAGGGCCATTTGTCTTGGTGAGGGTGGGGAGGGCTTTGAAACTCCATTTAAATGCTAACAAACTCTGGCCAGGGAGGCGGGTGGGGGGTGGGGGCAGTGGAGGTCGGGGAGTGGCTGCACAGCTTAGAAATCCCCACCAACTCAGTCCTGAGACCCAGCACACAAGCAGTCCAGCGCTTTTCTTTCTCAGGAGCCTCTCTTTCCACCAGCGGAGGAGGAGACAGATGCCTTCCAGCTGCTGGCTGGTCCCCAGGACCCCACTGCCACTGAGAGCTGACGAGTGGTCGAGTGCACGTGAGTGATACGGCCTGGGAGGCGGGAAGAATAACCCTGCTGGGGCTGTCATGTGGTCTTCAGCACAGCCCACGCCATTGCTCCCTTACAGGCAAGTATGTGCAGCTTGGAGAGGTGCAGTGACGTGCCTGAGGTCTACGGCCCCAAATGGCAGATGAGGGGCTCAATTCCAGGCTTGTCTGTGGGGTGCCCTCCCTGGACACAAGGACTGCCAACCCTGTGTGAATGTGAGCCTCATGAAGGAGACAGGTGAGAAGCCTGAGTGCTGGTGGCTGTAGGCTGCTAAACTGTAAATACAGATAATGTCCAAAGCACTGGTGGCTGTGAGCTCCTCAACTGTAAATACAAATAACGTCCAAAGGTGAGTCTCATTAATTGGTGATTGGGGCGTGGGGTGCAGATGTGTGCGCACATGTGCACGTGTGTGTGTGTGTACACACATATATAAAATTTCACTCTTTGGTCACATTAACAGAGATATAGCGTGCATATCATAGGAGGTGATAATCCCAATGTGTTGTAACCTGATCAAATCACACCTGAGCTTGTGGATCAGCAATGGGTGCAAAGACACAAATAAATAGGGGTGAACCTAGAATAGGGCAGGCTGGCTGATGACAGACCACTTCATCGGGTCTTGTGGGGGAATATGAAGGAAATGGAGAGCTTGCTGCCCCGTTTTGAGGGCTCCGTGGAGCAGAACTGGGCCTGGAGTGTTCTCTTGAGGATTCAGAGATTACAACCAGGCTCAGTGGGAAAGATTCCACCGTCGGCTCTTGGAGTCTGTGTGGGTGAACCAAGGCATCTCTGGGCCACATCCACTCAGGGAGACCACAGTTGGGTGGGAAGCCAGGGGGTGACTTCTGCATCCTTCCAACTCTAAGATTCGATTAGGAAGGTGTATAGGGGGAGTGTTTTAGTCCATTTTGTGCTGCTCTAACAGAATATCTGAGACTGGGTAATTTATAGACAGAAATGTATTTTCTTGCAGTTCTGGAGGCTGGGATGTCCAAGATGAAGGCTCCAGCAGGTTTGCTGTCTGGTGAGGGCCCCCATCTTTGCTTCCAAAATGGTGCCTTGCTGCTGTGACTTCTGAGGTGCAGGAGTGCTGTGTCCTCACGGGGTGGAAGGGAGGGGAGGGCAGAAGGGGGACAAACCCTTTGCAGTGGCATTAACCTATTCATGGGGCAGAGCCCAGGAGCTAAACACCTCTCAAGAGGCCCCGACTCCCAGCACTGTCGCACTGGGGATTATGCTTCCAACACATGAGCTTTGGGGCCACATTCAGTCCGCAGCACGAAGTTTCTCCTTTGAAGATTTTTTTATGAGTGAAAATAAACTTGGCTGAAAATGGATTCATAGACTTTAAAGCCGTCAGATTGGGATGTTTGTAAGATGCAGCTGACCTAGAAGTAGATGGTAGCATTAAGTAGGGGGAAATTTGTAGCAAAATGCAACTTTCTGAGTAGATGATGATTTTATAAAATCACAGGCAAATCCCACAGAAGATTAGCTCCCCCGCCACATCAGTGGTCACCAACTGTGACTGTAGTGGTGAAAAGATAGAGAGAGGGCGGGGCTGGATGAACTCGCAGGTTTGGGGTCTCCTCCCCTGTTTTCAGCTCCATATTCACAGTAGTGTTGCTTTGGTGAATTTTCACAGGATGGCCAAGGCCAATTCCTGCCCTAGGGAAAGCGTGAAGAGGCCTGGGCTCTATTAAAATATAAAATATTTGTACTCAGGCCGGGCGCGGTGGCTCACGCCTGTAATCCCAGCACTTTGGGAGGCTGAGGTGGGCGGATCACAAAGTCAGGAGATCGAGACCATCGTGGCTAACACGGTGAAAACCCCGTCTCTACTAAAAATACAAAAAATTTTAGCCAGGCTTGGTGGCGTGCGCCTGTAGTCCCAGCTACTCGGGAGGCTGAGGCAGGATAGTTGCTTGAACCTGGGAGGCAGAGGGTGCAGTGAGCTGAGATAGCACCACTGCACTCCAGCCTGGGTGACAGAGGAGACGCCGTCTCGAAAAAAAAACGTACTTAGTGGCGGGGTGGTGCCTTTGGTCAGTAGCCCTCAGGACATACTTGTGAGATGGCAGAGGGTGTGATCTGGTGCCAGATATGCTCTAACGGGGGTTCCGGTGACAAGGATCCAAGGGCCCACAGCACAGAGCCAGTGAAGGCAGACGCCAGGGTCCCAGTGGAGACTCCCCAGTGTCTGGAGGGGACCAGGGAATTAGCATTTTCAACAAAGGTTCACTTGAGTCTTAGCTTATTCAACCAAAAAACCGTAGTGATGTGGTCTGCATCTGTGTCCCCACCCAAATCTCATGTAGAATTGTAATCCCCAATGCTGGAGGTGAAGCCTGGTGGAAGGTGATTGGATCACGGGGGTGGATTCCCCACTTCGGTGCTGTTCTTGGGATAGTGAGTTCTCCCCTGACCCCGTTGTTAAAAAGTGTGCAGCACTGCCCCCCCGCCACCTTTCTTCTTCTCCGGCCACATACAGCGCTGGCTGCCCCTTTGCCTTCCGCCACGATTGTAAGTTTCCTGAGGCCTCCCCAGAAGCCGAGCAGATGCTGGCAGCATGCTTCATGTATAGCCTGCAGAACCGTCAGCCAATTCAATCTCTTCTTTTTATAAATTACCCAGTCTCAGGCATTTCTTTATAGCAATGCAAGAAGGGCCTAATACATGTAGCTCCAGAGGGCAGCCCAGCTGAGAATGGAAGGTTCCGGAAGGGTCCTCAGCAGGAGTGGCTCTAACAGAGGAGGGGAACGGGCCTCATAAATGGGGGCAGCTACTTGGGAATCGGTGGTTTCTACAATGAAGCAGAGGGATGTGGATGTGGGAGCTACACATGAGGACGTGATGGCTCGAAAGCCAAGGATATTCAGGGAGAAAGCATAAAACAGTGGACAGGCACCACCGCCAGCCAGGTGTGTTTCTGGCGGCCTCCACAGAAACCCATCTGCTCCTTCTCTACTGCTTGTAAGCCTACTCCTCCTTCAGCTCTGGGATCTGTCCTCACCTCCTCCTGGAAGCCCTCCCAGATCTCCTCCTAGTTCAGCTCACCTCCCTGAAGCCTCGGGGTGGGAAGTGGGGGTGACTGTGGCCATAAGCCCTGGGAGATAGACCCCAGTCTGGGTTTGTCTGCCAGGGTCTGAAGAAGGTGGGGTTGCTTAGCAGGACTCCATGCCCAGCTGAGACCAGAGGACTTGGGGGGGTGACATGGTCAGAAGGGACCCCGATGTCCTTGTTCTTGGGACTTGTTATCCTCCTTTTCTCCCAGCTGGGGTGCTTTTGCTTGGTGGAGCACCCACGTGCAATGTGTAAACAGGAACGCATTCACTGCAGGTGGGGCTGGCTCCGGTGATCATCCATACATGTAGGGAGCATGCGGGTGGAGACTTGTGAGTTTCAGGTGGCAGAGTCCTTTCCCGAGAGCACCTCCCTTCTCCTCCCAGCCCCTGCCTCCCCCTGGTCTCTTCCCTCCCACAGGAACCCGGCTAAGGCCTGTGGCTCAGCAGCCAGAGCTGAAGCGAGTGGGTGTGGGCAGGTCTGCCCTGGCAGAGAGGAGGGCAGGGTGGGCCTCGGTGGGGTGACCCCACTGCTCCCCAGACAGCCTCTCCTGGGGCCACTGCTGCCCCCTCCTCCCTCCAAGCCCGGTCATTCAGGCTCTGGCGCTTCTGTGAGCACCACCTCCTCTCCATAGAGCCCCTTGAATCTAGCAGCCTAGCAGCCCCCTTCCCTGCACAACGCCAGCCGCAGGCTCCCAGGAGGCACCCAGAGAGGGTCTCCCTCCCAGGTCTGGGATTCCTACTTTATTGGTGGTGGCACTTGCAGGGTCCAGGCCTCAGGGGTTCTACCAGCTCCCCAGTGGTGTGGAAGCGTAGTCAGGGTGAAACCTGGAAGGAATGGGTTCCCTTGGGGTTGCCAGAAACCCCCGAACTGGACAGGGAGGCCATGGACGACTCAGCTCATTTTCTGAGTCAGGGCTCAGCAGGCCCCAGGGAACTGAGCCCCCGACACTCAGAGGGGACAGGGGTCAAGGGAAGATCCCTCCAACTTCTGAAGGGCTGTGCGATATAAGGAGCAGGAGTGGGGGGCGGCTCAGCCCCTCCAGGGCCACAGGCGGCTGGAATCGGCCACCGTCCTTTCTCAGAAGCAGAAAGTCCAGGGGATGTGGGCACACCGGCTCCCCAGCCCCCGACGCATGCACAGAAACCTCTCTACGGTGTGAATAAGTCACCTGGCACAAAATGCTGCGAGTGTGTACCCACTGGGACTTCAGCTCCAGGCATGAGGGGGGATTTGAGGGCAGAGGCAGCGTAAGGGGACCCGCCTGTGTCTGCCACCCCAGGAAGTCGCTGCCCTGGAATCTCAGGGAGTCTCCCTTCCCCTTGCTTTAATGATTTTCAGCCTGGAGCTCTACCCGGGAACCTAGATGCGACTCACATCCCAGAGAGGAGGAAGTGGCTGGAGGGTGTGTTTGGGGTGAGATAGGAGGCCTGGACTGAGGGACCAATGGTGGTCTGGGAACACAGCCCCCACTTCTCTCTTCTCCAGGGACACGTCCCCCAACACTGCATGGGCAGAGGGGCTTGGCCGGGCCAACCAGAAGGGAGGGCATCTCCAGGCCTGTGGCCTCCTCCACCTTTTCCCACTTGGTCTCTTTGCTCTTTCCAGCTCTTTCTGGCATTTTCCGGCGTTTTCTGGCCAGAGTAGAACTGTAGAGGTCCTTGATGGATGAGATCCTTCCTGGAACCCTCATCCCCTGCTGAATTTAGGCCTCCACCTTCCTGATCAAAGGGAGGTGCAGCAGGAAGGGGACCCTCCCACTGGGGCAGCTCCACCCCAGCCCCGGGTCCAGGGCCTCTGGGGAGGGATGTGGCCTTCCTGCATCACCTCCCCTGCCCTCCCTACCCCCCTTCCCTCCTTCCATGTTGGCCCCAGGACCAGGCCCCTTCTGAGACAGGGGTGTGGGGGATGCTGAGGACAGAGGGTGTCTTAGGAACCGGGAAACTGTCTCTGCAGGCCTGCCGCGCACCCCTGGTCCCAGGATGTGGGTGGGGGAGAGTGGATGTTCCTTCTCCTTTGGGGCCGGCTCTGCTCCTGCTGCCTCTTAGGCTATCTTGCAGGGTGCACCCCCTACATAGAGACCCCCTCGAAATCCAGGAAGATGCCCACTGCTCTGCCTGGTCGTCTGCTGTGAACTACTCAGGCAGCGTTCCCTAATTCACGCTGGGGTGTGAGTGATTGCCACTCGCTTATCTTGAGTCTTTGAGAGGCTTTTACATTCTTACTGAGAAACAAAACCTTCATCCCCTTGACCCAAAAGGAGCACGTGGTGATCGTCTCCTCCCCTGAAGAACAGCTGCTGAGGGCTGGGAAGGAGAAGGATAGGGACACCCCATCGGGGGTCTCTCCAAAACCTCAGCCTAGCAGACAGCGCAGCAGGCCATTTAAACTTCCTGGGCCTCAGCCTTCCCATCTGTAAAATGGAGATCTTCATAGCACCTTCTCAGCAAGGTTTTGTAGGACTGAATGTGAGAGCGCCCACAAACATCAGGGCCCCATATCCAGCATGCAGCTGGCACTCCATTAATGCTCCACTAATCCCAGTGGTGGGGACCAGTGAGTACCAGTGCTGGGAAGGGTCCAGGCCCACGGGGTCACTCATTATGGACAGGGTGGGCTTCTGGCTGCAGTCTTGTGCAGCTCACGTGCAGCTTCTCCCACCTGCTCTTCCCAGCAATGGCCTTGGCCAAACCCTCCCACACTGACCCCTGCCGGGAAGAGAGGAAGCTGCTCTGGGAAAAATGGGGAAGTGGGAAAAACTCATCGCACCTCGACTGAGACAAGAGCAGGCTGGAAGGCCGGCAGGCTCCCTGGCACCACCGAGGCCTAAGCCTGGCTGGCTAGGAGACTTCTCCCACGGCCCCAGCCTTCCGGGACTATTGTAAGCTGCCTAAAGTCTCCCTGTCACCGTGCAGGGCTGGGTGTGGCAGACGAGCCACCTCGTGTAGCCCCTGCGGCTCAGCTCACCTGCAGGAAGCAGTCGGCCCAGGACACTTCTGCCTTGGGCCCTGGACCTGCCCCGGGACTCTGATTGAGCGGGGAGCAGAGGAGGCAGGTTGCAGGTCTTTGCTGCAGACCTTAGTTCCTCCCTAGCAAGTGGGATGGGCTTGGGGCCCCACCTAGGTGGCCCTGGGGCCAACCCTGGGCAGTCAGAGGCAGCCTGGGGCTCGAAGGCCTCCTTCTGGTGGCAGCTCCCCTGCCTGTGGCCTCTGGCTAGGGCCCCATGAGCTGTCCCCAAGGCTAGGAACCAATTCTGCCTCACAGTCTCGGTAGGAACTGGCCTTGCCCACACCTTGACCTCAGACTTCTGGAGCTGTGAGACAGTAAACTCCTGTTGCCTGGATCATCCAGGCGATGGACTTGGTCAGGACCACCCCGGGTCACTAGTGCACGGCCGGGCTATATGGACTGATTGAAGGTGGAAGCACCAAGGCTGTGATGAGGGTCTCAGGATGTGTGAGCCAGGACAGGGAGAGAGAGCAGGTGGGTGTGGGTCACTGACGTAACTCTGGCTTTTGCCCACAGGGCCTGTGACTGGGCCAAACGAAGTCTGCACAAGAGAAAGTGGGAGGGGATCGCACATGCAGGAGAGAAGGGGGCCGGGCCAAGGGATCTGGCTCTGGCTCTGCGGCTCTGTGTGGGGACCCCCTCTCCTCCTCTCTGGAGGGGCCCAAGCCCTCCCTACCACCCCCGCAGTGAAGGCACAGCAGCCAGGTGGGTGAGCTGGCATATGAGCAGCTGGACGGGCCCGTCTGTGCCAGGAGGCCTGCACGACCTTGCTTCTCCCTCACAGCCCTGACAAGGACGGCTCAGATGAGGCCTGTGATGACTGCAGGCTGCAGTGTGCCAGTGACGGGGCGGGTCCCTGGGCCCGGGCAGGGGGAGGGCTCCAAGCCCTGCAGAGCCGTGGCTCCCACTGTCCCTGGGTGTGGGGGACTGTCAGAGCTCAGGCCCAGGACAGGCTGACCTGTGTGGGCCTGGCCAGTAGGATGGCTTTCCTCTGCCTGCGTGGGGTCCTGGGAGCCCCATCTGCTCTCCAGGTGGGCTAGTGGGCAGCAGCCCCGTGGTCGCTCAGTGCCCAGGTGTGACTACGAGGCTGCCTGGGACCAGGCACTGTGTGCCCTGGGAACCCTGCCCAGTGGTGAGTAAAGCAGAGACTGTCCCACCTGCTGGGGCTGCCACAGGCAGCTCGGGCTGAGCTCAGGCAGCTCAGGGGCAAGGTTAAGCCGGCCTGGAGACCGCGCTCAGCTGCCCCTCCCTGCTGGTTCCCGACAGCAGTGGCAGCTTTGCTCACCACCTGGAGTGGCACAGGGAGGTTCCAGCCCAGCCAGTCCCTGGATGGCAGGGCAGGGCCCCCACAGGCCTGGAGATGGAGCTGAGAAGATGCTGGAGCTTGGGAGGCCCAAGGAGCGGTAGGGGAAGTGTCAGGACATGAGCTGGGGGGCTGTGGGATCCTGGAGTGAGCAGGGGTCTGGGGAGATGGGCACTCATGTGACAAGGATGAACTATAGGCCAGCCAAGGACAGTCGTCCTGAAATGCAGGCTCCTGATGCAGCCGCCAGCCAAGACGAAATGTTTGCCAGCTGGAAATGAAGGCCCAGGAGGGCCCAGGTTGTGTCCCAAGTCCCAGGGTCACCCTGGGCTGGTGCCGTGCAGGCACGAGGGGCTGGCAGAGTCTGGGTGTCCTTTCCCCGCCCCAGCCTCACCCTGGGGGTGTAAGCAGGAGGCAAGTGGGCAAGGTGGGTGCAGTCTTGTCCAACCCACGGAGTGTGTGTCAGGTGGCCACGAGGCAGCCAGCGTCTGGCTGGAGGTGCTGCAGTGTCTTGGGGGAGGACCCCCCAGGGCTGAGGGAAGAGGCATGAGTTTGAGTATTCCATTGGGTTGTCCCAGCTCAGGGATCCCCGTGGGGCCTGTGGGGGCCCCTTGGGCAGGAGCCCAGGCTGGATGTGTGGTTTGGGGCTGCTCAGGTCTCTTCTAAATCCTCCCCCCATAAGCCCTGCTCCTCCCTGGCCGGCACTAGCCCAGTTGCAACCCTCAAAGTCCCCCCATAGTCACCACCTTCCTCTGGCTCCTGCCAGCTCCCAGACCCACCTCTGCCCATCAGCATGGGGTTCCAAGCAGGAGAAGAGTCTGGACTTGACCTCAGCAGCCAGTGGCTTCAACTAAAGGCAATCCCAGCTCTGCACGTCCCTTGCAGGAGAGACCCACTGAGGCAGGGCAGCATCTGGGGATGCCTTGGGGAAGCTGGCAGGGGGTACCCAGGGAGGCCTGCCTGCCTTCTGCCTTCTCCCTCAGGGCCACTAGGCTGTCTTGCATCCCCTGCAGCTCGCCCTCCCCTTCCTTGGCCACAGGAGAAGTGCTGGAGGGCCCGGCATCCGCTCAGCCCCATTGCTATGCCTTTCCTCACCTCCTCCTCTCCTGCCAGGTGGGAACCCCAGGCAAAGGAGATGCTGAAGAACTGTGCCCAGTGGTTCAGCCTCCTGGGACCAGCAGACAGCATCCCCTGGGAGGATGTGGGCCCAGCCCAGGGGTCCTCTGGGGAGATGGGGAGGTGAGCAGAACTGGTGTCCCCTTTCTGTATGGGCTGGGAAGCTTCTTGGGGGAGGTCTGGGTGCCGCCTCTGCCAGCCTCCAGGGTGTCCTGCCATCGTGGCTGGGTCCTCTGACTCCTAGCTGCTGGGGTTTGAGGCTCAGGCCCCGGACTGACCACTGCAGAGCCCAGTGGATCCCACCCCCTGGGGGTGGCTGCTCCTGGGGGCAGAGCCTGGAGCAGACACGCCCTCAACAGATGCCCCTGATCCCTGCATTTATGGAGCATGTTGCTGTGGGCCACGGCCCCGGAGCACAGGGACTTTTTACTACCTGGCCTCCAGTACCTTGGGCCTACACGAATTTTGGTAACTACCAAAATAGCGGAGACGTGAAGCCGTGGCTCCCAGTAATGAGTAGAAAATGCAACATCAAAATTAATTCTCTAGCAACAGCAGCCACCCACACAAAGCGTCAGATTATGTGCCAGGCACCACACACAAGGCAGCTCATTTAATTCTCAGGGAGACAGTGAGGGGAGATTATTAGTATCATTTCCCACTTCACAGATGGGAAAGCTGAGGCAGAGAAAGACCACAGGCGCTTGCCCAGGGACACGCGGCTGGGAAGTACCGGGACTGGGATTTGAACTCAGATCCTGTGAGCACAACCTTCACCCTGCTGTGCCTCGCTGCAAGGCTCTGTTCAGTCAATTAGCGGAGTCTAGCTTGGCTCTTATGTCCCCCATAGACGTAGTTATCATTTGAGGGCTGCGTCCAGGACTGATGGCAGGCGGCAGGGCTCAGCACAGCGCCCCAGGGCTCCAGCTCAGACTCCTGATCGCCCCAGCCTCCATCTCCCCCTGAGCAGTCCCCGCACCTCAGTTCTCTGAGAGCCAGCGTGGGTCTGCCTTGGGAACAGGGCTTCAGCCCTGAGGGTTTGCCAAGGGTCCTAAGCTGCAGTTGTTCCGGGGCATCTGGCCCGCTCAGGTCACTGGGAGTCCGCAATGGTTTGACAGGTCTCAAGAAGCACTGGTACCTGGGACCCCGGAAAACCTGCTGCTCAGAGGACACAGGGTGCAGGACACAGGGTGCAGGATACAGGGTGCAGGACACAGGGTGCAGGATACAGGGTGCAGGATACAGGGTGCAGGACACAGGGTGCAGGATACAGGGTGCAGGACACAGGGTGCAGGATACAGGGTGCAGGACACAGGGTGCAGGATACAGGGTGCAGGATACAGGGTGCAGGACACAGGGTGCAGGATACAGGGTGCAGGATACAGGGTGCAGGACACAGGGTGCAGGACACAGGGTGCAGGTTGGGGCCCAAGGGGCCAGAGAGCCTTCGAGTGGATGGCAGAGGGCACCGGCGGCAGAATCACAGTACCACAGACTGCAGTGTGGGGTCCAGGCCGGGGTCCTGCTTCCTTGCCGCCCCAAGGCTCTGGCCCTGCCTTGCTGCCTGGGGCCTCCCCACAGCTCCGTGGAGAGGCAGAGAGGCTGGGCCCTGCGCAAGGAGGCGGCTGAGCTGGGCTCAGCTGGGCTCAGCTGCTCCATTGCAGCCTGTTTGCGCTCCATCCCCAATTCCTCGGTTGTCTCCAGAATGGAGCGGGCAGTGACGGGCACTGGATTTCAGGGCTGTTTGCTCTCCAGGTGGGGAATACAGCAAGGATAGCCCAGGGCTGAAAGCCCAGGAACAGATTTCTCTGCCCTGGGGGCTAGAGAGGGTGACGGGTCAGAGAACAAGGGGAAAGAAAGCAGCAGGGGTGCTGAGTGGAACAGGGCTGCCTGGCATGACCAAGGTCCCTGAGCAGGATCATGGGAGTCCTGCTCGGCCCCCTCTGCTCCTCACCTCCCGCCTTCCCCACACCTTGGGAGCCCCCAGGATGCAGCCTGAGGACCTTCTAGAACCTACATTGTCCACATTGTCCCCTGGCTTGGAACCCTCCCGTCTCTGCTGTTCTTAGGACCGACTCTAAGCTCACGAGCCTGGAGTCTGATGCTCTCTGTGATCTGGCCAATGCTGGCCCCTCTGGCCTAGTCCCGATCATCCCAGGCACACACCCTCCTTGGTGCCCAGCAGAGCTCCCTCAGAGCAGAATGAAGAGGGGAAGGAGCATCCACACCACCATGCTTTGAACGTGGAGCCCCTTGGCCTGGAATAGCTTCCTGATACTCTGAGTCCCTGGGCAGTTCCAACTCCCTGGAGAGTCTGGGTGAGCCTTACCTCCTGCAGGAAGCCCCCTGACTCTCCGCCACCTCCTCCAGGAAGCCCCCCCCCCGCCCGACTCTTCACCACCTCCTCCAGGAAGCCCCCCTGACTCTTCACCACCTCCTCCAGGAAGCCCCCTGACTCTCCACCACCTCCTCCAGGAAGGCCCCCTGACTCTCCACCAACTCCTCCAGGAAGCCCCCCGACTCTCCAGGCAGAGTTGTGCCTCCTTGAGGGTAGGGCAGGGCTGAGCTTTCCTCATGGGTTGGAGCCACCAAGTCACAGAGGAGGCAACGTCAGGCAAGGAACCTGGCAGAGGCAGGAACCAGGCTCAGCACAGCCCGGGCCCCCTGCAGGGAAGGGCTCTGGGGGTCTCCTAAGCTGAGGCGGTCAGAGGAGTGAGATTTGACTGAGCCCCTTGCTACCTGGCCCTCATGGACGGGGCGCAGCCCTGCTGGGAAGGGAGGAATGAGCCAGTGGCCTGCTTGGAAGGCCCTTGGGGCACCTGGGGCGGACACATGGAGGCTGTGAGGTCCTTGGCTCTTCTGAGGCCCCTCTGGCTGTGCGGGGCTGGGAGTCTTAGTTCTGGGGCAGGACCTGCCTCTAGGATCAACCTCCACCCAGAACAAAACCCCATCAGCTCCCATGCTGGGGAGGTGAAGACCCGCACAGCCCCTGGCCTCCTCTTCCTCTCCCCTCCCCCCACTGCCACCTTCCAACCTCAGGACACCTCTGCTGCCTTGCAGGCTTCCAGAGAGTTCTGAAGGAGAGTCCGGGGCAGGCATGGGGCTGCAGCAGGGGCTCGCTGGTGTGGGAGAGAGGAACGCTGGCCAGAGGAGAGCTGCAGAGTGAAGGCATGGAGGAGCCTCCTGGCGGAGCAGAGGATGGCAGGGGGTTGCTGCCGCTCTGTGCTCTCCACCATAGACTCCCAGAGCCTGAGAAACCGGGGGTCCTGGTGACAACCTCATCCAACCCGCTCAGTTCAACCATTTTCTCATGGCGGCAGCTGGGTCCTGGGTCTCGTGTCCCAGCCCTGGACCACATCACGTGAACCGACCGGTTGTCCCAGCCACGACGCACAGCTGCCTAGTGGTCCTGGTTAACTTTATGTCACTAACTTGCAAAGCGCCATGCTCAGAGCCTTAGGTACCACCTCTTCCTCTCCTCACAGCCTCCTGAGGGTTCTACGACAGGGCCGGTTCTCCCTCTCCACAGAAGAAGAGACCGAGGTCAGAGAGGCTCAATGCCCCGCCTGAGCCTGCACTGCTAGGACTCACACCCAGGTCCTGGGCCCCCGTAGTGTGTCCTCCGCTTTGAAGCAAGTTGGTCAGAGAAGCACACCCCTGGCAGTGGACTGCCCGGCAGAGGCATCAGCTGCTCTGCTGGGACCCTGTGAGGGCTCCTCTAGGGAGGCCACCTGCTGACCACGCTCCTGTAAGTGCCGGAGCACGGTGGTCTCCATTAGGCGTTGGGACCCCCCACTGGCTCTTGGGACTTGCAGCTGAGCAGATGCAACATGGCACGTGAGAGCAGAGTGGCTTCTGAGTGGCGGCTGGAAACCCAGCAGATTCAACCTGTAGGGCATGCTGTGCAAATGTGGGCGGACAGCGTGCAGCAGTTGCCATCGGCGTCCCTCCCAGCCTCTGGCCGTCGTGAGGCCAAAGCTCTGACCTCTTCCAGCACCCTGAGCATGAGGCCCCGAGAAGGCACCATCACAACCAGGGTCCTGTTTGTCATGACTACCTGGATTGCTCAAATTCCCATTTGACACAGGAAGACATGGCATCTCTGGAAATTGAGGCTGAGCTGGCAGGAGGGAGCTGGGATTCCCACCTGCACCTGCCCCTTCCCTGGGGATTTGCTGGTAGGACCTACAGGGACAGGTGGGGGGCTTGGTCCAGCATCGCCGCTCCTCATGCACCCCTCAGGAAAATGTCTAGAGCCATGGGGAGCTGACTATCCTTTCTTAGGAGCCTTTAGGCCAAAGGACAAAAAGGTGACACTGCCCCACCCCCACGACGCCAGGGACCCTGGACCTCAGGCCGAGGGTCAGCATCCCCATGATCTCAGGCCTGAGGCTGGCTTCCCTTGAGGGGTGTCGGCCTGGCAGTGTGTCCCAGACAGCTCAGCTATCTCCAAAGGCCCTGGGAAGCTGGGCTCTGCTGACCCCACGCTCTGCTCTCAGGAACCCCTGTCTGTTCCCAAGGGTCCAGCCAAGTCCCCTGCCAGCTCAGGGTGTGTAGGAGACCCCTCCCTCACCACCCCGATCTCTCAGCATAAACTCCATTCTGCCAAGGCAATATTAAGTCAAATTGAGAAATGCCCCCTTTCAAGTCTGTTTCTTACAAAAAAAATTGTGAGCAAAAGAAGTCAAAAGTCAAAGGCACAGGTGGTGAACAGATGCTTCAGAAGTGCCCTTGCAAGTCCTAATCTCTCATGTCCCACATCCTGCCTGGTGGGCGTCCCGCCCCTGGAGGGAGGTTGGGCAGTCCCCTCACCACCACGGCGGGCAGTGCTGCCCTGGAGGAGGGAGCAAGGCACCGGGATGTGGGTGCAATGCAGCATCCCAGACCTGGGGGCACCTCGCGATGCTGCCCTGGAGCCCGCTGCCTGCCCTGCCTGCCCGAGGGGCTCCAACGAGGCTGAACAGTGTTGGGGGTCCGCGGGCGAGCGAGGCGTCCAGAGCTAATGCCCTGCTGGCCGAGGTGCCAGCCCCGGGGAACTTTGAAGAAGTCAGCAGAAAACTGGTTGGGGCAGGGTTGGGGGGCCCTGCACTCCCCGGCAGAAGGCAGAAGCTGCTCCCAGCCCCCTCCCCACCACACGATTCCAGACCCTTGAATGCTTCCTCCACAGCGTCTCCCTCCGACACCACCGGCAGTGGTGGCCCGTGGAGAAAGGAAGCCCCCTCCACAGATGGCGCGAGGCTCCCAGGCGGTGGGCTGGGGGTGCCCGGAGGCGGCACTCACCGTGCAGCAGGGCATGGGGGCGAGGCTGGGGTCCCTCCTCCGGCCGGTCCTGTGCCTGCTCTGCTCTGCTGCCTGTCCGGGTGCCGGAGGCACGACCGCTCCCCTCCAGGCCGACGGGCTGCTCCAGACGGAGTATCCAAGACTTTCTGGGCACGGGCGGGTGTTTTGGGAGAGCAGGCCAGGCTGGGGGTGGGGGTGGGGGGTCACTGCAGGCGACAGCGGCTCTCAGGGCGTGCCCCGGAGACGCGCATCCCAGCTGCACCTACAACTGCCCCTGCGTGCGCTCGCCTGGGGCTGCCAGCTATCCCTCCCGCAGGACCTGCTGCTGCAGCCGCCTTCTGGGCGCTAGGCGGACCTGGCTGCAGCCGCTGCAGTCCAGGAGCTGTGCACGCTGCTGTTACCTAACACCTCGGAACGGCTCCGTCTCCGCGGCGGGCTCGCTTAGGGATTGCAGTAGGAAGCAAACGCTGCATGGAGAAACACCAGGAAGACCCCCTGACAGGGCACGGCACTGCAGGACCACCCATGGCCTCTCACCTCAAGGAGGGGTGCGGCAGAGCACAGAGACGGTGGGCGACAGCCTGGGGTCACACAGCAAGTTAGCTGCCTCCCCAATTCAGGCTTTCTGTATTCTGGAATTATTCCCCATCGCCTGGGCACTCGGCTCCCTCCCTGCCCAGCCCCCACTCTGCCCCCCAGACAGTCCCCATGTTCACCTTTCCCCAGGGAATGCCTGTAGCTTCTAGGAAGTGTCTTTTGGGAGGCAAGAGCACTGAGCCCGGGCCCAGGGAGCTGCAGGCACTCAGGCACCCAACACACAGGTGATCCCGGAGGCTGCAGGCACCCAGGCACCCAACACACAGGTGATCCCGGAGGCTGCAGGCACCCAGGCACCCAACACACAGGTGATCCCGGAGGCTGCAGGCACCCAAGACACAGGTGATCCCGAAGGCTGCAGGCACCCAAGACACAGGTGATCCCGGAGGCTGCCCGTGGGTGGGGGTGCGGGAGGGCAGGTGGACAGGCCATCTCAGAGCCCTCTCCCTTGCACCTGGAATGTGTCAGCTGAGCCATCCCTGGCCTCTGCTGTGGGGATCTCTGCCTCCTGTGTGCCAGTGTGGGGCAGGGCCGGCCTCTCCTTAGCACAGCTAGATCCCCTGCTGGCCCAGATGCTGGGTGACCACCTCAGCGTGCTGTGGGAAGTGGCCACAGCTGCGGGAGCCAGGGCTGCAGGGGGTTCCGAGAGGGGTGCCTAGCCCGGCCCCCACCCCCTCTGCCAGGCACCATCCTGAGAACACTGTGTGAGCAAGGTGCTCAGACCACTCCCGCGCCCATCAAGGAGGGAGCAAAAGGCCTTGGACACCACGGCCTGGGTTTTGCCACCGGCCACTCAGCGGCCCTGTGCTGACCTCACGAGGATCGGGGGGTGATTTCTGTAAGGAAGTGTAGCCCAGTTCATGGTGTGTAGTCAAGCTCGGCAAGCGCAGTGACACTGTGACACGCTTTCTCTCATTCAGTCTCACCAGAACACTGCCTGCCATCCACCCGGTTCCCCATTTGACAGATGTGGACACCAAGTCTCCATATGGCTCACTGACTGGTCCCAGGTCCCTGAGGGAGGGTGGCTCGGGGGATGGCAAGCTTCACAACCCATGTGCACCTGAGCTGGGGCAGCTAAGGCAGAAGGAGGCTGCTCTGTGGGGCTGGCTGTGGGGAGAAGGATGGAGTGCAGGTGAGGGGCTTGTACATGTCATCATCTGTCCTTTCGGTTTTCATCTTGTCCATCTTGGGGAATCGTGGCATTCTAGGACATTCTGCACTCACTGGCCAGGGCCAGGGGCTCCCCGCATCAGCCACCGAGAGTGCCTACGTCCCTGCACAGACTCTCCCCCGTCTGGCCTCAGCAGAGAACCCTGACAGGACAGACGTCCTGTGCACTAATAGAAGTCAGAGGGGCCAGCTGGAACCTTCCAGATGCCACCAACTTTACCAAGCGGAGTGTGGGTCATCGCCAGCGTCCTGCCCACTGATAAGGAGACAAGGTGGTTGGGGGCACCACCCAGTGGTAACGAGGGGCGGGGAATGCAGTTTGGGCAGGTCTGAGGGACAGGGGCTTGGACCACCACACACACAGCACAGCTGCCACATCCTGAGCCTTTTCACACCCACTGCAGCCATGCAAACTCCGTGGCAGGTCCTGGGGCCGGGAGCTGCTTGCAGTGTGGCTTTCTCTAGGGCTTGCTGGCCCTGAGCTCCAGAGTTCGAAGTTCTTGCAATGGACTTTAGCCACAGTGTCCTCCGTGATTCAATGGACACAGAGGATGCATTTAGTTTATGGAGGAAGAGAGAAAACCTGCCAGTCTCAAGAACAGGGGATAACAGGGAGATTCACTGTGATTTTGGTTTCCTTTTATTCAGCTGAGCAGACATTTTATTCTCTCTGTGGGAGAGAATGAAACCACCCTCAGAGAGCCACAGGGTTTGTGAGTGGCCCTTAGTCAGGCTGCGTGTGGCTTGGGAAGTTTTCACTTTCCAGGGAATTCATGAGTCTGAGCCAAGAGCGAATATTTGGCTATTCTTCAGGCACCTTGTCCCCTCCCTTTCTCCCCTCCCCTCCTTTCTCCTTGGCTTCCACACTCCTCCCTTCCTTCCTTTCTGCCCCCTCCCTTTCTCCGTGATTCTCTTCTCTCCTCCCTCCCACTTCCTTCCCCATCCCCCTCCCCCCCTTCCCTTTTCATTTCCCTGGCTCCATCCCCTGCCTCCTCTCACCTCCCTCTCATCCCCTCCCTTCTCCCTCCCCCACTTGTGTTGGGCAGTGGCTGAACCCCTGGCAGGCCTGCACCCAGTCCTGGGAGCCCCAAGGTAGAAACATGGCCCCTGACTCCAGGTGTACCTGAGCTTGGATACAAGTGAGTACACCTGCCAGGGAGGCTGCTCTCAGGGCAGGATGTAGAGACTGATGGCGTCAAAGCAGGGGAATTTGGAGACCTGCCCAGTAGAGGAGGTTGCTCGGGTGTAAGGAGCGTGAACCGAGGTGCATGGAGGGTGGTGTAGGGCTGGCTGTGGGCCGAGGCGTGGAGTGTGGAGGAGGTATGGGTGGCTTGTTTTCTCCCTCATCCCTTTTTCCTTGGCAGAGAGTTGGGAATACTTTGAGGAGGATGTGGAGAAGGAGGAGGAGTGACAATGATGATGATGGTTATGGTGATGGTGGTGATAATGGTGATGGTGCTGATGATGGTGATGATGATAATGGTGGTGATGGTGATAATGGTGATGATGGTAATGATGATGGTGATGACGGTGGTGGTGGTGATGGTGATAATGATGATGATGGTGGTGATGGTGATGATGGTGGTGGTGGTGATGATGGTGATAATGGTGATGATGATAATGGTGGTGATGGTGATGATGGTGATGATGATAATGGTGATGATGGTGATAATGGTGATGATGGTAATGGTGATGGTGATGACGGTGGTGGTGATGATGGTGATAATGATGATGATGGTGGTGATGGTGATAGTGGTAGTGGTGGTGATGGTGGTGATAATGGTGGTGGTGGTGATGATGGTGATGTTGATGGTGGTGATGGTGATGATGATGATGGCAGTGGTGGTGATGATGGTGATGGTGATGACGGTGATGGTGAGAATGGTAGTAATGATGATGGTGATGGAAATGATGATGGTGGTGGTGATGATGATGGTGATGGTGATGATGGTGATGTTGAGGATGGTGATGGTGAGGATGGTGATGGTGAAGTTAAGATGATAAGAGAAATGGGTGCTATGTCAAGCACCTGGTGTGAGGTGGCATCACTGGCATTGGGCTTTCCTGGAGGTCTAGTTGGTCCCCCACTACCTCTCAGCACAGCAGCTGGGGTGACATTTTGAAAACCTGCTCTTCCCACTTCATGGTTTCTGGCCAGCCCTGGTCCCAGCCCATGTGTGGGACCTGCCATTTAGCTCTCCAATTTGGTAGCTCCGTCTGTCTCACCTTACCCCCAAAGTGTGATGTTAATGGTGAAATTTCAGATCTTATGAAGGACAGTGGAGGCGATATTTTGGGGGTGGGGATAGCCCTATCTGCAAATCAGCTCCAAAAGGCCACACTGTGCAGGGGTTTGGCCCCTCTCCCTGTGCATATGCTGAGCAGCCTCGTGATGACATGCTGAAAAGGAGGAAAGCTTGCATGGCCAGGCTGGCTGGCTTCAGAGAGGACAGCTCCATCTGTCTGCTCCGGGTTCCTGGCCTCTTTGGCGAGACTGGGACTGGCTCCCTACAGGACACTGTCAAGTATTCTTATTCTGTGTCTCTGCAGCCGCCTCCCTCCTCCTGCAGGCAGCCTTTTCCAGGCCATTAGCCCAGCTACGGGCCATCTGCCACCCTTGCTGAAGCCCCACAAGTTTGTCTGGGGGACAGGGCTGGGACAGCATATCTCTAGGAGGCCTGAGCCTACTACACTCCTCAGGCCCTGGGAGACTGAAACAAAGTCCTCGTCAGAGTCCTGGGGTGTGTGGCTCTGAGAATTACAGATGTCCTCACATACCTGTCAGAGGAGGCTGTGGGTGACACCTAGGTCCCCAGGCACCGCTGCTGAGCTGCTGTTTGACCTTGGGCCGGTCTCACCCTGCCTGGGCCTCAGTTTCTCCATTGCAGAAGGATGGGGTCCAGACCAAGGGGGATGAATTCTTACCATGGCAGGTGAATTCAGTGCCAGACACATCTTGTTATCTACTCATTATATCCACAAAGAAATAGGCCAGCTCCAATTTTTTCCTGAAACAAGAGGCTTCTGGATCTGTTTTTCCCCATTCTCACAAAAAATGGTGGCAAAAAACCCACTCAATTATATCTTCAATCTAGAAATGAACAGTGCGGTGCCATGATGGGTGACCTGGGACTCAGGGTGACAGTAGAGAAGGGCTCACGGGGGTGGAGGGCATGCCTGCCTGAAGCCCCAGACTCTCTCCAACTCCTCCTTTGTGGCCAGGTGGCATTGAGGGCCAGGTCTGCCAGCCGCTGATATTCAGGAGGGCTAGAAAGCTGGATTTTAATGTAAAATCTTCTTATTGTTCAGTGCTGGCAACTAACGCCAAAAGACTTTAATTACTGAATGCCAGCCAAGCGCATCTGCAGGCTCCACTGGTTTGGTCTGTAGGTCAACAGTTGCTGACCTCTGGCCCAAGGGGATGGCCCGTGAGGGCCTGCCCTTTGCTGTGATGCATGTGGTGAGCTCTCTGGCCAAGCAGGGTCTCTATGATGCTCACTAGGGATGCCAGGTGGTCTCAAGGTATGAAACGTCTTCTGGCAGCAGCTCAACACAATTTGGAGGAGTTGGGTCTTTACTCAGGGCCCCTGCTGTGGGGCCTGTAGCTGTTGGAGGGGAATCCAGTGCAGACAGATGGGTCTCTGGGAAGCTCTAGCTGGCTAAGGTCAGCCAGTAGGTGGGATGCCAGGACGCAGTGCAGGTGGAATGACACAGGGCCTCCCTGGACTTTAGAACAGTTTCCCTCCAGATCCAGCATCTATTTATTCTGCAAACCCTCAGCTCCTGCCTGGGACTGTGCTTACATACAGGTGTCCACATAAGGAAGAAACTGACTTGGCAGTGTGGCTGCCTGGAGGAGGAGGCAGTGACAGACAAGGAGAAGGGAACGGGAGGATGTCCCAGGAACAGCCTGTACAAGGCACCCCTAAACCCAGCCTGTCATTAAGTCCTGTGAATGCACCTATAAATTGTAGGCCTGGATGACTCCCTTTTATTCTTCTGACCATAACCAACATGCCTGAAGGCTCAGTTCATGCCAGCTTCCTGTAAACCACCTGTGCCGTGAATTCTCTCATTTAACCCTCACACAGCCTATGAGATAGGTACAGATCTGCAAACCCTTGGGGACCCATGTGCTTTGGAAGTCAAGAATATCCTTTTCATTTTAGAAAGGGTAACATGAGTTCTGTTTCTGGTAATGGTAGGGTAGCTGACATCAGAGCAGTCCTGCTGTTATTAAATAACTGTCAACTCTGGGAAGAATCAAAAGCAACCGTTTGAAGATACAGGAGAGCAAATAAAAGAAGGCAGAAGCTGGAAAGGACATGGTCTGTATGAATTTCCTGTTGCTGATGTCACAAATGAACACAAACTCAATGGCTTAAAACAATATGCCTTTATCATCTAACAGTCCTGGAGGTCAGCAGTCTGAAACCAGTCTCACCGGGTTAAAACCAGGGTGTCCATGGGGCTGCACTCCCTCTGGAAGCTCTAGGGGAGAGTCTCTTCTTTGCTTTTTCCAGCTTCTAGAGGCTGCCTGCCTTCCTTGGCTCATAACCCTGTCCTCACATCACTCCAGTCTCTTTCTTCCATCATCACATCTCCTCCTACTCACCCTGATCTTCTGCCTCCCTCTTACAAGGACGCTTGAGGTTACCCTGGGCCCACCCAGATAATCTAAAATCATCTATCCATCTCAAGAGCCTTAATTTAATCATATCTACAAAGTCCCTTTTGTCATAGAAGTTCACATTCACAGGTTACATGGGTTAGGACATGCATATGTTTTAAGGGGGCTTTGTTTTTAGCCTACCACGAGCATATATGTTTATAGTTGTGGTATCTCTTGATGGACTGACCCTTTTATGATGGTATAATGTCCTTGTTTGTCTCTAGTAACAATTTTTTTAAATTAAATTTATTTAGTCTGATATTATTATAACCATTTTAGCTCTCTTTTGGTTGTTGTTTACATGGAATATCATTTTATATCTGCCTGTAATCCCAGCACTTTGGGAGGCCAAGGTGGGTGGATCACAAAGTCAAGAGATCAAGACCATCCTGGACAACATGGTGAAAACCATCTCTACTAAAAATACAAAAATTAGCTGGGCATGGTGGCATGTGCCTGTAGTCCCAGCTACTTGGGAGGCTGAGGCAGGAGAATCACCTGAACCCAGGAGGTAGAGGTTGCAGTGAGCTGAGATTGCACCACTGCACTCCAGCCTGGCAACAGAGCAAGACTCCATCTCAAAATAAATAAATAAATAAATAAATAGAAATAAAAATTTATTGAGACAGGCTGGAGTGCAGTGGTGTGATCACAGCTCACTGCAGTCTTGATCTCCTGGGCTCAAAGGATCCTCTGGCCTCAGTCTCCCAAGCAGCTGGGACTATAGGTGTGCACCACTGCATCTGGTGAATTTTTTATTTTTTGTAGAGACAAGGTCTCACTGTGTTGCCAAGGCTGGTCTCAAACTCCTGAGCTCAAGTGATCCTCTTGTGTTGGCTTCCCAAAGTGCTGGGATTACAGGCATAAACCATTGTGACCAGCCTCATTTTATATCTTTTTACATTTAACTTATTTGTGCCTTTCAATCTAAAATGTGTCTCTTGTAGGCAGCATATTGTTGCATCATGAAAAAATGCCTATTCTGGTAATCTGTGCTCTCATATGGAGTGTTTCTATATTACAAGTGGGTGAACATCTTGGTAGGGAGCATTATGCAGCCTACAAGAAAAGATTTAAAAAAATTATCTAAGCTGCTTAACTCAAAAAGCTAGAAAAAAAGAACAAATTTAACTTTCATGATTTAGACAGAAAGATGTAATAAATACAGATAAACAGAAATTAAATAGAAAACAGATGAACACTATAGGAAAAATCAATAAAAGTTGGTTCTATGAAAAGATTACTAAAATTGATAAAGCCCTAATGAGAATTTTCAGGAGAAAATGCAAAGTACCCATAGTAAAAATAAAAAAGAGATATGTGAATTTGATAGACAATAAAAGATTAATAAGGGGATATGGTATACAAGTTTATGCTAACAAATTCAAACTCAGATAAAATGAAGTGGACAAATTCCTTGAAAAAGAAAACTGACACAAGAAGAAAAAGAGAATCTGAATAGCCCTATATTTGTTAAAGAAATTGAAATTGTGTTTTAGAACCTGTTCACAAAAACCCAATTGGCTTCATTGGTGAAATAATATTGGTTTTATCCAAACTCTTACACAGAGTTGAGCAAGAGGAAATAATTGATGCCCAAACCTGAAAAGGACATCACTAGAAAATAAATGAGACACCAACCTCTCTCATGAACACAAATGCAAATACCCATTTCAAAATATTCATAAATCAAATCCACCAATATATAAAAAGGATAATATGTCATGGCCAAGTGGGGATTGTCAGGCCTCTGAGCCCAAGCTAAGCTATCATATCCCCTGTGACCTGCACGTATACATCCAGATGGCCTGAAGCAACTGAAGATCCACAAAAGAAGTGAAAATAGCCAGTTCCTGCCTCAATTGATGACATTCCACCATGGTGATTTGTTCCTACCCCACCCCAACTAATCAAACGACCTTGTGACATTCCTCCCCTGGACAACGAGTCTCATGATCTCCCCACCGAGCACCTTGTGACCCCTGCCCCTGCCCGCAAGAGAAAACCCTCTTTAACTGTAATTTTCCACTACCTACTCAAATCCTATAAAACTGCCCCACTCCTATCTCCCTTTGCTGACTCCTTTTTCAGACTCAGTCCACCTGCACCCAGGTGATTGAAAAGCTTTATTGCTCACACAAAGCCTGTTTGGTGGTCTCTTCACATGGACATGCGTGACAGGGACTATCCAAGGAATACAAAGTTAACATTTGAAAATAAATCAGTGCAATTCCTCCCATTAACAGACTAACAAAGACAAACTGCATGGTCGCATTAATAAATGAAGGAACAAAAAGTTGATGGAATTCAATACCTATGTGTGATTAAAGGAAGTCAGAAAATTGGGAATAGATGGGAATCATATCACTATGATGAGGCGCACATACAAAAAGCCTGCAGCTAACATGTTTAATGGCAAAACATTGAGCACTTTCCTGAAAGGTTGGGAATGAGGTGAGGATGTCCACTTTTACTATTTCTATTAACATTGTATGGGAGGTCTTAATGAGTGATATAAAACAAAGAACAAAAAGTGCAAAGACCAGAAAGGAATTAGTAAAATTATTTCTAATTATTATTATTTATAATAACTATTAATCATGTGTTAATTATAATTATTAAAATTTTCCTAATTCTTATATTTATCACTATTAATCATGCATCATTTTAATTATTATTCACAATAATTATTCATTATTCATTATTTACAATAATAATGTCATGCAAATGATTTGATTGTATACGTAGAAACTCCTAAGCAGTTTTCAAAAAGACTATTAGAATAAGTGAATTCAGCAAGTTCACAGGATAGCTGTTAGATAAATATAAAAAAATCAAAGTCAATATACAAAAATAATACAAACTATCAATATACAAACAATATACAAACTATCAATGAATATTGGAAAAAGCAAATAAAAGATTATTTTTACATAGCATTGAGAAACCTTAAATAACTAGCAATACATTTTACCTGAAATGTATAACACACCTACAGTGAAAACTACAGAGACAGAAATGAAAGAAGACCACAATAAACAGAGAAAAACCATGTTCATAAATTGGTAAACTCAATGTTGCCAAGACGTCCGTTCTCCATAAGTTGATCCAGAGTAACTGAATAGAGTCAATGCTATCCCAGTCAAAATCAGTAGACATTTGCACAAACTGTCAAGCTGATTCTGAAATTTATATAGAAATGTAAATCTTGAAGAAGAAATATAAAAGTGTAGGAGTAACACCACTTGATTTCATAACTTAATGTAAAACTGCAGTAATGAAGACAGTGCGGTGTTGATAGAAGGACAGTGAAATAGAGCAGTCAACAGAATAGAGTCCAGAAGTCGACCCACCCTATACAATCAGTTGATTTACAATACAGATGCCAATGCAATCCAATGGGAAAAGGGGTTTTACCAGAACAACTGGATATGCATGGGAAAGAAACAGACAAAATGAACTTTGATCATCATCTCTCACCACCTACATTTAATCTGAGATGAACACAGGAAATGCAAACCTGGGAGTTTACCCATTGGCCCCTGGGTGTCTTTTTTCCATGCTTGATACATCCCTATTCCCATCCCAGGGTCAGCTGCCAACAGCCCCCTCTCAGGATCAACAGCCCCCTCCCAGGATCCACAGCCCCCTCTCAGGATCGACAGCCCCCTCTCAGGATCAACAGCCCCCTCCCAGGGTCCACAGCCCCATCTCAGGATCCACAGCCCCCTCTCAGGATCCTGATCTTTCTGTTCTTCTTGGCAGGTGCCTGTGTTTTATTTTCCTACCCTTCCCCTCTGTGAAGGCTCCTGACTTCTTCCTTTCCTGATCGGACCTTGTTCCACTGCAAATTCTACGCTACGTCTCCCCCCAGACCTCAGATCCTCTCCTGCAGCCTTCCTGCCATTGTCCTCTTTGGAGGCTGCACCAGCTCTTCCCTCTTCCCTGCATTGCTGCTGCTGCAGCAGCTTCCTGTGTGTCCCCTGCTCAGCCTGGACCCCCACCCCCGCTGACCCCCTCTCAGTTGTTAGTTTTATTTCTTTCATATACGTCTGATATTATCCCTCTCCTGCTTACAATCCATTTGCAATCCCCCACAGAGCAACCGAGGAAAAGCCACGCCCCTCGTCACAGCCCTTTAAAGCCACGCCCCTCGTCACAGCCCTTTCTCATCTCCCCTCGGTGTCTTTGGCCACCTCAGCTTCCTTACCGGGCTCTAGCATCGGGGTTCCTTCTTCTTCATGGTGCCCGGGTTGCGCCTCCGTACCTTACCCTGCCTTGGCTCCGTTTCCCTGGGAGGGTCTGCCTTCCCTTCAAGGTTCTTAGATTGACCTGACTGTGCTAGAGACGGTCACTCTTTCTTCTGCACCCACACTGCCCTTGGAAGTCGCAGACAACACACTTCCAGGAAGCCTCCCCTGCGTTCCGAGTGGGGACATGTGACCCTCCTGCTCCTCTAACATTAGGACCACGGGATGATTTGAGGTCCAACTGGGCCCTCGCCAATAAAGGGGACACTAAGGCCACTGGGCCACAGCCATGAACTGGGAGCGCTGAGGGCAAGCTGGGACAAATGGCGGCTCCCCAGCGTTTCTGTACACCACGTGCACCCTCAGCACACTGTCTTTGAATTGTGTTTATGTCTGTGTCTTCTCCAGACGTCAAGCTCTCTGGGGACAGGGGTCATAGCATGGTGGGTCCACATCTTGAGCCCTAGGCCCAGTGCCCAGCATGGAGCTAACTTAGTGATGTTTGTGAACCCAAAGGGGAGGGAGAGGGCCTGGAGCACTGGACTCTGCTGTGAGAAAACCTGGGCCCCTCTTCTGATGATCTGCTCAGCTTTCAGGTCAGTGGTCAGGACAAGAGTGGAGAGGAAGCTTCCATAATCCAGGACCAGCCTGGTCTGATTCCAGTTAGCTGCACTCTGTCTTCGCCACATCATTTATTCATTTGACCACATCTCTTTCAATGGTCCATCCATCCATCCATCCATCCATCCATCCATCCATCCACCCACCCACCCATCCACCCACCCACCCATCCATCCATCCATCCACCCACCCACCCATCCATCCATCCATCCATCCATCCATCCATCCACTTATCCATCCATCCATCCATCCATCCATCCATCCATCCATCCATCCATCCACTTAGCCATCCATCCACTTGTCCATCCATTTGACAACAACTCATCAAGCCGCTTTACCTGCCAGTCCCAGGGAGACAGCAGCAAGTCAGCTGCTGGCTCTGTGCCCTCATGGAGCTCATCTTCTAGGGAGACACAGACACTAAAGAGGCAAACACAGGAGCGAATAAGCAGGGATGGGAAGCACATGACACATTGGACTGTGCTGGCTAGGGGTGGGGGCTGCTTGGGCACAGTGGTCACCGTGGGTGCTGACAGGGCAGGTGCACACTAGAGGAGCTGAGAATTCAGCTTCTGCTGCCAGGAAGCCCTGGGCATCACAGAGCAGGACAGACAGTCACAAGGACAGGCCCCTGAAGGTTGGGCAAGACAGTGATAGGGGCAGGGACAGCAGAAGGCAGCGAGGTGGGTGTGCCAAGGTCAGGGCGGGCGGGACACACCTGGAGGTCTGCAGAGGTGGGCCAGGTGATTCATTTGGCCTTGAAGGTTTGGGCGGGCCGCCCTCTGTGGAGACCTGGATCCCTGCCATCCGGGCAAGGAGACCTTGCCCTGATGTCTCTCACAGACCTGGGCTCAGAGCAGTCAGGTGACACGCTGGAGGTCACTCAGCCCGAGAAGAGCGGGCAGGACCGGAGCGAAGCTCCATCTGGGCTGTAGTCCAGCTTTTGCGGCTGCCTGGACCCAGACCAGCCCAGGGCAACCTTGTCCTTCCATGTGGCTGTAGCTTCTCCAGGTACAGAATTCGACCTGGTTGTCTTTGGGCTCAGCAGTGGGTGCCGGGGCAGAAGCCCCTCGCTCTCCATCTGTCTAGACTGGGCTGTTTGTCATGCGCCCCAGACACCATCAGCAGCCAGCCGCCTTCCTGTCCTGCTGCACACAGATGGATGGCCCCATAGGGGGCCCTGCAGCTATTTCCTGGGCTGGGAGGATGGGACAGATCCTGTAGGTTTCACCTCTGAAACTGTCCCCACCCTTATCCCATTTCCAGGTCTTTCAGGAAGGAGGCCACACAGCTCCTGGGGTCTTGTGTGAAGTGTCACAAGAATGAACAACCCTTCCCACCCTGCCCTCAAAGCCTAAGCCTCCCCCTGCCACCAGGGCTCAGGCTTTCCCGTCCCCCTGAGCCCCCCAGATGGCCTTTAGACCAACAGTGCTCACACTCCCGTCCCTCTGAGCCCCCCAGATGGCCTTCAGACCAACAGTGCCCACACTCCCATCCTCCTGAGCCCCCCAGATGGCCTTCAGACCAACAGTGCCCACACTCCCTGCTGAGCTTCCAGTCCTGAGAGCACGGTCTAGGGAGAACTGGCAGCGGGCAGGCGGGCACGGGACTTGGCGTGGCCAGAACACATTCATCCCGGGGAAGGAAGAAAAACCAGCAAAGGTGCGTGCCTCTGGGTTGGGGGACTACATGTAAGCTTTTCTTCTTTCCAGTTGTTAACCTTCTTCAAAGTTTCCATAAACGAGCAACGTTTTACTTTTCTAGTGGAAAAAGAACAACTTTATGCAAAGGCAGCTGCAGAATGTCCCACCCGGCACCAAGAGCACCCATTGAATGCCTTCATTTGGGCAAAAAAGAAAATTTCTGCAGGTCTTTATTTAAAAAAATACATAACTGGAGTGCTTTTCATCAAAAATGTCCCCATTTGGGTGGAAAAAAATTTTGGCGATTTCTCTTTTTAGTATTTTCCGTAGGGCTTGAATGTTTTAAAAATGACCAGAAAGTATTTTATTTCATGGTCAGAAAACACATCAAATGGTTTGCACTTTGGAAACTTGGATCCCCTTCCTTCCTTCCTTCCTTCCTCGCTTCCTTCCTCCCTCCCTCCTCCCCTCCCCTCCCCTTCTCTCTTCTCTTCTCTTCTCTTTCTTTCTTTCTTGCTTTCTTGCTTTCTTGCTTTCTTGCTTTCTTTCTTTCTTTTTCCTTCCTTTCTTCCTTCCTTTCTTTCTTTCTTTCTTTCTTTCTTTCTTTCTTTCTTTCTTTCTTTCTTTTTCCTTCCTTCCTTCTTTCCTTCTTTTCTTTTCTCTCTCTCTCTTTCTCTCTCTCTCTGTCTCTCTCTCTCTCTCTGTCTCTCTCTCTCTCTCTCCAAAGCAAACACTTGGGGCAAAAGCTCCAGATGATCCAGGGCTGAGGAGGGAGGGTGAGAGCAGAGGTGGGAGACGGGAGCAACCCGCAGAGAGCGGATGGCCCTGGGGACGCAGGAGAGGCCGGGTGGGGACCAGTGTGGGAGGGGATGGGAGGGGACCGAGGGGATGGAGGCTCCTGCATCCGCCGGCCCACGGGGCTGGGTCTGTTCTGTGCAGAAGCAGCACCACCTGGTGGCCTCTGCTGGTGACATCAGGCACCTGCCAGTCCTGGGCCTCAGAGAGGGGGACAGAGCCCTGGGTGTGGTCCCCGCGGGGTGGGCAGGACAATGATGGCTGAGCAGGGCGGGGAGTAAGGAGTAGTTCCACCTCAACTCTGTAGGGGGCGAATCAGAGCCTCAGCCAGCAGGTGGCATGGACGGCGCCCACCTAGCCCAGGAGTCCGGAAGCCTGGGTTCCAATCCGGCCACTGTGGGCTGGTGGCTGGCTCTGTTTTATTGTGCAGTTTTCTCCCCTGTGACTCAGGTGCAGCAGGGTGGGGAGGGGCCGGGTAAGGGGATCTGGGCTGGGCCTGGGGGCGTGGTGCCTGTCCTCACCCCTATTCAGGAGGCTTCTCCTTTCTCTCTCCTTGCCTGACCTCTCTCCAGCTCCATTTTCTGCCTCCCTCATCCTCAGCAGGCCTGGCTGGGGGGTGGTCAGGGCCAAGTCTCTCCAGCTGTGTCCAGCCCTTGGGTGCTCAGGGTAAGAGCTAGGTGGTGGGCGGGGCTCCTCCTGGTCCTGAAAGCATCTGGGTGTGGGGTGAGCGAGGGTCGGTGGGGGTGGGCACCTCCTGGCAGGCCCTGTGGGCGGGGCAAGCCCACTTATAGGAGACCCATGGGCAGGGACTGTCCCCTGGCACCCAGCTCGGCGCCCTCCCCCAGGGCCCTCCGCAGTACCGACCTCAGCGGCTCCCGCTTCCCGGGCTGTCGGCCCAACCCCGAGTAGATGAGGGGCTTGGAGCTGCTGTTGACGCAGGCCAGCAGCGTGGCCAGCGGGGAAAACACGGGCAGCAGGAAGTTCAGCAGGGGCTGCAGGCTCCAGTAGAAGACCGAGGGCAGGCCACAGAAGAAGAGCAGGAGCAGCGCGCCCAGGACGATGCCGTAGAGCCTGGGCCGCGGGCGAGTGGAGCAGCAGGTCACCCAGACAAAGAGGACCACGCCAGCCGTCCAGGCGACGCGGGCCAGCACCAGGAACCAGGTGACGCTGGCCACGTGGTAGCGCGGGCAGACCAGGGGGCACGCGCTGTTGCGCAGCAGGCCGCAGGCGTTGGCGGGCAGCGGCACGGCCGGCAGGGTCGGGGTCCACACCAGGGCGCAGAGGACGGCCGAGGCGTGTCTGGGCCGGCAGCCCTGGTAGCAGGCGGGGAAGAGGTCGGAGAGGCAGCGCTCCACGCTGAAGGCCGCCAGCAGCCAGAGCCCCACCGCGAACCACAGGAAGGTGAGCACGAAGTAGAGTGTGTCCTGGGCGCCCAGGGCAGCCTGAGCCACGGAGAAGCCCACACGGCAGGAGAGGAACAGGAAGTCGGCGGCGGCCAGGTGCAGCAGGTAGATGGAGAAGGGGCCCTTCTTGATGCGGAAGCCGAGGTTCCAGAGCACCAGCCCGTTACCTACCGGTCCCCCGAGGCCCACGATCAGCGTCAGGTAGAAGACCACACTGTCGAAGGTTCTCCAGAGGCCGAACAGCCCAAACATCCTGGCCGGCTCAGAGGGTGCTGGCGAGGGACCTGCAAGATGGAGACAGACATGGTCCTCAGGAGTCTTTTGTGCCCCCGCTGGGGGCACAGGGAGTGGCATCCATGGCCCTGCAGGTGCCCTCTGGGTGCAGCCCCTGGACCACCCTTCCCAGCGGCGGGACCTCAGCCGGGTCTCAGCCCTCTGCACCTCAGGTCAGGCGTGCCTAATGCCTCCCCATACCTGAGGGCAGGCCCTGGGCTCCTGGCAGGGTGGACTAACTTGCTGAAAAGATGTCCATGTCCCTCATGGATGTGGTGAGGGTGATGCTGCACCCTCCACCGTGTGCCAGACAAGGGTCTGCAGACAGAGGGAACGTGCATGGGGAACCCACGTGTGGCGCCTTCCTCTTCCCCCAGAGGTGGGAGCTTCTCCACGGTGGACCCTCATGGGGCTCCCACCTGGTGAGCCTAGACCAGCCTGCTGGCGAAGTCCCCTCCCCGGAGGGTCTCTGGAGGTGTCCAGGGAGGTGCCCAAAGGCAGAGGCTGCAGGTGGTCTGAGGAGGAGGGAGGAGGGAAGATGCGGTGTGAGGAGCTGGAGGGAGCCCCCAGCCTTCCCTGTGCACTCCTGGCCTAAGCAGAAGCTGAATCCCGGGGCTCATGCTGCCGGCGGTGCACTCAGGAGGCTGCTCTGAAGCCTCAAGCCAAGAGAGGGGCTTTGGTGATGGTGGCAGGGCCAGGGGGCCTCTCCAGGAGCCACTAACACAAGGGGAGGGGCAGATACAAGTGGCCACTTGCAAGGAGCGAGGCTGAGAGTCCCGAGGATGTTCTCAGAGTGCGAGAGAGATTGGCCACCGGAAGCTGCGCTGAAAGGCAGAGGGTCTCAGAGCAGCCCTTCCCTTTCCAGCCATCCCTCCTCCCCCAGGATCCACATGGGTCATGTTCTTAGTCCTGGGAGATGCATCAGGACCAGGCTCAGCAGTGGCGGCGTCAGCGGTGAGAGACACGGGAGAGAGAAGAGAGATAGAGAGAGACAGAGAGACAGGGAGAGACAGAGATGTAGACAGACATTGAGAGACAGAGACAGAGAGACAGAGACAGAGAGCTACAGAGAGATAGAGACAGAGATAGACACAGAGAAACAGAGATGAGACAGACTGTGTGTGTGTGAGAGAGAGAGAGACAGACAGAGAGAGAGCCATCAAGCCGCCAACACACACCTGGAGCCCTCCCTGTCACATCTTTGCCTGGGCTGTGTCCCCTGCCCAGACAGCCCTGAATACCTCTCCCCTGACCCAGGTCCCACCCTACTTCAAGGTTTTGCTCCTTCTCAGGGGCCTGCAACCCCCTGCAGCTTCCTCCGACCCCCGTGAGCCCCCTGCCTCATGGCTGAGCATCCCCCGGCACCTTCTTTGTGCTTGTCATTGCCCCTAGTCAGGGGTTGGGGAGTGCGGCTCGGGCCTTGGCTCCTGTGCCTTGCCATGGCCGGGCACACGGTGATGGTGGCCTGTCCTCCGAGCCCAACCAGGGGCAGTGGGAGACCTCGGCCGGGCCCTGGCTTGTGGTGGTGAGTGTGGTGACTGGGGGTGGGGTGGTGGGGTGGAAACACACCTCCCCTCTCTGAGCCTCAATTTCCTCAAGGAGGAAACCAGACTCTCCTGGCTGTGCTCTGGCTCTGGCTCAGAGTCTGAGGCTGGGGGTGAGGCCGGCGCTCAGGCCCCCCATGCTGGGGTGAGGTTAGGCTCTATTCCTGGAGAGAGAGTTACAGAGAGGAGTGGCCCGGCGGCAGGAGGGGGCATCTTCATTGTTATCAGAACAGGTTCACCTGCTCGGCCCGCTCCAGCGACGCCCTTGAGCTCTGGTGTCCACACATTTCAACTTAGCCGGAATTCCCACCCGCATCCCGCCCTGCCTTCCCTTCCCAAAGGAAATCCAAACATCCCAGCCAGCCCCATCCACCGGGGAGCCAGGCTGAGAGCAGGGGCCACTGCGGAGGGCAGGGGAGGGTGCCAGTGCCTCACCTGGGGGGTGCAGTGGGGGCAGGCGGAGCCTTCTCACCTGTGACGAGGCTGCCCCCAGCTCTCTCAGGCCCTTCTGTGCTCAGACCAGCGCTCATTGCCTGGAGGCTCCTCCCGGTCCCTAAATCCTTTCATGTCCTCTGGGACCCAGCTGGCTGGACGGAGGGCACCCGGCCAGTTCCCTAGAAGTGACAGGGTGTGGCACTGTTCACAGAAATTGCAGGAATGAGCTAAAACAAAAAGTTGTCAGTGTGGGCAGGCCTTTCCTTCCTCCTCAGCCCCTCTGGCAGGGGAACTGAAGGCACCAGGTCAGTGCTTTCCACCCGCTCCCACCTCACCTGGTGCATGGAGGGGAGGGAGAAGGAGAATGGAGACCCTCTGTGCCCAGTGAGGCTGGGCCACCTTCCGGGTACTCCACTGATGTTGGGCTGCTCCTGCTAGTCTTTGGTTGGCTGTGGGCACAGGGGGCCTAGAACTGTGGACAGGGGCCTGGCTGTGTGGCCTTGAGAGAATAACCCAACCTCTCTGTGCCTTGGTTTCCCCCTCTCACTGGACTGACCGTTTATGGACAGCTCGAAGCCTGGGTTCCCAGGCTTGGGACTGGCTCTCCTAATGTGTCAGCCGACCACTGCGTCTGTGGGTGGTCTGCAGGGGCGGCCCCCACCCCTTCCTAAGGAGACCCCCTCACTGTCCATCTGTTTGCCTCAGAGCCTGGGCTCCCAGCCGTTGACGGATTGTTTTCCGCATTTTGCTCTGCAGAACACTGGACAGTAAGATGTTCTTGATAAGAGAGTTTTTCCTTCCACGGACTGCGTTCCGCAGCTCCTGGGTGGGGTGCAGAGTGTGTCAGCTCAAGCCAGAAATTCGGTCGTAAAGATGCTGTTTCTCTTCACGTTTCTCAAATGGACTTGGCTTCGGAAATCACTTCTGCAACACAAACCAGCAGCCTGTGCAGCTCTGGGCGGGGGCATGCCGGCTACCCAGCTCCCGGCATTGTTGCACATGGCTTTGAAACGCACGGCACAGCTCGTGTGGCCCAGGGGCACCTCCTGCCACCCTGCCTGCTGCCTCCACCCCAGATGCCGGTCCTCGCTGCTCTCCGGGACCTCTCCCGGCGTGGCTCCACCTCCTCCTCGAGGTCACCGTCCAGGCCTGTTTCAACTAGCGCCTCCAAGCCTTGCTTACCTGCCTCCTGTTTGGGTGAAACTTGGAGCATCTCTATTAACTTAGTTGGTAGCTCCGGTCACCTGCAGTCACCAGGGGCCCAGAGGGACGCACAGAGGGAGACCGGCTGCCTGGGTCCCTCCTGGCTGCCTCACCATCAGGGGCGGGATGAGGAGCTCAGCCTCAGCCACAGTGCGCAAGGTGAAGAGTTTTGATCCCTCGTACATCCTCGAGCCAGGCAGGGCGCCCGGCTTCTATCCCAGGTAGCAGAGTCTCCTATCCCAGGTCTCCGACGGCGACCGCAACCCTTTGCCCGTGGAGGACTTCCCCTGTCTAAGGGCCATTGGGAGTGGGATGGCCTAATTTCTGGGGTCGCTTTCTATTGGGCACTTCAAACAGTGCTGGGCAAGGGCAGTCGTTTGAGGCAGCTTGGAGTGAAGTTCTTAGGGAGGAGGTCCTGCGCAGCTCGGCCAGCCCCGGTCAGGCCCAGGCAGCCACCAACCCTGGTTTCTCCATCACCCCTGACCCCTCCCACAGCCCCTTCTCGTGTTTGCCCACCGTCTAGGCCATGCTTCCACTTTCTCACCTGGCTGGGTATCCCCTATGGGGCACGGGTGTCGGCCCCGCCGAGGCTGGGCTTTGGTCTGTCTTGTTCTCTCTGGGAGGGGTCTGGTGCGGGTGGAATACGTGGAGGGAGCCTCCGTGGGGGGAGCAACTGCTCCCGGTGTTGCAAGGAGGACAGAGCCAATGCCCGCCCCATCGTGTCATGGCCGACGGTGGCCTCAGAAGATGTGTCCACGTCCCCAGTCGCTGGAAGCTGTGCACGAGCTCTTCCTGGAGAAAAGGCCCTTGGCAGATACAAGGATTTTGAGATGAGCTCGTCCTGGAGTATCTGTGTGGGCCCTAAATGCAATGACAAGTGTCCCTATACAGGAAAGGAGAGGAGGGACACTGGAGAGCAGGGGGAGGCCACGTGAGGTTGGAGGCCAGCAGGGGTTACACAGCCACAGGCCAAGGAGGGCCAGAGCCACCAGAAGCTGAAAGAGATGAGGAAGCACCTTCCCCTGGAGCCCTCAGGGAGCGCGGCCCTGCTGCCACCTTGATCTCAGACTTCTGTCCTCTGTAACCAAGGGAATAAAGTCCTGCTGTGTGAAGCCATCCGGTTGTGGTTATTTGTTCCGGCTGCTGCAAGAAACGACTGCAAAGCAGGTGGCACACTGGTACCGTTTAGGTGAGCGCTCTGCGTGAGTGCGTGCTGCTCCACTGGGCCTCAGGTGGTGCCGGTGCCATTCTAGGAGAGCGCTCTGAGTGAGTGCCGGCCACTCCACCCAGCCTCCCACGCGCCCCCACAGCGCCGTCTGAGACGGCGACCTTGTCATCCTTGCCTGCAGATGGGGAAACCAAGACGTCGGAAACTTAAATTGCTCGTCCAGGTGGTGCAGACGCCCAGGTGTGGTTTGTCTGAACACAGCTGTCCTGAGCTTGTCTGATGGTTTGAGCTGCGGGCTGGGGCTGCGTGGCGACTGTGCAGCTCACCCTACAGCAGCTCTGTGGCCCTGGGCAGTGTCCTAGTCTGAAAGTGTGGGCAATGATTTTATCACCTCGGATGTGTTGTGGGGACTCAGTGGTGATCTATGTGGGGGCTGGCTGGGGGCCACTGAAGAGGCAGGAACAGTGCAGGATTCAGCCGGTTCGCCAGGAACCCGTCTCCATTCACGTGGTTTCCATGCCACCACCATCCTATCTGACCGCAGCCCAAGGGAGAACACAGGATTTCCCAGGTCCCCCAGGTCAGATGGAGAGTGGGGACTGAGTGTCCAGCAGGGTCCTGCGCACCCTCACCCCCATCTGTCTTCAGAGGAGCTCGACAGCGGGAGTGCTTTAATATAGGCATTATTATTATTATTATTCAGATAGGTGAGGCCGCCAGGTCAGGAGATGCTGCCGTTGAAGAGATGGTTGCTAACTCATAGCTCCCAGGAGGAGGGGAGGGTGACCCCATGGGGCCACATAGGGCAGTACTGGGTTGGTCAGGAGGCAGAGGGAGAGGGGAGGGGGAATGTGGATGGGAGCGTCCTCATAGTTTCTGGAGGAAGGAGTGGATGAGGCAGCCAGTATAAGTGGGTTTAGGGTTGGCAGCTGGAACAATTTCAGAGCTCTGGGTCCTAGAGCCTGTCCCTGGTGGTCTGGAATCTGGCCCTGGGGTGATGAGGGCAGGGATAGTGGCTGGGAGTGTGGGAGCTGGATAGAGGAGGGGCTGGGGGTGGGTCTGCATTTGAAAGGTGAGCTCATGAAGGCGTTGTCACTCTCTAGCAATTGACTGACCCTGGGAAGGGCCGTCTCTTGGGGTCTGCAAGGCCCCAGATGCCAAAGCTTCAGAACACAGAAAAGAAGATCCGGGTGGAACAGGGAGTACCAGGAGCTGTGGAGGCTGGTGGACTGGACCTGAGGCTGCCCTCCTTCTGCCTCCCTCCCTCCTTCCTCCCAGGTCGGAGTCTTGCGTGGCCTGGAGCTAGGGGCTCTCACAGGGCTGCTGCTCCCTCCTTCCACCAGGGGACAGAGGATTCCGGGCTGGGAGCACCCAGCTTAGAAACCAGAGACCCTCGGTGGCGGCCAACACTGGGCTCTGCTGTGTCCGGCGGTGGCTTCTGCCCGGCCCTCTCAGTCTCTCGAAGCCTCAGTTTTCCGCGGGTTACTTGGGAAGTTCATGTGACATTATGCATGTTACATGTGTGACCCAGCACCCAAGGCAGAGTAATGACTCGGAACGCACTGGCTCTGCTGCTAGTGAGATCCAATAGCTAAAAGAAAATCACCCCTTCATTAGAATAACCAGGTCTGACACGCTTCAGTGGCCACACATGGGGGTGGTGGGGAAGCGGGAGGCGGAATGGACAGGAAACCCCATGACCTTGGGAGCTGCCAGGAGCAGCCTCTCTCCAGCTGGGCATCATGCGGGCACCGTCAGGGGGGATGGGGTGTGTTTCAGAGGAAAAGCATCAGGGCTGTGGAAGAATTGCGCGCTTTCATGAGAACAACAAAACTAAAGCCGTGGTCATGTTTTAAGTGTGATGTTTGGTTTTATTTTTCCAGCGTGTGAGCTAATGAACTAGCTGAGGAGTGAGCCTGCCTCTCCCCGTGAAGACGCCATGCAGCGCAGGCTGATTTACAGACTCGTACCCGGGCGCTGGGGAGGGGATAGGGAAGCTGGCCGCAGGCCTGTCTCCGCTCCTGTCCTCACACACACAGTCCTCACCCACAGCCTCCCTGGGCCCTGAGGACGGAGCGGGTTACACAGGCTCCCTGGAATGTTGGCTGCCCCCAGGAGTAGCCGCCTGTTCTTGGGAATTCTGTGCTGACCGCGGCAGCCCCGCAGGGGCCCGGGGTTGCGGGTGGATGGGGTGGGCTGGGCACTGACCGAGGAGCTTTGCCTGCGACCCAGGTGGAGGTGGCCTTTGAGCAGTGAGGCCCCAGGGTCCTGCAGGGTGGGGTCTAGGGCAGCCAGGGGTCCCTGGTGGGGCCTTGTGGCTCTGGGGGCAGAAGAGGAGGTGCAGCGGGGGAGGTCAGAGGAGGCGCAGGCTGGGCAGGGGCAGGTGGGAGCCTGGACGGAAGCTCAGCCTCCAGTTTGGAGGCCAGCCCACATGGTCCTAATGTCCTGAGGGCTCAAGGACCACAGAACTGGAGGCCAAGCTGGCACATCTGGGGCCAAGGGGATACCCCACCAGCATCCTGGGCCATCAGGCCATATACCTGCTGCCACAGCAGCTACTAGAGTGGGGACGAGCTGGGCCCAGTTTCCATGGAGACCTCAGATGAGGCCACATTTCCCGGACTCCTCGAGAAGGGGCTAATAAGGAGGAATCTAGAGCCACTCCAATCCCCTGGATGCTGAGAGCAGGCTCTCTGGGAAGAAGTGAGCATTCTAAGGGTCCGCAATCTCTCTGAACCCTTATGCAGCAAAGGGGTCTGCGTGGGGATGGGGCCAGGGTTGGGGGAGCCAGTGTGGGGCTGAGGACACCTGAGCCAGCCCTGGTCCAGTGAGGCGGAGCGTGTGGCGTGGGAGGGTGGTGCTGGGAGTCACCTTCTGGCTTTGCAGCTTTCCTGTGGTCCTGAACGGCCACATAGCCCCTCGGAGCCTTGGTGGCTCATCTGCAGAGTGGGAGCACCTTCCTACATTATTACGAGGATTCCCCGGGAACACGTCCACGGTGAGGTCATGTCCGTGAGATGAATCTGTGCTTTTCCTCCTGGTTCTTCCTTGTTCTGGGGGAAGTTTATGTCCTGGGGCTGAAAGTGGAATTTGTGGACAGGCCACTTCCCTTTCTGTTCTTGTTTCTCCAGCTGAGGAACTGAAGTTGCTAATCACGTCCTGGAGGTGGGGAGAGAGGGCCCTGTGCAGATCCTGGGCTGGAGATAATTTGGGAGGAGGTAAGTCCCCAAGTGGGGGCTGGAGGTGCTCTAGGAGAGGTGGGTCCAGCCCCTGGGGCTCCCAGTCTCAAGGGATACCTGGACCCAGGCCTGCTGGGCACGTGCGGGAGCCTGAGGTGAACGCACTGTGTGGGCTGGGAGGGGCCCGGTGCAGCCGGATTCCAGGGTGCTGACCAGGGATCTGCGACTCACACCCAGACTCAAGAGGGGCTGGTTCAGTCATGGTCCAGAGGGAATGTCCTTCCATCACCAGCCATGGAGGCCGGAGTCAGAAATCAAAGAAAACACTCTCAGATGCCTTGGTCTGTGGCTAAGAATTGCACTGTGGACTTGGATGTGTGGCGTTGGTGGCAGTAGAATCGACAGACATTTCTCTTGGGCTCACGAGAGGCTGGACAGGCCTCAAAGCACTGGGTTCTCATATTTTACAGACCAGCAAACAGAGGCGTAGGGATGTTCAGAGATGGCCTTGGCAGCACAGTGGGGTGGCTAGCGGGGCTCAGCCCAGGCTGTGGGCTCCAAAGCCCCCACTCTAGCACCCCTGGCACATGCTCCTGGATGGCAGCCAGGCCTGGCACTCAGCGGAAGCTCGGAAACCTGTTGAGGGGTGAAGCCTGGGTTCCTTCCTCAGAGGGATCCTCTGGAGCGGGACTTGCTCAGGACAGAGGCGGGTGAACTGCCTTGGATGGGGCCGGTGTGAAGCTTTCTGGTTGCTGAAGACCTGGGTCCTGTGGGGAGACAGGGCTGCAGGCTGCTGGGTGGGGCTGTAAGAAGCCTCTCCACCCACCCAGGGTGCACCCTCCTAATATCCAGGGACACCCATGGGGCCGGCTTTTCTGAAGCTCCGAGTGAGGGTTGCATCGTCCCGGTCTGAGGTGCACGGCCTTGAGCAACTGGCTGATGATCAAGGACGGGGAGGGGGTCAAGTTTTGGGCAGTCTTCCATTTTAGGGTCAATTTAGCTTCCACAGCGGGCACAAGGCGAGCTGAGGGGATGGTTGTGTTATCTGTGGGTGCACCTGCAGCATTGAGGAAGCTGGAGTGGGAGGGGAGGTGGCCTGCGGAAAGGCCTGGACCTGCCCCTCACCTGGCGTCTGGCCTTGCTTCCTTGCTTTCCGGGGTCTCCTCACTGCAGCTGAGCAGGGAATGGGTAGCAGCAGCAGCTCTCGAGTGCCAGTGCGTGAACCGTTGGGGAGGTTTCCCAAAAATGCACGTTCCTCGGCCTTCTCCCCAGAGACCCGGCCCGCCTGCCTGGGCATGTAGAGACCTTGCCTTTCCAGCTGCCTCCCAGGGGAGCCTCATGCTCCAGACCAAGGGTCACAACTTTGACAGCACATGACCGGGTCACCCACCAAGGCCTCCTCCAGGTCCGGCTGGCCCCAGCCTCTGACCCCACCACCTTCCCCAAGTCACCCTCTTGCCTCACGGGGGCTGCAGCTGGGGTCGGGGGCCCCAGGGCTCAGGCTGCTATGTCCACCAGGCCCCGGCGGGAGGTCTCCCTGACGGCCCCCAGCTCAGCCTCGTCTCCCAGCGCTCGCTGGAGGACCAGCCGGAGGGGCAGCCTGCGGCCCTGGGCACTGCCCAGGCAGAAGTAGACGACGGGCTTGGCCGCGCAGTGCACGGCGGCCATGAGGAAGCTGAAGTGGTAGAAGTAGTGGGGGATGTACCAGAGCAGGTTCCGGGACAGCCAGTAGATGCCGAAGGGCAGGCCGCAGAAGAGGAAGAGGAGGACGGTGAGGAGGATGAGCCCAGGGAAGCCCCGGGGTGGGGGCCGCTGGGGGCCTCGCTCCACCCGCAGCAGCAGCATAAGGCTGGCCCCACACATGGTGCAACACAGCAGAGCCAGCAGCACCGCTGCCACCAGCCACAGCGTCCGGCACAAGTGGCGGCTGGGCTCCCCGAAGAACTGGGTGCAGGCGCCGCTGAGCAGCAGGTGCAGCAGCAGGCAGAGGGCCCAGGTGAGGGCGCACACACAGGTGGTCAGGTGGCGTGGGCGGCGGCACGAGTACCAGGCTGGGAAGAGGGCGGCCAGGCACTGCTCCACGCTGACGGCCGCCAGGAGACTCAGGCCCACGATGTAGCAGAAGAAGCGCAGCGTTGCCAGGCTGGTCTGCACGAAGCCCGGGAAGTCCAGCCGGCCTTGCAGCAAGTCGGGGACGATGGCCACCATGTGGCAGCCAAGGAAGATGAGATCCGCGCAGGCCACGTCCAGGAGGTAGATGGCGAAGGGGTTTCTGTAGACATTGGAGCTGAGCAGCCAGAGGACTGCCCCATTCCCCAGCAGCCCACCGAGGCCGAGCCCCTCGGTGAGGGACAGGATGATGAGGTTGAAGGCCACATCCTCCTGGGCGCCGTTGGCGGCCCCCACGTGCTGTCCAGCTTCTCTGGGCTCCATCATGGGGCGGGGGGCCAGGGGATGCTGCAGGAGTGTGTTCTGCTCGCTCTCTCTCCTGATGCCCCTGTAAACCACAACAGTTGAGTCTGGGGCTCAGGAATCCATGCCCCCTGCTCCTCCCCACATCAGGGGAGATGAGAGTTGGGTGGGTGACCAAGGGAATGGTGAGACCCTCCAGGAGAAGACCCCTCTCTCATTTCCACCCTCAGCCACCTGACCTAAGCTTCTCTTCCCTAAGACACTCAGGAGGAAGGTGTCCCCATTCCTCCCCTCCCCATGGTTACCTGGCCTCAAGAGCCTTCCGTGGGGCTGGTCCCTGTAGGCCAGGTGGGGGCAGGGACCAGGAGATGTGGGGAGAGGGTCTGAGACCCATGGGGCTCCCTGTTGCTAGTGGTGCCTTGATCCTCAGAATGGGCTTTTTTTTTTTTTTTTTTTTTTTTTTTTTGGAGATGGAGTCTGGCTCTGTTGCCCCAGGCTAGAGTGCAATGGCACCATCTCGGCTCACTGCAACCTCTGCCTCCCGGGTTCAAGTGATTCTCCTGTCTCAGCCTCCCGAAGAGCTGGGATTACAGGCGTGCATCACCATGCCCAGCTAATTTATTGCATTTTTAGTAGAGACAGGGTTTCACCATATTGGCCAGGCTGGTCTCGAACTCCTGACCTCGTGATCCGCCTGCCTTGGACTCCCAAAGAATAAAATATGACTTATTTTAAAGTCATAGGCAGAGCAGGAGGCACCGCCCATGTCTAATGAGTGGTGTGACCACAGAGGGACAGCTTACAGTGGCTGTGGGGCTTTTCGTCATCATCTTAAAGCAGCCCTCAACTCTTTGAGGCCTTTCCTTGACATCCATGAGGGGTTGTTTGCCAGTGGGCTCCCAGTCCCCAGCCCTCCAGCTTGGTCACACCATGCAGCCACATCAGGGCCACAGGAAAACTCCCTTTCCCCTGGCCATGTCCCTGCTGTCCTACAGCAGGACTCCAGCCCTCTGCAGGGTAGGGGGCACATGAGGAGGCTGCATCCTGCTCAACGTTGCCCGCCCTTTCCCCATGGGGAGAAGAGGGAGCTGTCTGATGATGGGGCTGGGAGGGGCCCTGAGCTTCCATGGCGTCTCCAGCCTCCCTCCATCCCCTCCCAAGGCAGTCGGCTCACGGGGACAGGTCCTGCGGGAGGGGTACTGAGTCCTGGGAGGCAGCACAAATCCCAGGGGACCTAGGCTGGAATCGGAGTCTTCATCACAGCTTTGCCAGAAATACAGCAAGTAATAGACTCTAGGAGACTGCCAGGTGCTCAGAGCCGGAGACATGCCTGCAGATACCCGGCCCCATGCTGCCCCTGTGGTTACCTGGCCCGTCATGTGTCTCTGAGTGCTTGGTGACCCCAGCTTCTCCTCTTGGGGTTGGGGGAGAGGGGATGGGGCCTTGCCTCTCCCCAGAGACTGGCTGGGGTCAGGGGCCGACACCAGGTGCCCCTCCCACCTTGGTGGTGGCTGGTCCTCCTGTGTCCTGGGAGGGCTGGGGTTTGGGGTGAGGAGGGTGGGGGTACAAGCAGAAACCCCCATAGCTGGTCTTAGCGGCTTCTTCCCACCTCAAGGTTGTGCTCAGAACCCCTGCTGTCTCCCTCCAGTGATAGGAGCACCCGAGACCATGCAGGGGGACGCTGCGGTGCTGGGATGCTGGGGAGAGGTGGCCCGGGGCGGGGCTATCGCTGAGCACAGAGGTGCCAGCCACCCCGTGAGGTGCTGGTCATCTCCCTCGGCTTACACCCTCAGCTCTGTGGTCTTTTGTTTGACTGGGGTGAAATGACAGCCTGAGGTTGTCCCCGCCTCAGGGGTGGGCATGGGGGTGGGGGGCTCAGTGGAGAGGAGGCCCCAGTCCCAGCACCTCAGGAAGCTGAGTCCTGCCCGTGGTCCAGTCTGAATCTCCTGCGGGTGGAGTCAAGCCTGGTTGGAGATATAGGGCTCTTCCTCCTGTCCCTGTGCTCCATCCTAGCACCCAAGGCCCCGGGAAGGCAGACCATGGGTGGGAGGTGAGGTGGTGGTGGAGGGAGCCCCACCTGGGCCAGCATCATCAGGAGGACACCCTGAGTGGGGCAGACGGGGCATCACTGCCATGGCAGGTGGGGAGATGTGGGGAGGGGGACAGATGCTCTCCTACTCAGGATAGCTTGGGGGGGTCACCAACCCTCAGGCCCAGAGGGAGGCAGAGATGAGTTTTGGGAGGTCTTAAGTCTGTTGATGGTGGACCCCCTCCCAGGCACAAGTCCCGTCCACCCATGGACGGAGCTATCTCCGGGATCTACCAGCAAGCTCCAGCCCCAAAGCAACAGGTGGGGTTTCTCCAGCCTGTGGCCCACCAAGGGCCATGGTCCCTCTCCTATCTCACCTCCTGCATGGCTGAGGAGGACACGGGCCTCATGGGTGGGCCCCAGGGAGAGAGCATGGCAGGGAAGCGATGGACATAGAGGGAGAGGGGAGAGTGCAGGAAGGGGAGAGGCATGAAGAGATGGGGGACAGAGAAGGAAACAGGGAGGAGAACAGGGGGACAAGGGGTTAGAGCCACGGAGCTCAGCCAGACCCTGCTGCTGCCCCCTCTCTGCTGTGACCCTGGAGGAGGTCTCCCTGTGGGACCATGTGCCCCACTGGGGGCTCGGGAGGGAGGCAGAGCTCTGTAGGAAGGGTCGCCACAGTTGGGTTACAGGACTGTGGGGAGTAGAGGAGTTTGTTGCATCCTTGGTGAGCAGGAGGAAGAGGAGAGGGAGGAGAAGGAGGGGAGGAGGCGGGGGAGGACGATGGAAGAGAACAGGAGGGAGGAGGAGGAGGGGGAGGAGAAGGAGGGGAGGAGGCGGGGAAGGACGATGGAACAGAAGAGGAGGGAGGCACAGCATTCCCCATCCCTGGGTGGTCCAGGAGTGGCTCTGTGTCCCGCCCAGACAGCCAATACTGAGAAGCCCTGAGGCTGAGCACCCAGGTGTGGCAGGGAGGAGAGGGCCTATCCCCGGCTGCCCCCATGACTCCCCTTGAGAGTCTGCACCTGCAGGGAACACTCTAGATCATGGAGGAAGCAAGGCAGACAGGAGACAGAGCCACCGGGGGTGGGGGGTTGGGGAGCCATCACCCAAGCTATCGTCCTCTTCCAGACTCAGCCCAGGGCTGGCTGCGGACCAGGTGGTGCGGCCCGTCAGAGGGCGGAGGCTGCAGCCTGGAGAGCTCCCTGTTGATAGCATCTGCTGTTGCCCACGCCCCACCCCTGCCACCATCTGGCCAGCAAAAGAGCCCAGAAAATGCCGAGCGCCTGGGCCGGCCCCAGAGACCCACCCTGATCCAGCCACCTGCGCTACTCACCGTTTGGGGCAGAGGACTGGCCGAGCCCTGCCTGCTCTGACCCTGGGCCTTGGATCTATCCTGGCCGCGGCCGAGGGCTCCAGTCCCCAGAGCCTCTGGGCGGCTCCTGTTCAGTGTCCACCAGCTCCTCCGAGTCACATGGCATCCAGCTGGAATGGGGCCGGTCAGGAAGGTGTCTCTCTGAGGACCCCTTCTCTTCCGCTCAGCTCTCGCCCAGGTGTGGACAGCAAGAGAAACCCTGAACCTCCCTGCAGCCTTCCAGGCAGGCCTGGCAGGCAGAGGAAACCACGAGATCTCTGGGTGGAGCCCAGCCAAGCTGTGACTTCACTGGCACTCCTGGCTCAGAGACACCAAGCCCTGTAGGGCCCTTTAGGGACCACTTCTTTCCATCTGTGCCTCGGAGGGGCCGGCTGAGAGCCGGGCTACCGGCGGAACTTGTCCTTGCAGCAAAAATGTGTTTTTCTCTCCGCAGAGCACAGGCTGCCGGCCCCAGCTCTCCAGGCAGTGTGGGACCGCGGGGAGGAGCGGGGATGTGCGTGAGGCCGTCCCTCCTGCCTCGTTCGCAGGCACAGAGTAGATGGCCGGTGTCAAGAAGCTGCCGCGCGGTCCCCGGCCGAGGAGAATCAAACACATACAGCAGCGTCAGGCTCCGGGAGACCTCGTGAACTCAGTGATTTCAAGTCCCGTTTCAGACCGTGCCTTTCCTTCCAGTGCCCTGCCTTAAGGGAGATCGCAATTGACGTGCCAAGAGAAGGAAAACAAGGTCATTTTTTGGCCTCTGTTCCTCCCCGAGTCCAGGCCCTAGCAACTCTTTTCTCATCTTTGTCTTTAGAAAAATCTCCGAGGTAGAGAAGAGTGCAGAAACAGCACGGATTTGCTCCGGAGCGTTTCCCACTCTGCGCAGTCCGCCTGACCTCTCCTCTTGCGGACCAAGTGAGAGCAAGTTTCCCGCACGTGGCCTTTGACCTGTCACTACATCAGCAGGCATCCCCCAGGGCACCGGCATCCTCCATCCCCAAAACGGAGGGGCCGCACACAGGTCGTCTGGCGTCTGTGCAATGCTGGTGTCTGATGAATGTGTCGCGCTGGTGTCTGACGTCCATGCGGGGCTGGTATCTGACAGGCAGCAGTGCCGCTTGCTGAGTTGTGTCTCAGCTTCAAATCCTCCCTTCCTAAACCAGGATCCGAGCTGCCAGGTGCCCGAGGCTCTGTAAACCATGCCTGGGCTCTGCCACCGCTCTGGGAGGCCCTACCAGTGGGTGGTCACTCAAGGATGGCCCAGGGGTGTGGGGGAAGTGCTCCCAATCGCCCCACACGTTCCAAATATCTCACCCTTCTAAGTGCCACACTCCCTCCAGTTGTCCCACAGTTCCAATAGTGCCACTCCTTTCAATTGTCCATCCCACCCTTTCATAAGTTCCATGCCTTCCACTTGTCTTACACCTTAAAGCTGTCCCACCCTTCCAAATGCCCGACCCTTCCAATTGTCCCACTCCTTCCAACTGTCCCACTCTTCCATTTGTCCCACTCTTCCATTTGTCCCACTCCTTCCAATTGTCCCACTCTTCCAATTGTCCCACTCCTTCCAATTGTCCCACTCTTCCATTTGTCCCACTCCTTCCAATTGTCCCACTCTTCCATTTGTCCCACTCCTTCCAATTGTCCCACTCTTCCAATTGTCCCACTCCTTCCAATTGTCCCACTCTTCCATTTGTCCCACTCCTTCCAATTGTCCCACTCTTCCATTTGTCCCACTCCTTCCAGTTGTCCCACCCTCCAATTATCCCACCTTCCAATTGCATTAGCCTTCCAACTGTCCCACCCTTCCAATTTTCCCACTCTTTCCAATTGTCCCAGCCTTCCAATTGCCTCATCCTTTTAATTATCCCACTCTTTTAGTTGTCCCCCTCCTTCCAATTGCCCCATTCTTTCCAATGGTCCCACTTTTTAAATTGCCCTTCCCTTGCAATTGTCCCCCTCTTTCAATTGACCCACCTTTCCAATGGTCTTACCTTCCAATTGATCCACCTTTCCAATGGTCTCACCTTCCAGTTGTCCCACTCCTTCCAGTTGTCCCACTCCTATCAATTGTACTGCCTTCCAATTGCCTCACTCTTCCAATTGTCCCACCCTTCCAATTTCCCCACAGTTTTAATTGTCCCACTCTTTCAATTGTCCCACCCTTCCAATTGTCTCACCGTTCCAATTGTCCAACCCTCCCAATTGTCCCACTCCTTCCAATTGTTCTACCTTTTTAATTGTCCTACCATTCTAGTTGTCCCACCCTTCCAACTGTCCCACTCTTCCAATTGTCCCACCCCTCCTATTGTCCCACTCCTTCCAGTTCCCCTACCCCTCCAATTGTCTGACTCTTTCCAATTAGTCCATCTTCCTTTATGTTTTCGAGCTTCACTTTCACTCCCTGTCAGAGTTGCCCCAGCAACTCTCTCTCTCTCTCTTTTTGAGACAGAATGCCACTCTGTTGGCCAGGCTGAGGTGCAGTGGCATGATCACAGCTCACTGCAGCCTCCAACTTGCAAGCTGAAGCATTTTTTCCTCAGCTTCCTGAGTAGCTGGGACTTCAGGCATGCACCAAGTGCCAGGCTACCAGAGGCTTGTCTGGCTAATTTTTAAATTTTTAACTTTATAGAGATAGGGTCTCGATACATTGCCTAGGCTTGTCTCTAGTTCCTGATCTCAAGCAATCCTCCTGCCTTGGCCTCCGAAGGTGCTGGGATTATAGCTGTGAGCCACCATGCCTGGCCCGCAGCAACTTTCTCCACCTTGTAGCAGCAGTGGACTTCTGCAGTTTTCCCAGCACTTGAAAAACCAGACCCATTGTTTCCTGTTGGAGACACTGGCCACTAACTGGCTGGGAGCCCCCTCAGGGGCCTGAATTACACTCTAGTCGTCCCCACTGGTCCTAAATTTCAATAGTTTTAACTTCCTTCCTTTGTTCCCCGTGCCCGGGGTGGCGGCTCTTTTTGCAGTTGTTTCTTCTCTAATACCTTAGTGTTCCCTTTGTACGTGTTTGGTTTTTCAGTCTCTAGTGAACAATTCTTTAAGATCATCCCTTCAAAATTATAGGTAGCTTCTGCCTACTGACTGTGTCCCTGCTGGTACTGAAAGGTCCTAGGGGAAACATGGTAATTTAGGCTTGGTTTGGTCATGTCCTTGGCCTTGACTGTCGTGATGAGTTTCTGGTCAGTGACACTGGTGATCCATGCCACTCTGTGGCTCATCATCAATCAAACAAGCACTTGTGATGGGTTATGTTGAAGTCAGTGCCTTGGGGGACCATTTGCCTATTGGACTTGATCATCATAACATTCATGGGGACCAGGAGCACTGTGGCATGTGACAGGATTGGAGCTTCAAGAAAGAGGATGACGACTTCTACTTCTGGTTCTAAAGGGGCAATAGGGGCTGGAATCACCCTCCCATTATAAAAATCTAAAAAACCAAAACACGGTTTGTGAATTTAGACAACAGGCCGAGCAGGACTGTGGTCCCAAGAAAATGGAAGCTGATGGGCACGCCCTATGCTCACCCAAACTTTCTGTCTGGAGGTGGCTTCCGGACTGCAACACAGGCCAGAAGAGGCAAAGGGGCTCAGCAGGTTAAATGCCAAATCAGGAGAAGGTTGAAAACAACACAGGTAAGACTGGCAGTCAAGACAACAGCAAATGGACAAGCTGTAGAGAAAAGCAATGACATCAAAGGTGTTTTATTTAAGATGATTAATAAAATGGAATAACCTTGGATGGACTGATTAAGAAAACAAAAAGTGCTTGAGCTCAGGAGTTCGATACTAGGATACTAGCCTGGGTGACATAGCACAATCCTGACTCTACAAAAAATACAAAACAAACAAACAAACAAACAAAAAAAACAAAATTGTCTAGGTATGGTGGTGCATGTCTGTGGTCCCAGCTACTCAAGAGAGGGAGGCTGAGGTGGGAGAATGGCTTGAGCCTGGGAGGTTGAGGCTGCAGTGAGCCAAGATCAGGCCACTGCACTCCAGCCTGGGTGACAGAGCAAGACCCTGTCTCAAGAAAAGAAAAAAAAAAAAAAAGAAAAGAAAAAAGAGAAACTGCAAATCACCTATATATTGGTAACGAAAGAGGGGATACCACTACCGGTCCCAGATACTTAAATGGTAAAGGTGGAATGTAAAAATAAACTGTATGCCAATAAGCTTGACAATTTGGATGAAATGGTCAAATTCTTTGAAAGACACAATGAAAACATGAATAGTTCTCAATATGAAAACAATGAGCTCGTAATTTAACACTTTCTCTCAAATAAGTCTCTAGTTCCAAATTGCTTCACTGGCAAATCTATAAGATAGACAAAAAATAAATAATCCCAACCCTGCAAAACTCTTTTAGAAAACAGGAGTAAGGAACATGCCAATTCATTTTAGGAGGCCAGCATTAATCTAATAATCTGATATACAAACTGGACAAAGACATTCTAAGAACAAAAAACTACAGACCAATATTGTCATGAACATAGGCTCAAAACACTTCATATAATATAAGGAAGAATTGTAAGCCATTTGAGTTTATCTTAGAATGATGAAGGATTTATAAGGTGTAACTGGGGTTTTGCTTTTTTTAAATGTGAGGGAATTTATATCAGTTGAATTGTTTGGACTTTTTCCTGCTTTTTCTTCCAGAACCTTTGTATAGATGAAGACTATGTCTCTGCATTTTTGTGCGTAAGGATGGCAAGATAGAGTGGTTTAAAAGATGCCAGTTTATGAGCTTCTTTTTTGGTCAGTCTTGGAAAACATAATTTTTTTTAGAGCAGGGTGGGGGGCATACAGTGAGAGAAGAGAATTTTTTGTCCTGCAAACTTTTGATTTTTTTCGTCTTGCAAAATACTAGCCCCCTCCCTTTTCCTCTACTGTATTGTTTCCAAAGAAGACTTCTGTCTTCCTCTTGAGCCTTTTCAAAAGCTTCCTAGAGTTCTCCCTCATCATTTAGCCATTGCGCTGATCTGCCAATTATTGAGAAAAAGAGTCAAACTCTAAAATATTTGAAGAGATTCATTCTGAATCAATTATGAATAACCAATGGCCTGTGACAGCCCCAGGGGATCCTGAGAACATGTGCCCAGGTGTTTGGGGTGCAGCTTAGTTTTACACATTTTAGAGGGACAGAAGACATCAATCAATACATGTAAGATGTACATTGGTTCAATCTGGAAAGGCGGGACAACTCCAACAGGGGCTTCCACATCATAGGTGGATTCAAAGATTTTCTGACTGGTTAAAAGAGTTATTATGTAAAAGACCTGGAATCAATAGCAAGGGATACATGGCTTAAGGTAAGGGGTAAAATACTTTGATTTCTATCAGGGCCTGCTATCTGACATTACAGCGGTATCTTATGGCTACGAAGGGTCTGTTTTGTCAGCCTTAAGTTCTTGTTTTAATGTGAATGCTGGTCAGCTGTGCCTGAATTCCAAAGGCAGGAAGGTATGAGGCATGTCTGACCACCCATTCTCATCATGGCCTGAACTAATGTTTCAAGTTTACTTTAGAATGAATGCCCTTCCATTCAGTTGGTTGGGGAACTTGGAATTTTATTTTTGGTTTATATTCTCCTCCTCTGGCCAAGACTTGCCAGAGGCAACATCAATGGCCACCAAACTTTTATTTTGTCCCATAGCGTTACTGGGTGTTTCGGCTGCCTGTCCTGGGTCCATTGTGACCCTCAGTGGGACCCCTATGGCCAAGGGGCTTAGAGTCAAAAGACTCACAGCCAATTTAAACATTCTAGGCCAGAAGGGAATGGAGGTGGATGGGCACTCATCAACCCTTAAAATTCCACCAAACTGTTTGTATATGTATAAATATGTATACACACACACACACAAATACATACATATGTATATATATAAATTTATGCAGATATATCTAATTGTATAAATCTCATAACTGGGAGTATTATACCCAAGAGGCTTTGTCATGAGGTGTCTTTATATATTCTCAGTAATTTTCTTTGAATTCTATGGAAAACAGTAAATTCTTTATGGTTGAGATGGATGAAAACAGGCCACATAATAACCCAGGAGGCAAAGTCCCTTTTTTTGCCACTGATTCAGGCATCTCTGCCCAACCTTGATTTGGAGGATCTGAATGAATTCTGTCTCCCTAAATTGGCCCTTACAATCTCACATGCCTGCCTCATTTGTGACAGTCGTGGGCCTAGAGGAAGAGTGCTGGTATAATTTTAGCAGCAGGTATTTGCAGTGAAAAACAGCTCGGGCCCAGTGAGATGCCAATGAGGGAGAGTTGCACCTCTATTTTTCAGAATACCATATTCTGGTTTCCTCGGAAGTAAAACAAAGAGAGATAAACAACATTAATAATTTGACAATCAAAAGAGAATGTGTGTGTCAGAAGAGAAAAAGGAATCTATTCCATTAGGGCACTGACTAAAAGCATCACGAAGAAAATGATAACCTGGCTCATCTTTAGAGGATTATTATAGCCAAGAAATAATTCATGATTCAATCCACACTAACAAACAAAAGTCAGGGCTGGAATCTAGTAATGGGTGTAGTATAGTTTTCCTTTGAAAAAATTTCCCTTTCTCTAGCCTTCCTTTTCTACTAAAGAGAAATTGTAGTAAGACCAATCTGTGTGCAAAACAAGTTTTAGGCTTATTATACTTCCCTGATTATAAAGTGCAGCAAGAACCAATTGGCCATACCGGCCCCTTTCAAGTTGACTTTGCTGGAACTTTACCTAAAAATATATTATTCCAGTCAAAGCCTTGGTAAAATAACCAGGGTCTCCAATTGTGTCCCATTTCAAAAGAAAACATTCTTACTAAACCTATGCAAACAACTAAATGCCATAAAATCAGAATATTCGCTAATAGTGTCTGAATTTTGAAGAATTCAGATAGAGAGAAAGGTACACTTACTCATAAAAACTTACTTTACCCGATTGCTCTAAACTATAAATAACTCAAAAGAAGAAGCTTTCCGGCCGAGCGCGGTGGCTCACGCCTGTAATCCCAGCACTTTGGGAGACTGAGGTGGGTGGATCATGAGATTAGGAGTTTGAGACCAGCCTGGCCAATATGGTGAAACTCCGTCTCTACCGAAAATACAAAAATCAGCCGGGCATGTGGGTGTGTGCCTGTCATCCCAGCTACTCGGGAGGCTGAGGCAGAAGAATCGCTTGAACCTGGGAGGCGGAGGTTGCCGTGAGCCGAGATTGTGCCACTGCACTCCAGCCTGGGCGACAGAGCAAGACTCCGTCTCAAAAAAAAATAAAAAATAAATAAAAATAAAAAAATTAAAAATTAAAAAAAAAAAAAAGAAAAGAAAAAGCTTTCCTTGAGTCTTCCTGAACCAGAGCAGCAGCTTCCAAACAAGATGTCGTGTGTTCGCCTTGGAGCTGTCATACGCTAAGCAGCTCTTGTCAGTCAGATGAGAGCCGTCAGGCACTGTAGAACCCAGCAGCTCCTCACATTGAGTCATTCCTAGGGGAAAAACAGGCTCCCTGCTCCTGAGTATCTCCTCCTTGCATTCCCCAGGCAGCCATATCCTATATAAACCATTTTTGTTTTACCATACAACTCTTTTGGGCACCATTGATTCCATTAGCATGGGGTTAGCTTCACTTAACATCCCACAGCAAGCCAGAAAATGCCCCTCAGGTGGAAATTCTCGAGTCCAAAGTCCCAGCAGTTCATTGGGAAGTGCTCACAGCCTTTTGCCACAAGCCCCAATGAACACTCCACGGAAGACTATGAAGTGGAGGTTTTGTTCCAGCTCGCACTCCAGCTTCTACTCTATATTCTGTGGGCTCAGGCAATCTTACCAGTTCCCATTTAGCGTGTCCAATTAACATTTCTCCAAGGGCAGATTTACATACCTTCAGTTTTATAGTACTAGGTGGGAGAAACATTCCCCAGTCAGATATATAAATCAAAAAGTATCTGGAACAAATCTCAATCAATTTAGAAGTTTATTTTGCCAAGGTTAAGGACATACGCATGACAGCCTCAGGAGGTCTTGATGACATTTGGCCAAGGTGGTTGGGCTACAGCTTGGTTTTATACATTTTAGGGAGACAAAGACATCAATCAATACATGTAAGATATACATTTGTTTGGTCTGGAAAGGCAGCACAACTCAAAGTGGGGACTTACAGGTGATAGGTAGATGCAAAGATTGTCATATTGTCTATTGGTTGAAAGAGTTTATCTAAAGATCTGGATTCAATAGAAGGGACTGTCTGGGATAAGATAAGGGTTGTGGAGACCAATGTTCTTTTTTTTTTTTTTTGAGGCAGAGTCTCACTCTGTCACCCAGGCTAGAGTACAATGGTGTGATCTCGGCTCACAGCAGCTTCCACCTCCCAGGTTCAAGTGATTCTCCTGCCTCAGCCTCCCCAGTAGCTGGGATTACAGGTGCGAGCCCTCACACCCAGCTGATTTTTTGTATTTTTAGTAGAGATGGGATTTCGCCTTGTTGGTCAGGCTGGTCTCGAGCAGGGTCCTGACCTCAGGTGATCTGCCTGCCTCAGCCTCCCAAAGTGCTGGGATTACAGGTGTGAGCCATCTCGCCAGGCCAAGACCAAGGTTCTTATTATGCAGATGAAGCCTCCAGGTAGCAGGCTTCAGAGAGAATAGATTGTAAGTGTTTCGTATCAGCCTTAAGGGGTCTGTTTTTTCAATGTTAAGGTCTCTGGTTTTTTCTCCTTTTTTTTTCCGAGATAAGATCTCACTCTGCCACCCAGGCTGGAGTGCAGTGGCATGATCTCAGCTCACTGCAGCCTCAACCTCCCAGGCCCAAGTGATCCTCCCACCTCAGCCTCTTTAGTAGTTGGGACTACAGGCATGTGCCATCACAACTGGGTAATTTTTGCATTTTTTGTAGAGATGGAGTTTCACCATACTGCCCAGGCTGGTCTCGAACTCCTGAGCTCAACTAATATGCCCACCTTGGCCTCCCAAAGTGCTGGGATTACAGACATGAGCCATTGTGGCTGGCCTAGAATTTTATTTTTTGTTTACAGATACAGTACCCATTTTCATAAGGCGTTTAGGTAAAGGAGTCACAACTACTTTACATAAACCTGTTTAAACATCTCAAAATTCATAATTCTATCATCCCTCACATTCTTATGTTCTGGTCCCAGGATTTTTTCTTCTCTACCCACAGACTATTTTACTTTTTCTGGTGAAAAAAGATTTGGGTTCCCAGCAGGGGATTGAGCCAAGGGACTCAGGCCCTTTTGTGAATCTTAATCTCATTTTTCCTTAGCATTGCCCTAGGCAATGTCAGCTTCTCATTATCACCTTTGCCTTTTGATTTTTCTTAAATTTCTCTAATCTGGGGCAAATGCCAAACAATTGGTATGGGGCCCTTTAATGTTGAGAGAGTGGTAGGAACTCCCTTTGGTCCATCCAAGCTTTGATAGTGTTGTAAAGATCTTTGTTTTAACTCCATGAATTTTCATTTTGTTTATTTCATTTTTTAATAACCATTGGAAGATTTCCACTCTTCTGGGATCAGTCCCCTGACTCCCTTTTGCATTTCCCATTTTTTTTTTGTTAACTATCTTAATGTTTTATTAGCATCTGTGAGACCCATGAAGGATAGCAAATTTGAAAAGGCTTCTCAAGACATTGTTCGATTCTGCAGAAGTAATGTCACCTGGGGTGCCCATGGAGAAGGGGTCCCCTTAACCACAGCATCTACTGTGACCTGAGTAATAGGCACATTCAGTGGGTGAATATCTGGTCATCACAAAGTCAGTCCCATATGACTTGTTTAAGAAGCATATCAACTGCTTCCTCTGGGGTGATCCACTTGGTATTTTATAGGGAAAGTTGGGCAGTCCTCTCAGGGTAAACAGCCCTTACAGTGGTGTTTATCAGGTCCACTAGGCTGGTCATTCTCTCAGCAACAACCTTCTGTGCATTTGGATCACATATACTCATCAGCAATTATCTAATAGTGAGCTGTGGGTCTACATCAACTCAAAGATGCTCTTTCATTCTGTAGCATTTGAAATTAAGGGTACTATCCTTAAAGCAGTTACTCTTACAGTCCATTTTAGTAAAGGTTTCTTAGGAAGCTGACGATACCAATCTACAAAATGGAACAATTCCTTTACATTATACCATCTAGTTTTGTTACTTGGTTTTGCCCTTCTCCAATGTTGACTCTCTTCTAGGTAACCACAGGTTCCGGAAGTACCTTTTGCTGCCCGTAATTTTTCCTTTTGCGGGTAGCTTTGAGGCTGGTGGCCTGAGCTGAGACAAACCCACATCTGAGCTTGGTCCAGCCTTAAGGCCAAACCCAATACTCATTCACTGTCATTTTACCTATCACAGATAACAATAGCCATGGGATTGAATATTTTGCTTTTGCCTTATTAGTTTGCATTTCCTTATGCATCCAGTGAACCAACTTCCTGGAGTATGATCTATCTCTAAATTCCACTGGTGGCTTTCACCTTTAGTAACTGAATGCAGTCCAGCTGTAGCTCCTTAAGATGGGTAACCATGTGGCCACCCAGGAGTCAAAGGTTTCTCATTCCCAACCCTTTCCTTTTCTTTTTATCCATTTAGTTTTGTCTATATAATTTCTCCTTTTTAGGCAGAATGTGGGACTTGACTCTGGAGGTGGGGCTTGGTCACCAGACCAAACTGAGGACTAGCTAAAACAGGGACAAGGCAAAAGCTGGTTTCCATAAGACATGCCTGCCACTGTGCCATGTCAGTTTACCATTGCGATGGCAACACCTGATGTTACCACCCCTTTTCATGGCAATGACCTGATGACCCAGAAATTACCACCCTTTTCCTAGAAATTTCTACATAACTACTGCTTAACTCACATGTAATTAAAAGTGGGTATAAATGTGAGTGCAGAACTCTGAGCTCTGCTCTGGGCACACAGCCTATGGGGTGTCCCTGCTCTGCAAGGAGCAGCACCTTTTCTGCTGCTGTGCACTGCTGCTTCAATCAAAGTTGCTGTCTAACACCACCAGCTCATCCTTGAATTCTTTCTAGGGTGAAGCCAAGAATGCTCCTGGGATAAGCCCCAGTTCTGGGGCTCACCTGCCATGCATCACTTTATTTAAGGCAACCCTTAAATAGCCTCTAAACTAGGAAAAATTACATTTTCTTTAGGAAAAACCATATCCTCATGTTTTTATAAACCTCACCAAAAACACATCTTAGTCTTCTGCTGTTATACCTCTTGATAACCCAAATTCCCAGTGAAAAACCTAAGATTACTTAATTTAACATAATATGACTACTGGAGAGAATTTTGAGATTAAATTTATCAAATTCATCTTACCAAAGACTACTAAAGTCATGTGAACTAAAAGGCATCTTAGCTAGTTTCTGTTAGTCTGATAAATACTTACTTTTCTTTAATCCAACTGATTAGAGCTCTTTCATATAAGTTGGTAGTGAAATATCACTTTCACATGTCACATATACACATATAGGCACTCCAGGCACATAAACAGAGGCAGATCCTTTGTAATCACCCCTTAAGATTTTTTATTTACCTATTTTCAAAATTTCTCTCTAAATTTATCTAAATTACTTTAGACTACTACTAAAAAAAAAGTTACAAGAGCCAACAAAAGTTGAAGAGGAGTTACCAACCCAGGCGTTCTCAAAGGGAGAAAGAGCTGAAGCAGTGGGATACAGTGGAAGTTGAACTTCTGAGACATCAATCTGAAGAATTTCAAAAAGACAGTTTATAGAATGTAAAAATGAAAAACTTGCAGTCTCATTAGGAGTAAATCAATATTTTAAGAAAATCTTGTTCTAACCAATTCTTTAGTTTTATTATTAGTGTATTTTTAATATCAAAGTCCAATTTCTAGAAAGACTATAATAATTTCCTTTTAATTATGGCCAACTCAATAACAGAACATTTAAAAAAATAAATTCATTTTTTTATGAGCCTTATTATGACTTATACAAACCCTTCGTGACATGCTTGAACTTTCTGGTTTGTACTACACACAGCTCTTTCTTAAACAATCACTCATTTTATTTCAGGACAAAAATTTACCATACAAGATTTTTTCTCATGCAAAATTATTCTTCTTTAAATCTTTCTTAACAAAAAATACTTCTTCATATTTATAACTTTTTTCTTTTGAGACAGAATCTCACTCTGTCACCTAGGCTGTAGTGCAGTGGCACAATCTCGGCTCACTGCAACCTCCACCTCCCAGATTAAAGTGATTTTCATGCCTCAGCCTCCCAAGTAGCTGGGATTACAGGTGCCTGGCTAATTTTTTTTGTATTATATTTTTTGTATAGCCACCATGCCTGGCTAATTTTTTTTGTATTATTATTATTATTATTATTATTATTATTTTTTAGTAGAGAGGGTTCTACCATGTTGGCCAGGCTGGTCTAAAACTCCTGGATTTAAGCCATCCACCCACCTACAAAGATAATTACACAAAGATAATTATGTTTGAGGCTGGGTTTATAGTTTTATAACCTTCATGCCCAATCTTGACACCTTATAATACCTAGCAGAAATAAATATAGGACTACTAGACCAATAAATCTAAATGATAATGTATATCAGTAATTCTGAAGACATTTCTAATTTTATTTTACCAATAATGTCAAAGTCAGCTTATTTATTAAATATTTTACTTAAGTCATGTGAACTTGAAAAGCATTTGGGTTTATTTACTTAATTTATGAGTACTCCTTAACTTTAAGCCAATTTGTTACCTTATGGCCACAACACATAACAAAATACATGTACATACATATAAACACACACATACACACTCATACAAAGATCCTCTAACTTTTACTTCAGAACTCTAACCATGAGATATCAATACAAACTTATCAGTTTACCAAATAAAAACAAAAACAAAAAACAAACATGATTGGATCCAAACAGTGGTTTTTATCTTAGTAGAAAAGTAACAGCAGATTTAAAGCAGGCAGAAAGTAAAATAGAGAAATAGAGACCTTAGGAACTCTTAGTTGCAGCTCAACCTTTGGGGGTCTGAATTTTTCCTTGATGTACTTGTGCATCAGTTTAAAATGTGCAAAACAGACCATAATATGTAACCAGTGGGAGTACTAGAAAACCTGGCATGCTCTCAAAATTTTCCACTTACACAAACACTTGCAAGTAAAAGCAAGCACCATAAAACCAAATGGAATGCCCAAAAGGGGGTTGTTTTCCTTGTCTTTCCTCATTCTTAGATGAGAAGACCCTTTAAAATAGGGGTCCCCAAACCCTGGGCCACAGACCATGGCCTGTTAGGAACCAGGCCATACCACAGAAGGTGAGTGGTGGGCAAGTGAGCGGAGCTTCATCTGTATTTACAACCACTCCCCATTGCTCACATTACTGCCCGAGCACTGCCTCCTGTCAGATCAGCAATGACATTAAATTCTCATAGGAGCTCGAACCCTATTGTCAACTGTGCATATGAGGGATCTAGGTTGCATGTTCCTTATGAGAATCTGATGCCTGATGATCTGTCACTGTCTCCCACCACTCCCAGACAGGACCTTCTAGTTGCAGGAAAACAAGCTCAGGGCTCCCACTGGGTCCACATTATGGGTGAGTTGTATAATTATTTCATTATATATTACAATGTAATAATACTAGAAATAAAGTACACAATAAATGTAATGCACTTGAATAATCTTGAAACCATCCCCCCTCCCTGGTCCATGGAAAAATCGTCTTCCATGAAACCAGTCCCTGGTGACAAAAAAGTTGGGGACCACAGCTTTAGAATGCACCTCTGAACTAGAATTAGGATCCTAAACAAAACCAAAACGTGGTGCCTGAAAGGGGGTTGTTCCCCTTGTCTTTAGAAGAAGGCAATGGAGAATACTCTTTAGAATGTACCTCTGAACCAAAATTAGGATCCTAAACAACAACTTCCTTGGATAAAATAACAAAAATAAAAACAAAAAAACACCAGCTCAGAATAAACCAAGGACCATCAAGCAAATGGGAGGTCCAGGGCTCAGGAGGACTAACCAGTTCCACTGGAGGAGAAGTTCGAGATTGGGAGAGATTTCAATGGGCCCCTGCTGGTACCTTAGCTCTGGGTTCAGACAACTCCTCTGGGATTCTGAGTCGTCTCTGAGACCCCACGGGTAGGGTGCCAATTACTGTCAATGAGAAGAGTCAAACTCTGTAAAATATTTTAACAGATTTATTCTGAGTCAAATATAAGTGACCAATGGCCCACGACACAGCCTCAGGAGATCCCAAGAACATGTGCTTAGGGTGGCTGGGCTACAGCTTGATTTTATACATTTTAGGGAGACAGAAGACATCAATCAGTACATGTAAGATGTACATTGGTTCAATCTGGAAAGGCAGGACAACTTGAAGAAGAGGCTTCCAGGTCATAGGTGGATTCAAAGATTTTCTGATTGGCAACTGGTTAAAAGAGTTATTATCTAAAGACCTGGAATCAATAGACAGGGATGCCTGGGTTAAGATAAGGGGTAAAATACTTTGATTTCTATCAGGGTCTGCTATCTCATGTTGGTATCTTATGGCTACAGAATCTGTTTTGTGGGCCTTAAGGTCTCTGTTTTAATGTGAATGCTGGTCCAAACAATGGAATTTGGACAGCTGTGCCTGAATTCCAAAGGGAGGAAGGCATGAGGCATGTCTGACCATCCACTGTCATCATGGCCTCAACTTATGTTTCAGGTTTTCTTTAGAATGAATGGCTTTGGCTGAGAACAGGAGGTCTTAAGTTTTTATTTTGTTTTACACAGTGTATATTTTTTCAGCATTTTCATACTTAACAGTGGAAGTGCTAGTGGTGGTTTTAGATAAAGCTTAGGCTCATCGCTAGCTTGCTGTTTTCTTCCACACAGATTTTCCCGTCATGCCTTGCTGTTGACAAAGGCCAGGAGCCCAGAGGAGAGAGTGCTCCAGGACTCAGTGCTTGTCCTTCTACTCACATATACTTTGAAGTCTGGATGTTTGCCGTCTTCTAGTTACAGTGGGTGGGGTGGGCTCAGTAAGGTTTTATTTGTTCTCTATTCTTTATTTTTTGGAGGATTTGTTAAGAATTTCAGGTTTATGCTGCCTCCATGACCTCAGCTACCCCAAATTCTTTCTGATGTAATATTTATTATTTTCTTTTTCTGGGTGTCTTCCTTTGTTATTACTTTGTTATTCTTTTTTAGTTTTTTAGTTGAAAATGTGGTTCATTTGTTTTATTCTTTCATTTTTTTTGCTTTTTAAAAACTGATGTAAATATTAAAAGTGATAAGAGTTTGAGCTATGTTAAACACACTCCATACGTTCTCACATGAAGTGCTTTCATTACCATTACTTTTTAGAAATTCTGAAATTTTGGTTTGCATTTCCCCTTTCGCCCAAGAGTTGTTTAATAGAGTCTTAAATTTTCCATGGGAAGAACCCTGCTCTGTTTCCATTTATTACATTTATTATTAATTTCTAGCTCTATTGTCTCACAACTATGTATAAGGCTGTTTAGCTATAATTTTATAGGATCATCAGCAGAGTTTTGATGATATGCTGTTTTCACTTCATGTCTTGACTTTAAAATCTACCATACCCAGGCCGGGCGTCTGTAATCCCAGCACTTTGGGAGGCCGAGGCGGGCGGATCATGAGGTCAGGAGATTGAGACCATCCTGGTTAACACGGTGAAACCCTGTCTCCACTAAAAATACAAAAAATTAGCCAGGCGTGGTGGCGGGTGCCTGTAGTCCCAGCTACTCGGGAGGCTGAGGCAGGAGAATGGGGTGAACCCAGGAGGCAGAGCTTGCAGTGAGCCGAGATCGCACCACTGCACTCTGGCCTGGGTGAAAGAGCGAGACGCCGTCTCAAAAAAAAAAACAAAAAAAAAAACTACCTTACCCATGTAAGATGTGATTTCACTGGGTAATACAGCCTCACAGCACTCTACAGTTTCTAATGAGCTTTAGTTTATTTCCTGTTCATTATTTCAATGGTCCTAATAGCATTATCTTTCTCTTTGGATGACAAAACTCAGAAAGGGGAAGCAACTCACTCAAAGTCACACACGTTCGAGTGGCATGGCTACAGTTTGATCCAGGCTTGGCTCCCTCCAAGTTGGTGCTCATTCAACTTGGTAAGATTTGTGCCTGGAGCCCACGACATGCATCCTACTTGTTGGTGAAATACTAAATTTTATCCCCTTAAGATTGGGAACAAAACAAGAATGTCTCCTTTAGCCACTTCTACTTAGCGTGGTACCAGGGGTCCTAGCCAATGCAATAAGGCAAGAAAAATAAGTAAATGGCATACATATCAGAAAGGAAGAAGGAAAAGTGCATTTACTCACAGAGAATGTGATGGTCCATATACAAAATCTCAGAAAACTGCAAAAAAGCTATAAGACAAGGATAAATGTCAACATACAAAATCAATCATATTTATACTAGCAATGAACAGGTAGAAATTGAAATAAAAATATTATTTACAAACATACCAAAACCACGAAATACTTAAGGATAAATTTCACAAAATATGTACAACTTCTATCCATTGAAGACTGCAAAATATTGCTGAGGAAAATTAAAGATGAAATAAATATAGAGAGGTAGTATTTTATTTACAAGGCACTTTAAGTGAAAATTCCATCAGGCTGTTTTTCTGGCACAAGCTGTCAAACTGATTATAAATGCATATGGCAAAGCACATACAGTGAGTTGTGGAGCCCTGCTAACCACAGTGTAATCCAGCCTATCCTGCCTGATATGGCATTAATTGCTTATGATTGATGACAGCTGCTGTTTTGTAAGCACTGTTTGTAAACCAAGGACTTGTGTTTTTACAAAATTATGAAGAGATAGATATTCATTTCTCCACTTTACAGGTGAGGAAACAAGACCTATAGGGCTTCTATCAGCAGTCCCCAACCTTCTTGGCACCAGTGACTGGTTTCATGGAAGACAATTTTTCCACCAACAGGGTCAGTGGGGACATGGGGGATGGTTTCAGGATGAAACTGTTTCATCTCAGATTATCAGGCATTAGATTCTCATAAGGAGTATGCAGCATAGATCCCTCGCATGCATAGTTCACAAGAGGGTTTGCACTTCTCTGAGAATCTAATGCTCCCACTGATCTGACAGGAGGCAGATCTCAGGTGGTAATACTTGCCTCCTGCTGTGTGGCCCAGTTCCTAACAGGCCATGGACTGCTACTGGTCCACAGCCTGGCGGTTGAATACCCCTGGGTTATATAACTTGACATCTGAAGAGACCCGGCTACGAGACCTGGACCTGAGTCAGTTTAAGGCCTGAGGATGTTGCTGTTAAAACCATGACCACTTTAGAAAACCCCTGGCAGACACAGCCTAACTCCTGAGTATCCTCCAAAGCATTTATGTATCTTCCCTGAGTTCACAGAAGTGCTCAGCAAATGCTTACGACCACCTAACTGGTCAAGGCACAGTTTGGTTTTATACATTTAGGGAGACATGAGACATCAATCAATATATGTAAGAAGTACATTGGTTTGGTCTGGAAAAGTGGGACAACTTGAAGCAAAGGCAGGAAGACTCGAAGGGAGAGAGCTTCCAGGTCACAGATAGGTGATACACAAACAGTTACAGTCTTTTGAGTTTCTGATTAGCCTCTCCAAAGGAGGCAAATCAGATATGCAATTCAGTGAGCAGAGGAGTGACTTTGACTGGAATGGGAGGCAGGTTTGCCCTCAGCAGTTTCCAGCTTGAGTTTTCCTTAGTGATTTTAGGGGCCCAAGATATTTTCCTTTCACAGCTCCCAAACCACTCCTCTTGTATTAACACTTACTATGGTTGTCCCCAGTAACACCAATTTAGTTAAATACAAAATGCATTAAAAGTAGACTCTCTGAAGCAATAGAAAAGCCTCCAAAGGGGTATAGAAAATCTGATGGAGAATCACTGAAATTAAACAATATCAGGTCCTAGGAGGTGTCCTGGCCTGTGTGTGAGAAAACGTGGTACAGTTGTAGCCCTTGTTCTGACTATTCCACTAGATAAATTTGAGCAAGTCAGCTACAGTCTCCTGATTTGTAGGATGGAGGGGCTGGACAAGCTGGCTGTGCCACCCCCACTTACTGAATGCACTAACCATGGCTCAAAGAGATTAAGTGACCAAGTCCACTCACTGGCTGAGTTGAACGAGGACAGGAGCCCAGGAAGATCTCTTTTTGCCTATTACTTTATCTACTGCACCTACATCTGTTAGAAATGCAAAATGCTTGTTCTTCAGTGCTGCAAAGAAATAGCACTTGAACATAAATTTAATTCTGTCAGCAAGGCCATTTTTACTTTCTGCAGAAAGGGTGCCCATCACAAATGGAACAATGGTGAGAGCACACCTGAACAAAGGAAAACAGACATATTTATCCCTTACGCATTTGGGTCCTCCTTACTGCTATGTCTTGCATCCATTGGCTGGAGCTGGACCTCACAGTCTTAAACTGACACCTGATTTACTGATAACCTAAAACTTTCCTAAATAGGTAAGTGCAAGGGAGAACAAAGAAGGAGAGGAAGTTGCTTATGAAAAGTTTAAGGAAGCAATAACATTTCCAAATAAGGAAGGGGCATAAGCTATGAGCTAAGTCTTGCCTGGGCTTGTCCAGACATGCCTGAATAAGCCAAAGCGACTAACTGGGCTAAAGTGTAAGAACTAACAGTTGATAGGAGGCTTTAGAGTAAGGAACTATTATTCCTAGTGTCTATTATTTTATTTTTAAACCAAGATGAACTTTGAAGAGGAACTTATTCTACTTTCTACAACATCTCTCTGAGATTCCAAGTCCAGTTGCCAGAGCTCTGAGATTCTAAGCCCAGCCTCTTCAATGCTACAAGCTTTACATATGACCTTTCCCCAAAACCCCTGACCCACTTCAAGATTGGTAAGTCACTCCATAGTCTTTCTAGAAGGTCTGGTGGCTGGATAGCCTCTCATTTCCTTGACTGGCATTACTCAGCCCCAGAGAGCTCAGAACGATCCTGGGCAGGACAATTGCTGGTGTTTAGTAGACTCTGAGTTTGCACTTCTCAGCAGATGGTTTTTCATGTCCACGTGTTAAATATAGTGAACCCCAAGTTTCTTTTCAAAGAATCAGTATGGCAGTATGTTTAGCTCTCTTATTCTTTGATTCTCCACTTTAAAGTTTATCTTCCTGGTTCTCCTTGCCCTCTTGCCTCTAGTTTCAGTTAACAACCTTTTCCACCACTTTTAATCAGTAGTTCACATCTGTTCCCCTGGTCACCTGCTCTGTTCTGACTCATCCCCGTCACCTGCTCTGACCTAAGTCACCTTTAGTTACCTGTTCCTAACCGTCCTTCCTGCCAAACTACTCACCCCGCTACTCTGGCTCGTACTCCTGCTCTTTTTAAAATAGCCAGTTGGAATTAGCTCAGACTACGCAGTCCAACCCTAACCAATAGGGGAACGACACAGCAGTAGGGGCTACCTGTGTCAGGAATAAGAACTCCTTCCCCTCTCCTGTCCAAGTGTGCTCTCGTCATTGTTCCATCTGTGAGGAGCACCCTTTCTGCAGAAAGTAAAAATTGCCTTGCTGATAAAATTAAATTTATGTTCTAGTGCTATTTCTTTGTGATATCGAGGAACAAGCATTTTGCATTTCTAACACATATCTGGACATCCCATGTCAAAGTCGAGTTTAGGCAATAAATAAGTTTGTGTAAAGTCAGACCCAGCACTCCAAAGTGTAGTTACTCCCATTCTTGTGCCCAGCAAGAATTTCCATGAGGGTTCTGCCTGTAGGATATAATAAATTCCTCTTCAAAGGTTTTAGCCTGTAAATTGTTAAGTACAACGAGTTCTGAGATCCTCTCCAAAGAACCAGTGCATCAGTGTGTTCAGCTTCCCTGTTCTTTGTTCTTCATTTTAAAATTTAACTTCCTCATTCTCTTTGTCTCCTTGCCCCTAGTTTCAGTAAACAACCCCCTCCTATCCTCTATCACGTGCTCTGACCTTAGTCGCCCCTGGTCACCTGCTTCATCCTGAGTCACCCCTGGTCACCTGCTCTGACCTGAGTCATCCTGAGTCACCTGTTCTGTAACTGTCCTTCCTGCCCAATTACTCACCCCACCACTCTGACTCGTGCCCCGCTCTCTTTAAAATAGCCAATCGGAATTAGCTTAGACAGTGTAGTCCAACCCTAGCCAATAGGGGAATGACACAGCAGTAGGGGCTGCCTGCATCATGGATAAGAACACCTTCCCCTCCCTTGTTCAGGTGTGCTCTTGCCATTGCTCCATCCGCGAGTCACACCTTTCCATAGAAGTAAAATTGCCTTGCTGAGAAAATTAAATTTATGTTTGAGTGCTATTTCTTTTTTGGCACCGAAAATTTATTTCTAACATGCACATCTGAAAATGAAAAAAGCCCTAAAACCTTAACTGCTTACCTTTCCTTCAACTTTCTGCCATTTTTCATACCCACAAGAAGCATAAGAGGTCCTTTTTCTTCCTCCCTGTGAGAATGTCAGCAAATGGTTAACACAGATTGCTGGTTTAGCAGTAGCCACAGGGAGGGAAAATGTGAGCTATTAATGTTACTTTTTTCTACAGGCAGTGTGAGCATTTGAAGCTAATAAACTCTCATCTGCGGGGTCACACACCTCAATATATGTACATATTGCTAATGAGTGTTTGTAAAATAGGCAATAATGGCTCAAAATAAACTATCTCAGAATGGCTAATAAGTAATAAGCCTCTTGCCTTTAAAATTAATAATAAAAAAGAGGCATATTGTGTGTAGCCTACCCTGGGTGAAAAGGGGGTGCAACAGAAAATGTGTCCAAGACTCAGCTCTTGTCCTCCCTTTTATTTCTGGCATAGCAGGAAGGCACGGCCCTATAAAGCACTGGCAAAAGCAAAATCTGCAAACACAACACCAGAGAAATTCAGAATTTTAGATCTGGAAAGAACTTCTGCATCCCTTGAACCCCAGCTTGCCTAGTCCTTAGCTCGCAGTGACTTGCCCAAGATCACTCAACGCAAAGCAGCAAATGCCCACGGGAATCTTCCAGTCTGAGGAAGTTAAGGTTTGGGGGTTTGCCATAGATGTCACTGGCCTGGAGTTCGGGAGTCCTGCATTTGTCCCTAGCTCTGCTGCTGTGTGACCTTGGATACAACCTTAAACCTCATGGGGCATCATGTTCCTCTGCAAATAGAAGTAGTGGCACCTCTTCACAGTGTTGCCATGGGGATTACATGAGATCACATAGGTAATAGAATTTTGTAAATATAAAATTACATTAAATGAGACCCATCAAGCGATAAGCTGAGTGAGAAATGCTATATTTTTAAAAGTGATATAGTTACAATGATTATAAAATCTCAGAAAGCCAGTTGTGATCCAAATTAATAAACATCTCCATCTTTGCAGCAGAAATAATTGCCTCTGGAGTCATAATAATAACAGATATTTATTTACACCTTTCCTGGTTACCAAATGCCTTGAATACAGCTGCCTGTGTTGACTCTCATTGAGGAAAGCAATGGAGACCCAAGGCTAAGGGCAGCCAGCAACACCCCAAGGTCGCCGAGTTAAAGAATGGCAGGGCTGGACTTCCCACGCTCAGTGAGGACAAAGCCATTTTGCCTCTGGAAAGAAACTGCCTGGTCTGGGCAGCCCAATATCCCAAAGAGGTTGCCTATTATTGACAAAGACTCTTCAGGACCCAGGACCACTGCTGGGCTGGTTTGAAACATCACACGGAGAGTCTCCAAGGGTGGGACTGAGCACCCAGACGATAGAGCAGCCATATCTCTGGGAGGCATGGCACTCCCACAGTCTCTGGAGTGGGAGACCCTGCTCAGGGCACCAGGAGGTGAGACTCCACACAGCCGTGTGGTGTCCCTGAACTTAGATCCTCCTTCTAGCTGTCAACACTTCTTATATACCAGTGCAACGGCATAAACCCCTGAGTCCTTTCCAGTCCCCAATCCCAAATTCCAACAGGACCTGCAACTGAGGCCCAGCGGTGTTGACTCAGGATGATAGCCAAGCTAGGGAAGAGGTTAGAGCCCCCGGCGAGGAGTCCAGGCCATTTTCCACTGCTGCACTTACCACCCGGCTGAGACCCCGCCAGGAGCCCAGAAGTGAGCGCCAGCCACAGCTGCTCTCCAGTGGCTTCTGCCCCTCTGCACGGCCCCTTCTTTATAAATGACAGCTATTTCCACATCCTGTGCAGGAAGGTGACAACCGAGATGGCCTAATTTTACCTGATTACATAGAAATTCAGTGTTCTGGGGAAGCACCTACATTTTCCTGTGATTATCCCTCTGTTCCATCATGATGAGATGACTGTGAACTTGGACATCTCGTCTTAATTTTCTCATGTGTAACTTGGTGAAAAAGTCACATACTTTCTCTTATAATATCCTAAAACAGATGGGTAATATAGCCCAGGACTGAGTTAGATTCATTAATTCGGCTAAGTTGAAATAACCTGGCATTGTGACTGCATAATATGGTCTCAGCCCAGTGATAAAAAAATGGACTTGAAGAGATTCTTCCCCAAGTGTTTCATTTTAATTTCATGTTGATCAAGTTAGTAATTCCGGTCAAAGTGGGAAGAAGCAAAAAAAAAATACATTTCCTCAGTTCATGGTCAATAATTTTGTCCCCATGTGGACATTAGTGCTCTCTGGCTTCTCACCAGGGGGCTGGAAGGCTTCCATCTGATAATGGGCTGTAACGGATGGATGGTGGATTTGCACAGCGTGTAGACGGTAATGGATGGATGGCGGATTTGCACAGCGTGTGGTCCCCAGGGGAGACAGCAGTCTTGTGACTAAGAGGATGGGAGCCTCACAGGGCAGCACAGCTCTCTCAGCTCCTGGAGCGTTTCCGCCTGAAAATAGGCAGCGACTGTGGTTTATAAACGCCCAGAAGGCAGCGTTTCAGCCATCTCCTCTGTTATTGTGTGAGGAACCAGGCAGAGATTTGTAATGACACGAGGACGGGAAGCGAGTCGATGGGTCAGGCCTCCTCCCGGGTGCAGAGCACAAGTGTGGGGCCCTTCTTCCCATAAAAGTGGGGAGGTGCCTGCATCGGCCTGAATTTATCATTCTGTTCATTTCCCAGAAGCATTCATTAACATTAAGCCCTGAGATCGACAGTTAATAATCACTCTAAATAATTCAGATATAATAAATTACAAGCTGTGACTGTGACCTTAGGTAAATATTAAAACAAACAGCAACAATAACAACCACCACCCAAGGACTGTGCTGTTGCTAGTGAGCCTAGGAAACTGTTTGTCTTTCTCAGGAGAGTCCATTTATCTGAGGGATAGAATTCAAATGAACTTCAAAAGCATCCAGAGCGTTTGTAAAAGCACGATTGAGCCGGGAGCAGTGGCTCACGCCTGTCATCCCAGCACTTTGTGAGGCCGAGGCAGGCGGATCACGCGGTCAGGAGATCGAGACCACCTTGGCTAACACGGTGAAACCCCGTCTCTACTACAAATACAAAAAATTAGCCGGGCGTAGTGGCGGGCGCCTGTAGTCCCAGCTACTTGGGAGTCTGAGGCAGGAGAATGGCGTGAACCCGGGAGGCGGAGCTTGCAGTGAGCCGAGATCGCGCCACTGCACTCCAGTCTGGGCGACAGAGCGAGACTCCATCTCAAAAAAAAAAAAAAAAAAGCACGATTGAAAACCAGCGGCTATAATCCCTACAACGGTGTTAACATTTACGTTGGCTGGGGGCCCTGCTTCTTCAGGGCCGTGAGGCCATGCTGACAGCAAGGAAGGCAAACTCGGGAAGCCAGTCCCCCCAGAGTGGAGCCTCCACCCACAACACTCCTCAACAGCGGCCTGGGAGGATCCGCACGCCCCTCTGGTGAGTCAGCACGCAGCTCTGCCTCTTTCGAGGCCAAGCCCTGCACGTTCTAGCCTCACTGGGATTAAATCTGTATTCACATTTTCGTTTTTTATATTATCTGTTTTCCACTCCTCTCTCCTCTAAAACTTAAAATCCTATCTCAACTGAAATTAGTGCTTTTTTGGTACAAAACGTTTATCCTCATTCTCCTTCGGTCCATTTTCAAGGATCATATTAATGCAACAATCAGATAAGAAAGGCCCTTGTAACGCCAAAGCCATTTCAAAGGAGGAAAGAAAACCCTGACCCATTTGGGGTAGGACTAAGAACCAAGTCATTCCTTTTTAAGATGTTTAGTTGTGAATAACAGCTGCCCTCCAAGCTTCCTGGCAGGAAGTTGAACAAGAGGAAGAGGGACCAGTTGGCTTAAGACCGACCCCCTGCAGGGGCCACTAGGCAGCTGCTCCCGGTCCGCACCGCTGCAGAGTGCAGCAGTGGCCCCGTCTGCATCCTGGACCCAGGCCCTCGTGCATAGGCATCGTGCTGGGGAGGAGGAGGCTGCCTCTGGGTTTCCGGCGCTGCTGGCAAGGTCAGGCCCAGTCCCTAGAGTCTGCTGGGCTGGCAGGATGGCGGTGGTGGGGGGCACAGTGCGGCCCCCCTCCATGCTGAGGTGTCCTGAACATATCAAGGAGTGCAGGTGCCGCGCTAGCCACGGGGGCTCAGAGCCCAGGTCCCAGTCTGGCCCCTCTCCCGGAGCTGGGCGTGGCTGTGGGGCTCTTTGCTGCTACAGACCATAGCCACGCTCGCTGCGAGGGTGCCAGGTGCCACACACCTACGTTTGCTTTGCCAGCATTTTCCTTCCTTTTGCTTTTCCCATCCCTTTCTTTCTGAGATTAGGAAGGAAAAGGAAGGGAAGGAAACCTAATCGGGTGACTCGAGGAACTAGATCTTATTCAGTCATTCCAGGACCATCAAGGCAGGAATTATTATTGCACCGACACATTGCTTATAAGGACAGAACTAAGGCTCAGAGAGATTGAGGAAAGGGCACAAAGCTGCCCAACAGGCCAGTGAAGGAGCTGGGCTTTGGGCTGAAGGCTCAGTCTCTCTGATATCCACGTGGATTCATTCACGGGTACCTCGGTCCCCAGAGCGCGGCCTGCAGAGCTGCCTGTTCTTCCCTCCCGGGCCAGCTGGTGCAGGACACTAGGGGATTTTCCAGGCACACAGGCTAAGCACATGTGACATTCGTAGTCTTCATTTGAATGCTACCCTCCCTCTGGGACCCATCGTATTCTGGCATTCCAGGCATGGTGCTAAGGTCCAGGGTGTGCTATGGACATAGCTGAGTGCACACACCTGCACTCTGTCTACCTGCATCCCACCTGAGTCCCACCTTTATCATCCTGCCTGAGTCCCACCTGCATCCCACCTGCATCCTACCTGCATCCCGCCTACATCCTACCTGCATCCTACCTGCATCCCACCTACATCCTACCTGCATCCCACCTATAGCCTACCTGCATCCCACCTATATCCTACCTGCATCCCACCTATAGCCTACCTGCATCCCACCTATATCCTACCTGCATCCCACCTATATCCTACCTGCATCCCACCTATATCCTACCTGCATCCCACCTACATCCTACCTGCATCCTACCTGAGTCCCACCTGCATCCCACCTGCATCCTATCTGCATCCTACCTGCATCCCACCTACATCCTACCTGCATCCTACCTGCATCCTACCTGAGTCCCACCTGAGTCCCACCTGCATCCCATCTGAGTCCTAACTGAGTCCCACCTGAGTCCCACCTGCATCCCACCTGCATCCTACCTGAGTCCTACTTGCATCCTACCTGTGGCTCTGTGCTGGGCTGTAGGACGCCATCTTGGCATAGCAGTGCATGGCTCTGGGTAGAGCATGAGGGATGCCCACCTCTGGTTCTCTCCTAGGATGCACACCGACCTCACCAGTCACATGGACCTTGCCAATCACACCAGTCACGCCAACTCCCTACAGACACCTCTGCCTGGCTTGCATCTCGTAAGAGCTAAATCAAGAGCAAGATCTCAACGGTGCCTAAAGACTGGCAGTGCCCACTCAAGAGAAACCTCTGTGAGTCCCAACCCACACTGTGCAGTCCTGGGTGACAGTGCCGAGGAGCTGTGGCCCTTGTCTTGTGTGTGGGGCTCTGAGGAGCCGTGGCTTTCATGGTAGCATCGGTGTGATGCCCATCAATGCCTTGAGATGTTGTCCCCTCCTGTGCCAGGCAAGGTGGTGCCCATTAGGAACCAGATACCCTGTGTCCAGCTCGTGGGAGTGTGGGTGGCTGAGGCCCACAGGGAGCCTCTGTGCAGTGCCTGGGGTGGCCCTGCAGGGGAGCCCTGCCCAGGTACCACTGGGTCTGGGGGCACAAGCCCCACACCTTTGCCTCAGTGGGGTTGCTCTGAAGTGCCTGCTCAGTCCTGAGCCCCCATGGGAGCTGTCAGGACCACTTGCAGGTACTGTCTTCCTCCCCAGGAGGGGTTCCCCAGAGCCTGCCCCATAGCCTCTTCCTCAGAGTCTTTTTCCAGGAAACCCAAGCATAACAGTTCCAATCAAACCTCATTTATGTGGTCAACCTCTCAGCCCTTCCTGTCCCTTCCACAGCCAGAAAAAGGAGAGGGTGATGGAGAGGCGGGGAGAGTGAGCTGCAGAATGGAGACCCTTCTCACCTGCAGGGGGAATGACAACCTCAGCTCACCAGCTGCCCCCTAAGCTCGGACGATGAGAAACATGGGCTAGGCACAGGTACATGGCTGCAGGCCACACTCACGGCCCAGATAGGCAAAAGTGTATAAGGCAATAAGGGAATTAATTATTTCTTATTAGCTAATGATCATATATTTACCTTTATCTATCATCGATCTATTATCTGTCTATAGCTATTAGCTTTCCAAATCTCTCTTCTATAATATTATTTCTATTTATTATCTACCCATATTTATTATCTTTATATCTATCATCCATATAATCCATTGTCTATTTATCCATCATCTACCTGTCTATAACTATTTATTTTATCTATTATCTATGTATTCTCTATCTATATCTATTATCTATCATCTACCAATCCATTATCTATCATCTTGCTACTATTTACACATAATACATACATACACAACACTTTTGCATTTGTGTAATAGCTCTATTTGTTACAAAAAATAGGACTACACAAAATATAGTATGGGTTTTGGATTTGATTACAATTAAGGTCATGAGAACCCACTAAGAATTCTTGGCAAAATCTTTACAAGCATAATATGTCACTTGATGATTTTGGAAACTATATGATTGAGGTGATATATGCTGTGGATTTAATATTAGAAATTTAAGTTGAACACGTGGTGCTGCTGCCTTAAGTGGCAGAGATAAGATTCAAACCCAGGTCTTCTGGCTCCAAGTGTCATTCTCCTTCCCCCACACAACTGCACTCTTTTTTCTTTTTCTTGTTTTTCTTTTTTTGAGACAGTATCTCACTCTGTCACCCAGGCTGGAGTGCGTGATGCGATCTCGGCTGACTGCAGCCTCTGCCTCCTGGGTTCAAGCAATTCTCCTGCCTCAGCCTCCCAAGTAACTGGGACTACAGGTGTGCACCACCATGCCTGGCTAACTTTTTTGTATTTTTTTAGTAGAGAGGGTGTTTTGCTATGTTGGCCAGGCTGGTCTCGAACTCGTGAGCTCAGGCAGTCTGCTCACCTCAGCCTCCCAAAATGCTGGAATTACAGGCATGAGCCACTGTGCCCGGACTGCACTCAAAATAGATTTGGATTTAATTAACTGGAAATGCCCAATTTGGTGGTGTACAGAATCGAGGAGCTGCCTCACCAGGGGCAGCCTCCATCCAGTTACCACTTGATGCAGGTTGTAGGGGCACAAAACTAGCCTTGCCTCAGTGGGGCAGCTCTGAAGGGTTTCCCGGCCCCCCAGCCACCCCTGGAGGTTGTTACCCAAAGTGTTGCCCGAGGACCAGCAGCAAGGGTGGCATCTGTGAGCTCATCTGAAACGCAAACCTCAGGCCTCACTCCAGACCCACTGAATCAGGATCTGCATCTTAACAAGACATGGTTCAGGCCAAAAATAGTTTCAGATCTACTTTCCATTCCTGAAAGAGTGCCCAAAAATAGACAAAGTAAAGTATAATAATAACAACAGTACCAGGGTTTTTTGGCATCATTTTTGAAGAATATTGTTTAGTGCAAAAAATAAAAATATAAAAGTAAGGCACAAAAAGCAAATTACAAAGTTTGGCTTAATTTAAATGAAAATTATTTGACTCTTACCTACGTGCTCGTCGTTCTGACCTGCCATAATCTTTGCTTGGTTGGAATGGTGTCCTTGCAGTAGGAGAGACTGCAGAAGTAAATTATTAGCTTTTTAAGTTCTGTGGAACAAGAAAGGGAAGCTTAAATATGATGAATACCTGTTGCCATCGTGCCTGAAGTATCGATGAAGTCTAATCTTGCTTTGGGTTTTGACTCAAAGCAACTGGAATATTCAACTGCTTTATAAGCTAGTGAAAGTGGGCTGCGTAGATGCGATTACAGGTTAAGGTTGTAAGAACAATCAGGACCTCAGAAGAGATTCCTTTTCCCAGTTACTCAGAATCTACATAGATGAAGTTTTAAAAAGCCTGTTAAATGTAGATATTCGCTTGGCTGTGGGAGAGGAGGGTAATTGGCTTGCAATTTGTTTTATCATGACATTTCCACTCTGGCCTTCCATTCCCCAGAAACTGAACTCAGTGACGCTCTTGGAAGAAGTGACCTCATCATGACAAAATCCAATCCCTTATGCACCACCAGCTCAACCATAAACCCAGGAGTCATCCCTAATTCGCTTTTTTCCTTGCCCTTTGTGCCACAAAGCCATTTTGTCTCCACCTCTAAACTTCTCTCCAGCCCCCTTTTCCCTTCTGATGCACGGGCACCCATTTCTCCCTAGACTGCCTTCTTCAGTGTTCCTAAACAGCAGATACCTAGTTCACAGGCCTGCTTACACAATGGTCTCCTAATGTTATTCTTCACACAAATGTGTTTTTAAAGTCTGTGAGAGAGGCCGGGCACAGAGGTTCACGCCTATAATCCCAGCTCTATGGGAGGCCAAGGCAGGTGGATCCCCTGAGGTCAGGAGTTCAAGACTAGCTGGGCCAACATGCCGAAATCCCGTCTCTACTAAAAATACAAAACTTAGCTGGGCGTGGTGGCAGGCACCTCTCATCCCAGCTACTTGGGAGGCTAAGGCAGGAGAATTGCTTGAGCCCTGGAGATACAGGTTGCCGTGAGCCAAGATCGCACGATTGCACTCCAGCCTGGGTGATAAGAGTGAAACTCCATCTCAAAAATAAATAAATAAATAAATAAATAAATAAAGTCTATGAGAGAAATTTGATTAGCCACTCTTTCACAAAGTATGAAGAAGAAACTGTGAGACAAACTAAATAAGAAAATGATGCTATTAAGAAATACTATTGGAATGATTGACCAATTCCTTGTCTGTGTCAGGTTTTGTGTATAAGGCATGTCTCTCCCTTTAAGGAGTCTGCAATCGTGTTACTGGGGAAATGACTTACTAGAATGCAAGCAAAACAGATTATAATATAAGATACTCAAAACCGGGTGTCAGTTATGTAAAAAATAACCTATATGTGGTGGTCCATTTTTAATTTTAAGTGTCTTAGTATAGGTTTAAGCAGGCTATGTGGAAATAAAGAGATAAAGAAGCAGAATGTACTGAGCCACCCCTGCCCCCATCCTGCTTTCTCCTTTCACTTGGCAGCCAGGTGCCTATCGGTCAGGGCCCCCTTAAATACCCCCTCCCCACCCCACCGAAGAATTTAGTTTAGGCTAGCTTGCAACATAGATAATTTTATCCTTTCTTATCAGCAAAGCACAGCCATCTAGGGCCATACGTCAAATGTTCGAAGAGTCCTGAGACAGTCACAATGCATTATGGGATGCAATAAAATGCAGCAGAAAGACCCTAATGAACATACTCGAAAACTTAATCCAACTACCAATATTCGACGTCCAGGAAGATTGTAACCTCGTAGTACTCAGCCAATGAGGAACTGGGGGAGGGACTTGTGCACTAGGGAGTAAATTTCTTGTTGAAGCCCTTCTGGGTGTGCCTCATGCCAGACACCCAATCTTGCAAGACTGCCATTAAAGTCTCGCTTCTTCTGTTCTCTGTGTCCCTGAGTCCATTCTTTGGGTTTGGATGGATAAGGATGTTTCTTACAAGTTAGAAAGAAATTTCTCAATAAGACTCTGAGAGCTTCCTGCTATAGTGCTGGAATTGACATGAGGGTGATTTTGTTTTTTTATTTTAATTTATCTTAAATTAATTAATTTCTTTCTACAAGGGTGATTTTGAAGTCTCCTCACTGCCGATGGTTTTGTGGAAACTGCACAGCGAGGAGGGTAGAGATCTTACTCCTGAAGAGCTGGGAGTCCGGGCTTTGAGGCAGATTCTGTGTTTCTTCAGTGTGTATGTCCTGAGGAATTAGCCACCCATCTGCCACAGGGCCCTGGGGGAGAACGCTACCATGTCTGAAAATGCCAAGGTGGCTGTCCCGTGGAGTTAGCTGTTGTTATCGTCTGTGCTTCGTGATAGCAGGAAGCTTTTTCCCCACTGTGCCCTGCAGCCTCTCCACCTCCTTCCCTTCTCCATTAGTCATGTGAAGACAGAGGGAGCAGGAGGGAAGTTGCCCCAGAGTCCAAGGCAAAGTGCATCAAACAGCCCCGGGTAGTCGTGTTCAGTTTAACTCTGCAGTTATTCCTGAAGTCTTAAGAACTGAATCCTGATACTGCTTTTCCCGTCTTCTTCAGATTCACTCCTGCCCCAGTTCTCTTTGTTGCTGAGAAAATGTCTTCCTCTGCTCTGTAGGATAATATAATACGTTTCTGAGAAAAGGAGCCGTGTCCTTCAGGAGAGGGGTAAATTACAAACGTTACAAGAGATTCGTACATGTTTCATCTCCCCTTTCTTATGGTCACTCAGTAAAATGAGATAACAGTCATGAAAGTTCTGTTATGTGCTCTGCCTAAACCACTGGCCAATTCAGCCCCAACCAGCCCAACTTAAGCTATTGAAGTGGGAAGATTTGGGAGACTGTTTCAATATCCTTATTTGAGTCAGCCTGTTTTTCTGTGGGCCAGAATAGGACATCACAACATGAGATTCAGCTTCTAGACAGGCAGGACGTGTCCTCCATGGATCCCAGCTCCCACAGCCAGGTCCTGTTCCCACTGTGGCTTGGGAGGACATCCCAGAAGCAGAGCCCACGTAGGCCTCCAGCACCCAGCAAACTGCAGGACAAGCTTGGTTGCAGAGTGAGTCAGGCCTTCTTAAACCCCTGCTCTTCCTGACTTGGGCTTCAGGAGACAGGACATGGTTTTGGAAGAGCCATGAAGAGCCACAGTACTGCTGAGTGGAAACAGCCTTCTTCTCTGGCTTAAGGGGAAACCAAGAAGCTTTTTGCTCTGGCTGGCTGGGAGGGCAGGGGGTTGCTGATGCCTGGACACTTCACGGAGGGACACACCCTGGGGGCCTCAGCCCCACTGAAGAGCCGCCTCCATAGACCGTGGCTGTAGACTGGGTCCTGGAGCCACTGGGTCCTGGAGCCACCAGCTCCTGTCCACATGGGGTCTGCAAAGGGAAGCTCCAAGCCCAAGCTGATGGAGAGGCAGAGCCTCAGTCCATCTCAGGGTTTCCAGACCTTTGTGATGAAGCAAAGCTTTTCCCAAACATGATTTCACCCCAAACCCCAAAGTGTACAAGCAGATAAGCACAGAAAGCTATTGTAAAAGTCAGAAAAGGAGGAGGGCTGTGAGAGGGGCTGACGGTCCCCTCCAAATTCTGCCATTGCAGCCTCGACCCTCAGGCCCTCAGAACATGACTGCATCTGAAGAGGCGATTCAAGGTAGAGGACACTATCAGGGGGCCCTCTGTGCCTGTCTCTGCCCTAATTTCCTCTTTTTAAAATTATTATTATTATACTTTAAGTTCTGGGCTACATGTGGAGAATGTGCAAGTTTGTTACATGGGTATACATGCGCCATGGTAGTTTGCTGCACCCATCAACCCATCATCTACATTAGGTATTTCTCCTAATGCTATCCCTCCCCTAGCCCCCCACCCCCTGACAGGGCCCAGCATGTGATGTTTCCCTCCCTGTGTCCATGTGTTCTCATTGTTCGACTCCCACTTATGAGTGAGAACATGTGTTTAGTCTTCTGTTCCTGTGTTAGTTTGCTGAGAGTGATGGTTTCCAGCTTCATCCATGTCCCTGCAAAGGACATGAACTCATCCTTTTTTATGGCTGCATAGTATTCCATGGTGTAGATGTGCCACATTTTCTTTATCCAGTCTATCATTGATGGGTATTTTGGTTGGTCCCAAGTCTTTGCTATTGTGAATAGTGCTACAATAAACATATGTGTGTATGTGTCTTTATAGTACAGTGATTTATAATTCTTTGGGTATATACCCAGTAATGGGATTGCTGGATCAAATGGTGTTTCTGATTCTAGATCCTTGAGGAATAAGCACACTGTCTTCCACAATGGTTAAACTAATTTGCACTCCTACCAACAGTGTAAAAGCATTCCTCTATCTCCACATCCTCTCCAGCATCTGTCGTTTCCTGACTTTTTAATGATCGCCATTCTAACTGGCGTGAGATGGTACCTCATTGTGGCTTTGATTTGCACTGCTCTAATGACCTGTGATGATGAGCTTTTTTTTCATGTTTGTTGGCTGCATAAATGTGTTCTTTTCTTTTTTTTTTTTATTTTTTTTATTTAGACAGAGTCCTGCTCTGTCGCCCAGGCTGGAGTGCAGTGGTGGGATCTGAGCTCAATTCAACCTCCACCTCCTGGGTTCAAGAGATTCTCCTGCCTCAGCCTCCCGAGTAGCTGGGACTACAGGCATGTGCCACCACATCCAGCTAATTTTTTATATTAATACTAGAGATGGGGTTTCACCATGTTAGCCAGGATGGTCTTGATCTCCTGACCTCATGATCTGCCCACCTTGGCCTCGGCCTCCCAAAGTGCTGGGATTATAGGCGTGAGCCACTGCTCCTGGCCATAAATGTCTTCTTTTGAGAAATTTCTGCTCATATCCTTCAAACACTTTTCGATGGGGTTGTTTTTTTCTTGTAAATTTGTTTAAATTCCTTGTAGATTCTGGATATTAGCCCTTTGTCAGATGGAGAGATTACAAAAACTTTCTCCCATTCTGTAGGTTGCCTGCTTACTCTGATGGTAGTTTCTTTTGCTGTGCAGAAGCTCTTTAGTTTAATTAGATGACATTTCTCAATTTTGGCTTTTGTTGCCATTGCTTTTGGTGTTTTGGTGTTTTAGTCATGAAGCCTTTGCCCGTGCCTATGTCCTGAATGGTATTGCCTAGGTTTTCTTCTACGGTTTTTATGGTTTTAGGTCTTACATTTAAGTCTTTAATCCATCTTGAGTTAATTTTGGTATAAGGTGTAAGGAAGGGATCCAGTTTCAGTTTTCTGCATATGGCTAGCCAGTTTTCCCAACACCATTTATTAAATAGGAAATCCTTTCCCCATTGCTTGTTTTTGTCAGGTTTGTCAAAGATCAGATGGTTGTAGATGTGTGGTGTTATTTCTGAGGCCTCTGTTCTGTTCCATTGGTCTATATATCAATTTTGGTTCCAGTACCATGCTGTTTTGGTTACTGTAGCCTTGTAGTATAGTTTGAAGTCAGGTTGCGTGATGCCTCCAGCTTTGTTCTTTTTGCTTAGGATTGTCTTGGCTATACGGGCTCTTTTTTGATTCCATATTAAATTTAATGGGATTGCTGGGTCAATCCCATTAATTATGGGATTAATTAGATATGAGATTTAATTAGTTTTTTCTAATTCTGTGAAGGAAGTCAATGGTATGGGGATAGCAGTGAATCTATAAATTACTTTGTGTAGTATGGCCATTTTCAAGATATTGATTCTTCCTATCCATGAGCATGGAATGTTCTTCCATTTGTTTGTGTCCTCTCTTATTTCCTTGAACAGTGGTTTGTAGTTCTTGAAGAGGTCCTTCACATCCCTTATAAGTTGTATTCCTAGGTATTTTATTCTCTTCATAGCAATTGTGAATGGGAGTTCACTGATGATTTGGCTCTCTGTTTTTCTATTATTGGTGTATAGGAATGCTTGTGATTTTTGCACATTGATTTTGTATCCTGTGATTTTGCTGAAGTTGCTTATCAGCTTAAGGAGATTTTGGGCTGAGATGATGGGGTTTTCTAAATATACAACCATGTTATCTGCAAACAGAGACAATTTGACTTCCTCTCTTTCTATTTGAATACGCTTTATTTCTTTCTCTTGCCTGATTGCCCTGGCCAGAACTTCCAATACTATGTTGAATAGGAGTGGTGAGAGAGGGCATCCTTGTCTTGTGCCAGTTTTCAAAGGGAATGCTTCCAGCTTTTTCCCATTCAGTGTGATATTGGCTGTGGGTTTGTCATAAATAGCTCTCATTATTTTGAGATATTCCATCAATACCTAGTTTATTGAGAATTTTTAGCATGAAGGGGTGTTGAATTTTATCAAAGGCCTTTTCTGCATCTATTGAAATAATTATGCATTTTTTTCCATTGGTTCTGTTTATGTGATGGATTATGTTTATTGATTTGCATATGTTGAACCAGCCTTGCATCCCAGGGATGAAGCCGACTTGATCGTGGTGGATGAACTTTTTGATGTGCTGCTGGATTTGGTTTACCAGTATTTTATTGAGGATTTTTGCATCGATGTTCATCAGGGATATTGGCCTAAAATTTTCTCTTTTTTTGTTGTGTCTCTGCCAGGCTTTGTTACCAGGATGATGCTGGCCTCATAAAATGAGTTAGGGACAAGTTCCTCTTTTTCTATTGTTTGGAATGGTTTCAGAGGGAATGGTACCAGCTCCTCTTTGTGCCTCTGGTAGAATTTGGCTGTGAATCCATCTGGTCCTGGGCTTTTGTTGGTTGGTAGGCTATTAATTACTGCCTCAATTTCAGAACTTGTTATTGGTCTATTCAGGGATTCGACTTCTTCCTGGTTTAGTCTTGGGAGGGTGTTTGTGTCCAGGAATTCATCCATTTCTTCTAGATTTTCTAGTTTATCTGCATAGAGGTTTTTATAGTATTCTCTGATGGTAGTTTGTATTTCTGTGGGATCAGTGGTGATATCCTCTTTATCATTTTTTATTGTGTCTATTTGATTCTTCTCTCTTTTCCTCTTTATTAGTCTGGCTAGCAGTCTATTTTGTTAATCTTTTCAAAAAACTGGCTCCTGGATTCATTGATTTTTTGAAAGGTTTTTCGTGTCTCTATCTCCTTCAGTTCTTCTCTGATCTTAGTTATTTCTTGTCTTCTGCTAGCTTTTGAATTTGTTTGCTCTTGCTTCTCTAGTTCTTTTAATTGTGATGTTAGGATGTCGATTTTAGATCTTTCCCCCTTTCTGCTGTGGGCATTTAGTGCTATAAATTTCCCTCTAAGAACTGCTTTAGCTGTGTCCCAGAGATTCTGGTATGTTGTGTCTTTGTTCTCATTGGTTTCAAATAACTTATTTATTTCTGCCTTAATTTCGTTATTTACCCAGTAGTCATTCGGGAGCAGGTTGTTCAGTTTCCATGTAATTGTGTGGTTTTGAGTGAGTTTCTTAATCCCAAGTTCTAATTTCATTGCACTGTGGTCTGAAAGACTGTTATGATTTCCGTTCTTTTGCATGTGCTGAGGAGTGTTTTACTTCCAATTATGTGGTCAATTTTAGAATAAGTGCAATGTGGTTCTGAGAAGAATGTATACTCTGTTGATTTGGGGTGGAGAGTTCTGTAGATGTCCATTAGGTCTGCTTGGTCCAGAGCTGAGTTCAAGTCCTGAATATCCTTGTTAATTTTCTGTCTTGTTGAACTGTCTAATATTGACAGTGGAGTGTTAAAATCTCCCACTACTATTGTGTAGGAGTCCAAGTCTCTTTGTAGGTCTCTAAGAACTTGCTTTATGAATCTGGGTGCTCCTGTATTGGGTGCATATATATTTAGTATAGTTAGCTCTTCTTGTTGCATTGATCCATTTACCATTATGTAATGCCCTTCTTTGTCTTTTTTGATCTTTGTTGGTTTAAAGTCTGTTTTATCAGAGACTAGGATTGCAACCCCTGCTTTTTTTTGCTTTCTATTTGCTTGGTAAATATTCCTTCATTCCTTTATTTTGAGCCTACGTGTGTCTTTGCATATGAGATCAGTCTCCTGAATACAGCACACTGATGGGTCTTGACTCTGTCCAATTTGCCAGGCTGTGTCTTTCAACTGGGGCATTGAGACCATTTACATTTAAGGTTAATATTATTTTGTGTGAATTTCTTCCTATCGTGATGATGCTAGCTGGTTATTTTGCCCGTTAGTTGATGCAGTTTCTTCATAGTGTTGATGGTCTTTACAATTTGGTATGTTTTTGCAGTGGCTGGTACTAGTTTTTTCTTTCCATATTTAGTGCTTCCTTCAGGAGCTCTTGTAAGGCAGGCCTGGTGGTGACAAAATCTCTCAGCATTTGCTTGTCTGTAAAGGATTTTATTTCTCCTTCGCTTATGAAGCTTAGTTTGGCTGGATATGAAATTCTGGGTTGAAAATTGTTTTCTTTAAGAATGTTGAATATTGGCCCCCACTCTCTTCTGGCTTGTAGGGTTTCTGCCGAGAGATCTGCTGTTAGTCTGATGGGCTTCCCTTTGTGGGTAACCCAGCCTTTCTCTCTGGCTGCTCTTAACATTTTTCCTTTATTTCAAGCTTGGTGAATCTGACAATTATGTGTCTTGGAGTTGTTCTTCTCAAGGAGTATCTGTGGTGTTCTCTGTATTTCCTGAATTTGAATGTTGGCCTATCTTGCTAGGGTGGGGAAGTTCTCCTGGATAATATCCTGAAGTGTGTTTTCCAACTTGGTTCCATTCTTCCCATCAGTTTCAGGTACACTAGTCAAACATAGGTTTGGTCTTTTCACATAGTCCCATATTTCTTGGAGCTTTGTTCATTCCTTTTCATTCTTTTTTCTCTAATCCTGTCTTCATGCTTTATTTCATTAAGTTGATCTTCAATCTCTGATATCCTTTCTTCTGCTTGATCTATTCAGCTATTGATACTTGTGTATGCTTCACAAAGTTCTCATGCTGTGTTTTTCAGCTCCATCAGGTCATTTATGTTCTTCTCTACACTGGTTATTCTAGTTAGCAATTCTTCTAACCTTTTATCAAGGTTCTTAGCTTCCTTGCATTGGATTAAAACATGCTCCTTTAGCTTGGAGGAATTTGTTATTACCCATCTTCTGAAGCCTACTTCTGTCAATTCGTCAAACTCATTCTCTGTCCAGTTTTGTTCCCTTGCTGGTGAGGAGTTGTGATCCTTTGGAGAAGAAGCATTCTGGTTTTTGGACTTTTCAGCATTTTCGCACTGGTTTTTTTCTCATCTTCATGGATTTATCTACCTTTGGTCTTTAATGTTGGTAACATTTGGATGGGGTTTTTGTGTGCACATCGTTTTTGCTGGTGTTGATGCTATTCCTTTCTGTTTGTTAGTTTTCCTTCTAACAGTCAGGCCCCTCTGCTGCAAGTCTGCTGGAGTTTGCTGGGGGTCCACTCCAGACTCTGTTTGCCTGGGTATCACCAGTGGAGGCTGCAGAACAGCAAAGATTGCTGCCTGCTCCTTCCTCTGGAAGCTTCATCCCAGAGGGGAACCCACCAGACGCCAGCTGGAGCTCTCCTTTATGAGGTGTCTGTTGACACCTGCTGGAAGGTGTCTTCCAGTCAGGAGGCACAGGGGTCAGGGACCCACTGGAGGAGGCAGTCTGTCTGTTAGCAGAGCTCGAGCACTGTGCTGGGAGATCCGCTGCTCTCTTCAGAGCCGGCAGGCAGGAACATTTAAGTCTGCTGAGGCTGTGCCCACAGCTGCCCCTTCCCCCAGGTGCTCTGTCCCAAGGAGATGGGAGTTTTATCTATAAGCCCCTGACTAGGGCTGCTGCCTTTTTTTTCAGAAATGCCCTGCCCAGAGAGGAGGAATCTAGAGAGACAGTCTGGCTACAGAGGCTTTGCTGAGCTGCAGTGGGCTCCACCCAGTTTGAAATTCCCCTGGGCTTTGTTTACACTGTGAGGGGAAAACTACCTACTCAAGCCTCAGTAATGGTGGGTGCCCCTCCCCCAACCAAACTTGAGCATCCCAGGTCGACTTCAGACTTCAGACTGCTGTGCTGGCTGTGAGAATTTCAAGCCAGTGGATCTTAGCTCGCTGGGCTCCATGGTGGTGGGATCCACTGAGCTAGACCACTTGGGTCCCTGGCTTCAGCCCCCTTTCCAGGGGAGTGAATGGTTCTGTCTTGCTGGTGTTCCAGGCACCACTGGGGTATGAAAAAAAAAAAACTCCTGCAGCTAGCTCAGTGTCTGCCCAAAGCAGCTAGCTCAGTGTCTGCCCAAACGGCCGCCCAGTTTTGTGCTTGAAACCCAGGGCCCTGGTGGTGTAGGCATGCGAAGGAATCTCCTGGCCTGTGGGTTGTGAAGACTGTGGGGAAAGTGTAGTATCTGGGCCAGAATGCACCATTCCTCACAACACAGTCCCTCATGGCTTCCCTTGGCTAAGGGAGGGAGTTCCCCAATCCCCTTGCACTTCCTGGGTGAGGCAACGCCCCACCCTGCTTTGGCATACCCTCTGTGGGCTGCACCCACTGTCTAACTAGTCCCAGTGCGAGGAGCCGGGTACCTAAATTGGAAATGCAGAAATGACACACCATCTGCATAGATCTCACTGGGAGCTGCAGACCAGAGCTGTTCCTATTTGGCCATCTTGCCCAGGTCCCCTAATTCTTCTTAAGAAGAACTTCAGGCAGATTAGATTAGGGCCCACCCTGATGGCCTCCTCTACCCTTAATTACCCTTTAGATGCAGTCATTGACGTGGTGACATCACGTTTTCCCTGGTGGCCTGAGCAGGGACACATGAGGGATGGACATTCTTCTTGTCCTGGCTGTGCTGTGGGCCCCTCCCTCTCTCCCTCTCCTTCCTGCCTGTGGGTGGTGGTGGGAGGCAGGGGTGCGGAATCTAACCTGGCTGCCCTGCCCTCTGCCTCGTGACCTCAGGGGGGTTGGGGGCTCCTCTTTTGCTCGCAGCAGGCACCCCTTGCTCATCTCCTATGGTTGTTGCCTTGTGGGCACCCCCTCTCCCCCGCAGTGGGGCCATCTCATTGCCCTTCCCCAGTCGCGCTAAGGTGGGCTTTGCCTGGACCTTCACGGTGCCCCTGGAGGCTCCAGGGTGTCCCTCAGGTGCCTGAGGCTGAGTGGCAGTGTCGTTCCTGTTCCCAGTGCCCCCTCCTACAGTCGCCGCTGCAGTGTCTGTGTGTGGGTCCTGGGGAGTTTTGAGGGGGCCGAGGCGGAAAGTGAGGCACCCCCTCCCACACGGGCTGCTGTGTGCTCCAGGACTGATTGGGACACCTGCCCCCTGCTCCCCTTTGCCAGTGAGCACAGGACATCTGAGGTCATGGTAGGCTTGGTCCATGTGCTGGCCAGCCACCAGGGGCTACCACTCTGCCTTCAACTGATCCTTCTGTGCATTTTTTTTTTTTTATTTTTTTTTTTGAGACGGAGTCTCATTCTGTCGCCCAGGCGGGAGTGCTGTGGCGCGATCTCCGCTCACTGCAAGCTCCGCCTTCCGGGTTCACGCCATTCTCCTGCCTCAGCCTCCCGAGTAGCTGGGACTACAGGCGCCCGCCACTGCGCCCGGCTAATTTTTTGTATTTTTAGTAGAGACGGGGTTTCACCGTGGTCTCGATCTCCTGATCTCGTGATCCGCCCGCCTCGGCCTCCCAAAGTGCTGGGATTACAGGCGTGAGCCACCGCGCCCGGCCTGTGCATTTATTTTTAAAAAAGTTTTAAAATATTTTATAAATTAAAAAAATAGATGCAGTCACATTCCACAGGGGATCTGCAATGGGAGGGGTCTCCACCTGCAGGGAGGAGGCGCTGTCTGCAGCCACAGCCTGTGGAGCCTGCAGAGCTGCTCAAGTCAATGCACACCCATGTTGGTCTGCTCTGCTGCATTACCGACCCTTCAAGGAGGTGGCCTCTCGTAATCACCCACCCAACAGGAGACAGCAGGAGAGTGAGAAGGACAAAGTAAGATCGCTGCTGCAGATGTCGGTCTGAGGCATCACATAATAAATAGAACTCACCCACCTCCCTCCTCTCCTCCTGAGGTTCCGACATGCATCCAGCTGACCGCTTCTGTGCTACCCAGAGAGCGGGGCTGGCAGATGACTGATGTGGGCCCCTTGTTGTACCTCCATCTCCATAAAGTTGTTCTAGGCCATGTGGGTAAGTCAGACACACTGTGAGTCCTCAGGTAAGGATGGCCACCTGATTCCAGCCAGAGAATGAATGCCCTCCTGGACAGGCCTCAACCTGGGAAGATGCAACACTGGGAAGATTCAACTCCTGGACCCGGACCAGACGGCTGAGTCTTCACTGTGATCCAGGAGTCCAAGTGCATCCCTGCCTCCAGCCACAGAGCTGATGACGGGGTGTTCTGCAGGAAGTGTAGCCAACACGCAGGATGCTTCTCTTGACGCTGTCTTTGGGCTGAAGGTGACAACCTACATTTTTTTTTGTCTTATGTACAAATGCCAGAAACTCTTCCAGTAAAGCTGCCATACTAGACAGGTGCGATTGGAACTATCATTTGGTGGAGTTTACAGCAGCCCACTGTCATCTGCAATAATCCACCTGGTCCTGAGAGGGGCTGGGCCAGTGACTAAACTGGGGGGTGAGATGGGGACCTCCCTTGCTCAGAGCTCTCACGGGCAGGTGCAGGTGCACGACGCCAGACTGCTTTTGTTTGTTTGTTCCCTATTTTCATCCTCCCCAAGAGCTGCTCAGTGGACCACGCTCTGTGGGGTCTGCCATCTCCCTGAACATTCACCCGCCCCTAGGCCGAGAACCACGGACTTTTCCTGATTCCTTGCAGGAGTCTCAGAATCGCTGGTGCTGGTGCAGGTGCAGGTGTGGATTTACACAAGCAACAAAAGCACACCCGTGGGGAAATCAGGTCAAGATGAGAAGCACCTTTGAAGCATTCGATAGATAAGCAGTTGATCACTCCTCAGTGGGAAATAGTAAAAGCAACCACAGTTCATCTTAAAGGAGATGAAAAAGCATACTTTTTAAATATTTCGGCCGTTCATGGTATTTCTTTCTGAAAACGGTAACCTTTCTTCTTCTATGTAGAACAGCAGTGCCCGGCTTACAGTGGCTCTGGAAAGAAGGCCTGTGTACTTGGAGACACCCCAGCCAGTGGGGTGCACTCCAGGCTCTGAGGGCTTCTTTTTCCACCAGTGTGGAGAGCCTGTGGAATGTCGTCCGCTCACAGACCAGCCTGTGGGGGCAGCCGGCTGGTCCTCAGGAAGGCCAGGGTGCTCAGAACAGAGATTGCCATTCCCTGCTGCACTCCTGCCAGCCTCCCTGAGGCGAGGCACATCCTGACGACAGCCCATGCGCATCAGATGCCTCCTCCATGGGAGTCACCAAGGGAAATCCATTCTTTCCCTGAGACCTCTGTATGTCTTGCCAAGGCTCCATGCACAGGTGCGGGGCTGCGTGGATCAGAGCAGGTGTTCTCTGAAAGAACAGGTGCCAGGGCTTTCTGCTGACTGCAGTGAAACGCCTCCATGCTTGGATGTCAGGAGGGCTCTAGCTCAAACCCTGTGATTCTCCAGTGCAGTGAAATCCCGGAGGACACAGTGACAGACCTCCCATGTGACCAGGTCTCCCATAACGCATGTCCCTTTTGCAAACCGAGCTAAAGCCACACTACCAGCCTGCTCACACAACAAGCGTTTATTATTTCTCACCATCTTTGGAACCAGTACTTGGTGCCCGGAAGTAGGCTGATCACAGGGTGGTAACCTCTGGTTGGTGAAGTGGCCACAGCAGCTTTGATTTTCACGCAGCGGGCGCTGTACCAGTCTCACAATGTGAGGCCCTGTATTCTGGCTGATAATAAGGAGAGTGTTGCTCAGGAGGGAAGCGGAGTCTGAAAGAGCTAGATAAGAATTCTGGCTCTTCCAGTCACAGACTTCCTAGCCCTGGGCACACTGATCCGTCTAAGGATCAATCTGCCTCCACTTTTTGGTTGATTCTTAAACACTCATTTACCTCCCTGAGTCTAAGTTTCTTTACCCCAAACATGGGAAGAAGAAAACTCCTCTTTCTTTAGATCACAAGGTGGTTGTTAGGGTAAAATAAGATAATATGCACCGAAGTACTTAGGATATGTAAAAACTATGCAAATATAAGGTGTTTTTAAAGTATATTTTTGTACTGTAAGTATAACGTATTGAGATGCAAGATATTTTAAATATTATACAAAATAAGCAAAGACTAGAATTGAATTTCCTGGCACTTTCTCTCTTTTGCTACCTGATTACAAATAGCGTTAGTTCAAAAACCAACTTTCCTAATGAAGAACTATATCTGGCAATTACTTTTATAACTTTTCCTCTAGAGGATCATAAACCTCCACCTTCAGAAATGCCTAAAACAAATTCACTCTGTTGCTTCAGACTGATGTGACGTGTGATAAGTTATAAGGCATTCAATTTCAAAATCTCCCTCATTAAAATAATTCATACCTTATCCACCCATGTCTTTAGGTTTTTCCTTCTCTATGTGCTGAAAGAAATGGGAGCAGGAAGTAGCATTTATTGAATATTATTTGGTGCCAGATACCCTTCTGTGCATGTAACTTACATATGTGACTACAGGGATAAGGCTGTTACCTTTAGCCTAAAGCTGCCTCCTTACACATTTTAAATTCAGCCTAAAGGTTTCTCCATACATAGTGAAGTGTAACCTACCTGGGCACGTCCACAAGCTGTCACCTGCTCTTGTAACAAATAGCCAAGTCTCACCCAATTCCAGGAGCCATCTCTCAACCACTCACAGTGGCCACTGTTCAAGTTGTTCATAAAAGGCAAACGTGGCTGGGCCTGGTGGTGACTCCTGTAATCCCAGCACTTTGGGAGGCTGAGGTGGGCAGATCACTTGAGGTCGGGAGTTTGAGACCAGCCTGGCCAACATGGTGAAACCTTGTCTCTACTAAAAACACAAAAATTAGCCGGGCGTGGTGGCGGGCGCCTGTGATCTCAGTTACTCGGGAGGCTGAGGTGGGAGGATCTCTTGAACTTGGGGGCCAGAAGCTGCAGTGAGCCGAGACTGCGCCATTGCACTCCAGCCTGGGCAACAGGGTGAGATCCTGTCAAAAAAAAAAAAAAAAAAGGCAAACATCGAGCTGGAACCAATCCTGCTGTTTCTGTGCCTTACTTCCATTCCCCTTATGTCACTTTTCTCTGCAAACCCAAGACAGCCCCAGAATTGCTCAGAACCTATTCTGGTTCGAGGGAGCTCCCTAATTTGTGACCCATTCTTTGCTCAGATAAACTCTGTTAAACTTAATTTGTCTAAAGTTTTTCTTTCAACAATGCAATGAGGAAACCAAGGCGTAGAGAGCTCCTGTCCCTCGCCGGCCTCCTATCCTGGTGAGTGGCAGAGCACAGATCAGAAGCCAGAGATGGCTTTCCTTCAAGCATGCTGACTCCCGAGACTAGAAATAAGAAGGTATTTAATTTTTAATTTTTTTATTTTTTGAAACAGAGACTCACTCTGTCACCCAGGCTGGAGTGCAGTGGCATGATCTCGGCTCACTGCAACCTCCATCTCCCGGGTTCAAGCGACTCTCTTGCCTCAGCCTCCCGAGTAGCTGGGACTACAGGCGCCCACCACCACGCCCAGCTAATTTTTGTATTTTTAGTAGAGACAGGGTTGGCCAGGCTGGTCTCAAACTCCTGATGTCAAGTGATCCACCTGCCTTGTCCTCCTAAAGTGCTGGGATTACAGATGTGAGTCACTGCACCTGGCCTAAGTGGGTATTTAAAATAGTGACTTTGAAGGTGTGCTGAAGAAGACCACTGCCCTTGTGGGACTGGCTATATTCAGAGTCCACATGAGAGGCTAAGAATATTGTACACAGAGATTCTTGATGTTCTTGAGCAAATCCCTAAAAATGCAGCATATAGAAAGTACATAGAACAAATTACAAATGAGAAGCCGGCTGTGGTTAAAGTGGAAACAGATGTTAAAAAATTAGAAGACCAACTTCAAGGTGGTCAAATAGAAGAGGTGATTCTTCAGGCTGAACATGAACTAAGTCTGGCAAGAAAAATGAGGCCGTGGAAAGCCTGGGAGCCATTAGTGGAGAGCCTCTTACCAATCTGTGGAAATGGCTAGCATAATTATTAAATGACCTTGGAAGGTTGGTGGCAAACTGATGGAATTATTCTGTTAAATAAGAGTGTGTCCATATTACTGACATTTTATCATCAAGAAAATGGATATAGAAAATATTTAGGGGATTGTTAAAATTAGTGATTATGGCAATATGGTTTTGTGAATAAAATTTTGATTTATGAAGTATTCACAAAAATTATTTCAAAGATATTTCTTTGAACAGCAAAGGTCAGGAGAAGATTTGAAAATTAATTAGAAAAAATTCCTACAGATCTTCAATGTAGAGGCCATAATCAAAAAGGAAAGTTTCTTCGGTAGTATGTTCGATACATCATTTAATTTTAAAAATTATCCTGAAGAAGAAAAGATCCTTAATGATTACTGTCTAAACAAATTTATAGATCACTGTTTAAAGTAAATAAGAGCGAATATTTTCAAATGTGATAAAATAACACAAGTGACTGGTGATAAAATTTGAAATTATGCTTAATCTCCTTGGCTGTGATCTTATGTATATAAAGTTAAATTTAAATATATGTTCATATATTGATTACAAAATCCAGAATAAATGTCATTTTATTTTAAAATAGCACCTTTGTGTACAATGCCATAGCATTTGTATTATTCAGATGGTTTGTCAGTTACCTTCATCTTTTTTCCTCTCTAAGATTGTTTTACATATGGGACTATTTCCCCCTCCAAATAGTCCTAAATCTAAACATTTTGCTTCTTGTCCAAATAAATAAAAATAATCCAGACATCCAATTTAAAAAATTGTTTCTTTCCTAGACTACCTTGTACAGGAAATATCACCAAGATTCTTTGTCACTCCATCTTCCAGATTTGGGTTAAAGAAAATGGGGTGATTCACAACAGATGTGAGAATTATGAACCTCAAAGGTTGCCCAGTTCCTTCCTATTTCCCCCTGTTCCTAAAATGACAGAGCACTTAGGTTTTCCCTGCATTTGGGTAACTGGCTGACTGCAGGCTGTGGACCTTGGCCAGATGGGAGGCTGTAGTGACAGAGGCTGGATGAGAAGCCAGGTTCCCTCTAACACCCCTACCCCCCACCCCGCAACTCCCCAGGTGCTCCATTGAAGAAACCAGAAAGAAGCCAGACATTTTGCTACGGAACCAACTTGCTCCCTACATCAGAGAGAGATGGCTGCCAGTCTCCTAGCTGGAGGGATTGCATTTCCTGGTTCTGATCTTGGAGGTGAAACAGTAAGACCACGCTTTTTGTTTTACCAGACAAGGAGCCTACTGGAAACATTCTTCTCGTTTAAAAAACAAATTTCTCCATTTAACGACTGGGCTTTAGCTAACGTTATTACCACTAGCAATTTACCATCCTTTGAACTTAAATTAAAACTTTGACACCTCTTTATAAAAAGCCTCCACATAAAACATAATTATTGTAATGAAGATGCATTGCTTCTCATTGGGGATTTATGGCAACTATTTTATTCAATTTGCTGAGGAATGTCAGGATGAAATGACAGGGGTAACCCCTGAAAAAATAACCACCAAAGATAATTCTTCAGGAGAACAGGTGAAACAGTGTAGGACAGCAGGCTATTATCTGTTGCAGTTAAATGTCGTCCATTTCTGAGATGGACACACAAGGCCATCAGTCAATTGAACTGGACTTCGATCAAAGAGAGCATTTTACTTTCTGTCCTATTGATGGTGTCTCATAACAAAATAATAATTTGCATTTCTACGGTGCCTTTCATCTCATAGGATTTTACAGATGCTAAATTATTTAGCTTTATAACAATTCTGAGAGGTAAATTTCTTGAGACACTAACCTGAGGCACTGATAAACTAAATGACCTATCCAAGGGCACAGCTCCAAACAGATCCTGAAGAACAGCTTAATCTTGTCTCCCGGGGGCATTTCTGTTTCCTCATTTTTTATGGTTAAGCTCATCTGAGCGCTTTTCTCACTCAAACAGATGTTTCTTTTTAAACTCCAATCAGAATCACCCCATTGTTCTGGGACATAAAGAATATAGCCAAGTAAATCCCTTCAGAACATAGCTTAGTCTCCATGCTTTTATTTTTTAATTATTAGTGAACAAATCATCTGACAAGGGTGAGGAACTGGCAGATAATCTGGGATCTCATTTCAGAGGGACGCCCTTCAACACACTGCACAAATATGTCACCTTCTTTTGCATGGTGCACAGTTGAGCTTTATTTATGAGAGCAGTTCAAGATTTGTGTGCTTAAATTTTATAGTCTCTGCATAGACTGACAGGATAATAATGGCAGAAAGAATGTAGTAGTCAACCTTCCTGATTCAGGTTCTCTCAATTGAGCCTGAGGTAGAATTTCTGAGGCCGGAGGTAGAAGAGGTTAGGATGGGGAGGGAGGGTAATTAATTATTTCTCAGGCTACAGAGGCTGACGAAGAAGAAATAAAATTGGGTGGGCCTAAGAACATAAAACTAAGGACCGAGGACATTTTCATATTGTTCAAATAATTAGTTGGTTAGCCATCGGGCTGAGACATTCCAGGGCCTTGGGTTCCTACACAAGAAAACTAAAACCCAACTCAAACAATAAAATGGAACTTAAGCTCGACCAATCAGAAACTGCCAAGCGCCCTCTAAGTGGAGACTTTACCAATTAGAAACCACTAACTAACCTCCAGCTGGGGACTTTCCACTTCAACCAATCACATGTTTTCTTTGTCTCACTTCAAGGAACACCTTGTAAAGGTTGTAAACGTTGTCTCTACTGCCCTCTTGTGGAGCTACTTCCAGGAACACCTTGTAAACGTTGTCTCTCCTGCCCTCTTGTGGAACTCTCACTTGAGCTTTGTTGCTGCCAGATTCATGAATTGCTGTCAGCTCAAATAAACCCATTAAATTTTAAATGTGCCTAAATTTATCCTTTGACATCCCCCAAATATGTAAGTCTTGTTTGCATTAAGGATGAGAAACAGCATCTTCTAGCTATTCTTCCTGATGCTCCTCCTCCTCCCCACTCACCCTCTGACAGGCCCCAGTGTGTGCTGTTCCCCCCACTCATGTGTCCATGCATTCTCATCATTCAGCTCCCACTTACAAGTGAGAACATGCAGTATTTGGTTTTCTGCTCCCATGTTAGTTTGCTGAGGATAACGGCCTTTAGCTCCATCCATGTCCCTGTAAAGGAAATGATCTTGTTCCTTTTTATGGCTGCATAGTATTCCATGGTGTATATATACCACATTTTCTTGATCCAGTCTATCATTGATAGGCATTTAGGTTGATATGTCTTTGCTATTGTGAGTAGTGCTGCAATGAACATAAGTGTATGTGCATCTTTATAATAGAATGATTTATATTCCTTTGGGTATACACCTAGTAACGGGATTGCTGGGTCAAATGGTATTTTTTTCTTTAGGTCTTTGAGGAATTGTCACACTGTCTTTCTACAATAGTTGAAGTAATTTACATGCCCACCAACAGTGTAAAAGCATTCCTTTTTCTCCACAATGTCGCCAGCATCTGTTTTTTTTTTTCTTTAGATGGAGTCTCCCTCTGTCGCCCAGGCTGGAATGCAGTGGCGCGATCTCGGCTCACTGCAACCTCCTCCTCCTGGGTTCAAGTGATTCTCCTGCCTCAGCCTCCTGAGTAGCTGGGATTACAGGTGCACACTTTTGTATTTTTAGTAGAGATGGGGTTTCGCCATGTTGGTCAGGCTGGTCTTGAACTCCTGACCTGGTGATGTGCCCACCTTGGCCTCTCAAAGTGCTGGGATTGCAGGCATGAGCCACCGCACCTGGCCACATCTGTTGGTTTTTGACTTTTTAATCATAGCCATTCTGACTGGCATGAGATGGTATCTCATTGTGGTTTTGATTTGCATTTCTCTAATGATCAGTGATGTTGAGCTTCTTTTCATGTGGACACACATTCACCATGAATTTCTCAGGCTGTATCTTTGTTTGGCAGATGTAAGGGTACGGCCAGTGAGCAGTGGCTGTCCACGCACAGGCACTTCCCTTGACCTGCTGACTCAGACACCTGGGGCGGGGCTGGATGATCTCTGTCTTCCAAGCCCTGCAGGTGATGCTGGTGCATACTCAAGTTGAGAATGAAGGGACAGAAATTACTTTAAATGGAAAACTCCTGAACAGTCAGCAACTGCAGAAAGGAAACACTGCCTCTACATAAGCAGCTGCCCCAGAACACAGAGGCAGCTGCTATTGACGCCCTCTGGGGGGACTTCCTGCTTGGAAGAGGGTTGAACCCTCACCGAGATGCGCGTTCAGCTGCCCATTAGCATCAAGACTAGGAAACGACCTTCCACACTCCTCCGGAAGCCCTGAGCTCCTCTTGTTACCGTGTTCGTTGGTATGTACGCCTTTTCCTCATTCTTGAGCCCTCACATGGACCTTCCACACTCCTCCGGAAGCCCTGAGCTCCTCCTGTTACCATGTTCGTTGGTATTACACCTTTTCCTCATTCCTGAGTCCTCACGTGGACCTTCCAAACTTCTCTGGAAGCCCTGAGCCCCTCCTGTTACCGTGTTCATTGCTATGCATGCCTTTTCCTCATTCCTGAGCCCTCACAAGCGTGCATGAGCACAAGTAGATGGACCTGCTCTCTCCTGTCCACCTTTCTATTGTCAGTTCATTTGCAGACCCCAAACATTTGAAGCTAGGATGGTAGAGGAAAACGTTTCCCCCCAATAAGAACTGGTCTCAGGCTGCTCACCTGTGCCGTGTTCTCCACCAGCACGCCTTTCGCAAGTGACAGATGGAAACTCATGCAGAAGCAGGCACCAGAGCCAACACTCCTGGAAGGAGGTGGCACTGGGGGCCATGTGGAGAGCCTCACCTGGAATATCTTGTCTCATCCTTGCACAGACCTGGCAGGGTAGAAATCGGCCGTCCAGAGCCCATTGATGGGGCCGGGTTTGGAGGAAGCAGAGCCGAGGCGCTGATGGAAGCATGTAAAAGGAAGACCTAGCCTCACCTGCAGGGAAGAGGGTGAGTAAGTGCGGCGTCTGGGGCACACCTGGGAAAACCCCAGGCTCATCAGGCGATGAGGGCACTGCAGACATGACGCTGATCCTAGGACTTTCTTTTGCTCTCCCAGAAGTATTTAGCAGAGGCTGAGGTCTAGGGCATGGGGTGAGAGGTTGAGGAAATGTCGGTCAACAGATATAAAATTTCAGTTGAACAGGAGGAATAAATTCAACAGACTTATTGTACAACACGGTGACTCTAGTTAATAACAACATATTGTATTTTCCAAAAAAAAAAAAAAGAGTGAAAGGGTGTATAATACAATGATAAGAAGGACAGGAAATCAACAAATAAAAATAAATCCTACTTGTGCTTTGTCCCTCTCTGATTCTCCTCCTCCCTCTCTTTCTCTTTTCCCAATCTTGATTTTGTGAAATCTGATTTTGTGAAATGGGAACATGATCTCCACTCCAGGTTTCTGTGCTAAGTAAAGCCATTCCCACAGAGCCTGGCAAAGGTGGGTGCTCCCTACCTCAGAGCCCTTCTGCGCACCCCAGGGCCATTTCTCTCCTGCTTAGGCTGTCCAAGGTCAGGGGAGCCCAGGGGAACCTTCCGTCCAGGCCTGGCCTGCCCCTCACCTGCTGAGTGAGTTCAGGTAAAGGATTTATCAGCTTTCTGTCTGGGCTTCCCTTAACTATAAAAAAGAAGCATTGAGGGTGTTCAGGTGGAGGCCTCTGCATCACCCATTTCCTTTAGACCTCAGCTCTCGATCAACAAAGATTTAGTAGAAGCACCTCCCACGTGCAAGGCACTGTGTGAGGAATGAGGACTCTATCGCTGGACACATGAAGACACCATCTCTGTCTTTATGTGGCTTACAGTTTATGGGGCAGAAAGATCATCCAAAAAATCACAAAGTCATGTTTGATTACAAACTGTGACAGATTTGCTCCAGTTGCCATAAAAATCCAGCACAGACTGTGGGGGTGGTTAGCATGGAAGCTCATGGGCGGAAGAGACAAAGAAACAGGGCATTGCCCTTTCATGGTCATTGCGGTGTCTGTGAGTGACAGGCCACTGGCCCAGCATCAGTGCAAGTGACAGACTCAGATCTGAGACAGACAGACAGACAGACATGAATTAGATCCCAGCTCCATCTCTCACTGCTTGCAAGACTTCGAGAATGTTCCTAACCTATAAAATCTCTGCTTTCCATACCTACAGAAGGAGGGTAAGGCCAATGCCATGGGGTTGCTTTGAGAATTAATTGAAGTAACACAGGCAAGCCCTTGGCTTTGGGGCTGCTCCACCATGCGGCTGCCGACATGTTCCAGTCACCTGTCTGGAGCTGTTCAGGGTGGTGCTTTGGGGTGCTCTGTCCCCATGGAGTCTTCAACCAATAGCAGCTGGAATGGGCTCCATCCGTGAGACAGGACGGAGGCAGAGAGTTTGCAGTTCCAACCCTGACAGCTAAAGAGCAGAAGACCACAGGTCCCAGAGACCTGTCAGTAAGGACCTGCCCCTTCCTGGGCTGTGGACTTTCTATTTTGGACAATCTAAGCGAACAATATTGGGCTTCCCCTAAGTGACTGATTTTCTGTAAAGGCAAAACCACCAAATTAGCACCTCACACATGAACTCATTCATCTGGCAACTAGGCCAAACCCAACCAAAGACTTTTGTCCGCAAGTTTCCAGGACAGTTTGTTTATGGTCAGAGTCTTAGAGAAGGGAATGAACTGCAGGGTCCACTTACAAAATTTACAATTTGAGAAACCCTAGTTGCCTCAGCATCAGTTATGCCTCTTTGCACCTGAACTGGGACCAAATGAACAGAAGCAACAGTGAATGAGTGTTGAAGAGGGTGTGGGATATGATGAGGTTTCTCTTCAAATAACCTGATCAATCTTTTATCCTTTAGTTCTTGGTACCCCCCTCCCTCCTTTTTTCCCTTTTCTCCTTTTTTTTCTTCCTGCCTTTGTTAGATGCCCAGGCACGCCGCGATACCAGGCATTATCAATACCGGCTCACATTCCTTTCCTTATTAAAAAAAACAACAACTAACTTTCTAGCTAATTAACAGACACCCCTTCCCCTTTCCTCTCTGCTTTCTTTTACGTGCCCACCTTATCTTAAAAAAAATAAAATGTTTAGCCAACCGCGATTATTTTATATGGTATAACCCAATCCCAGCCAATAGAAAAAGAGTACAAAGGCAGGACTTGGTCAAAAATGAAGACTTTCATGCCGCTTTGTTCAGGTGAGCTCTCATGGTGACTGGCCAATGAGGCACCCCTCTGTGCAAAAATAAAATCGCTTTGCTAAAAATCGTTTGTTCAAGTATTCAATTTCCTTAGAAGTTTAAGCGTTATTCCTAACAAGGGCATCCGGCTTCCACGTGGCACATGGAATGGTACCTTCCGTGGCATGGCACAGGGATACCGTGGTTCCCAGAGCCAGCCAGTGAGCGGCAGAAACCCGTGGGCTGCCGACCTGCCCTGTGATTGGGAACATCCCCTGCGCTGCGAGAGTGGTTTTCCTCACGCTACCTGGCTGGGCCATCTAGGCTGCAACACACCAGCATCATCGGCTTTCCATGCACCTTCCCCGCTATGCGTTCTGACATGGCCAGGAAGGAAGGCTCACCTCGAGCACGACACTGAACTCAGAGGTGCCTTGCCTCTATCAGTGACCAGACAAACCATTTCCCATGTTTGTTTTGTTTACTTTGTTTTTGGCCAGGGAGAGCATGGAAAATGGCTCATCAGGATTTAAGCGTGCGGGGACCTGACATGACATTGCTCAGGACGGTCACATTTGTCCCTTCCCATAGAGGACTTGTCCCCTGATAAGCCTACATGTAGGACAACCGACCGAGTGGAATGGAACCGGCAGGGAGAAGCCGTGGCAAATTCCCTCCAGAAACAGCGACGCCCTCCCACGCCCGACTGACTTCCCAGTGCAGTGTGTGGAACTCCTCTGAGTGGGGTGACCCTACTGACTTAGATCATCTCCATAAGGCCCAGGTGAAGGTGAATATGACAACCCCACCACTTAGTCACAGCCAGCTTCCTGTCCAATAAGATAAGAACAAAACTCCAGGAAGGCAGGACGTGTGATGGCGGGTCTGAGTCACTCCCTCCAGACACGTGGCTGCCGCAGGCCAGCTTCTTCAGGTCCATTTTCCTCAGGCAGAATCCATCTGAAGCCATATTCTCCCTGTCCTGCACACACTATGCATTAAAACATCCAGGTAGATTCACGGCCGGGTGCAGTGGCTCACGCCTGTAATCCCAGCACTTTTGGAGGCCAAGGCAGGTGCATCACCTTAGGTCAAGAGCTTGAGACCAGCCTTGCCAACATGTGAAACCCCGTGTCTACTACAAATACAAAAATTAGCCAGGCGTGGTAGTGGGCGCCTGTAATCCCAGCCACTCAGGAGTCTGAGGCAGGAGAATTGCTTGAACTTGGGAGGTGGAGGTTGCAGTGAGCCAAAATTCCACCACCGCACTCCAGCCTGGATAGTAGAGTGAGACTCCGTCTCAGAAAAAATAATAATAAAAAACAACATTCAGGTAGATTTAAAGCATTTGGAATAAGGCCTCGGTGACTCACAGTAGCCTTCTATGCCACAGTTAAAGCTAAGCTCTATTTATACCTGGGGCAGTAGGGTGCTGTGCAGCAGCTTGTGTCTACCTGAGGTCTGCCCAGGGGAAATGGATTCTAGCCTTTCTTGCAAAATGAGTTCTAGCCTTTCTTTGTATGTGGAAAGGCTGGGACAAGGCAAAGCAGGACCATAGCTTTTCCAGGAGGGCTGGAGAGACAGTAAGGCTTATGTAGATCTCCATGTGATAGCAACATTTCCTAAAGCTCTTTCACTTCCATGTCCCAGAAAACCAAAAATGTTCCACAGCCTCCACGGGGCATTGTAACTGTTTCCACAAGGAAGGCAGAATAACCTTCTTGTATCCTCCCTCTTAGTTTAGCCAAACTCAGTAAATTTGCTCTTCAATCCGAACCTCTGAAAGATCTGGAGTTGTGTCCTAATGCTCTGCTGAAGCCAGTCAAGTGGGGCCATTTAGGGTTTGGTCAAAGATGATTCAGTAAGATATGCACACATATATTTAAAGGGATGGATTACGGAGAACTGAGCTTAGGCCAGGATGCAAACTGGCTAAATAATTGGTGTAGGCTGTAGTTTCTGCATCTGGTGCTGAAGTCTGGAAGGTCTGGGGCAAATATTTGGACCCCCAGTGATCCCCACCTCTGGGTGTTTATGGCCTTGTGCCATCCCCTCCTTTTAAGTAACTTGCTTCTAATCACCAGAATACAGCAACAGTGAGGGGAGGCCACTTCAGAGATGAGGTTATAGAAGACTGTGACTTCTCTCTTGCACACTTTCTCTCCCTGGCTTTTCTCATGCATTTGCTCTGATGGAGGGGCCATTTAGAGGCAAACAGAGCAGGCTTAGCCAAAAACCAGCAAGGAACTGAGGACTCAACCCACCAGCCTGCAAGCAATGGAGTTCTGTCAGTGCACTTATAGGGGACCTCAGAAGCAGTCCCTTCCCCTGCTGAGCCTTCAGATGAGCCCTTGCCTCTGGCCAATACCTGAGTGAGGACCAGTGAGTGACCCAAGCCAGCTAAGCCACACAAAGATCCCTGATCCACAAAAACTGTGAGATAATAAATGTGTCTTGTTTGTTTTTTTTTGAGACAAAGTCTCACTCTGTCACCCAGGCTGGAGTGCAGTGGCAAGACCTTGGCTCACTGCAACCCCTGCCTCCTGGGTTCAAGCAATTCTTGTGCCTCGGCCTCCCGAGTAGCTAGGATTACAGGTGCCCACGATCATGCCCAGCTAATTTTTGTATTTTTAGTAGAGACAGGGTTTCACCACGTTGGCCAGGCTGGTCTCAAACTCCTGACCTCAGGTGATCCACCCGCCTTGGCCTCCCAAAGTGCTGGGATTACAGGCCTGAGCCATGGCGCCTGGCCTAAATGTGCTTTGTTTTAAGCTGCCAAGCTTGGGGCAGCTACCACACCACCACCATGATCTGTTTTCTGGCCTTTGAACACATCTCATTTATTCTCTTTTTCCTTTTTTTTTTTTTAGATGGAGTCTTGCTGTGTTGCCCAGTCTGGAGTGCAGTGGCACGATCTCAGCTGACTGTAAGCTCTGCCTCCCGGGTTCATGCCATTCTCCTGCCTCAGCCTCCCGAGTAGCTGGGACTACAGGCGCCCGCCACCATGCCTGGCTAATTTTTTGTATTTTTTAGTAGAGACGGGGTTTCACCATGTTAGCCAGGATGGTCTCGATCTCCTGGCCTCGTGATCTGCCCGCCTCAGCCTCCCAAAGTGCTGGGATTACAGGCATGAGCCACTGCGCCTGGCCTATTTATTCGCTTTTTTCTTATCCTGTTTTCTTCACCAAGATTGTCACTGACCTTGCTCAGTGTCTGTCTAATTCTTCACCACCCAGGTTAGTTTCCACTTTCCCTCTGAGCCTTTCTGATTATTTCAACTCACGATGGTTTTTCTCTTCCACAAGACACAGAATTTATTGTCTCAACCAGGTCAGGGTTTCTTTGGGCATTCCCCCTGTCCTCGGAATAGCATAGCCCAAATCATGGCACAAGTAGGATTTATTTTTATTTGTTTATTTTCTGTCCTTCTTATCATCATATTATATACCCTTTCACTCTTTTTTATTTTTGAAAATACAGTATGTTGTTATTAACTAGAGTCACCATGCTGTACAATGTGTCCGTTGAATTTATTCCTCCTGTCCAACTGAAATTTTATATCTTTTCACCAACATTTCCCCAACCTCTTACCCCACTCTCCATACCTCAGCCTCTGGTAACCACTATTCTTCTCTCTGCTTCTATGAGTTCAACTTTAAAAATTTTCCACAGATGAGTGAGGTTAGGTGGTATTTGTCTTTCTGTGCCTGGGTTATTTCACTTAATATCATGTCCTCCAGGCTCATCCATGTTGTTGTGAATTGCAGGATTTTCTTCTTTTTAAAAGCTGAATAGTCTTCCGTTGTGCATATGTACCACATTTTCTTCATTCGTTCATGCCTTGATGGATACTTAGGTTGATTCCATATCTTGGCGATCGTGGACAGTGCTGCAGTGAACATGGGAGTCTAGTGACGTCTTTGGTATGCTAATTTCAAATCCTTTAGATGTATATCGAGAAGTGGAATTAATGGGTCCAAGTGGGATTGAATACCAGACAGATGAATCATGAATGCGAGCAGGATTTGCATTTCTTTAGAAGCGAAACTGGAGAAGATTGGAGGTTAAACATTGGATCAACATTGGTTGTCAGCTTGAGCATGAGAGTTGGGTGAGAGGCAGGTGCAGTGCAGGGAAGTGTTGATGAGAGAGAAGCAGGCCTGAGTGAGGGCTTCTATTTGTCTGTTCTCACATTGCTGTAAAGAACTGCCTGAGACTGGGCCATTTATAAAGAAAAGAGGTTTAATTGACTCACAGTTCCATAGGCTGTACAGGAAGCATGGCTGGGGAGGCCTCAGGAAACTTACAATCATGGCAGAAGGTGAAGGGGAAGCAGGCAGTCTTACAAGCCAGAGAAGGAGGAAGAGAGGGTGAAGGGGAGGAGCCACATGCCTTTAAACAACCAGATCTTGTGAGAACTCATCACTGTCACAAGAATAGCAAGGGAGAAATCCACCCCCATGATCCAGTCACCTCCCACCAGGCCCCTCCTCCAACACCGGGGATTATAATTCAACATGAGATTTGGATGCGGACACAAATCCAACCATATCATCAGGGGAGAGCTGGCAACTGTGCTGAAAGCTTCTGAGGGCCCTATAAGCCGAGAACAAGAAAGTGATCATCAGCTGTGGTGATGTAGGGGTAAGTCCTGATTGTGACAAGAGGCATCTCAGAAGAACTACAGAAAAAAAGGGGAACATCAAATTATCCATGTGATGGGAATTGAAGATGTAGACAGTTCTGGCGTTATGGCTGAGAATGTGACAAAATAGATGGGACGTTAAAAAGAGAGAGGAAGGTGGAATTGAGGAGGGGCCTGAAACAAATCTTGATAATTAAACGGACACCTTTGACAAATTACTCAGATTCTTTGGGCCTCGCTCTTTCCATCTATAAAACAGGAGTAATCATAACAGGTGATCTATTTTGTTATTGAGAGTTAGATGAAGTAGAGATAGAAATAATATCCTAATGTGGGTGGCAACACAATTTGTCTGTACTAGTTAACGGAGACAAGAGTAATGATAAGAATATGGCAATTATTGGAGTAGAGGAATTAATATTAGGTTGATGCAAAAGTAATTTTGGTTTTGCAATTAAAAGTCATGGCAAAAGCAGAAATTACGTTTGCACAGACCTAATACTTCATTTAGTAGGGTCGTCAAATCTTAACCCTACAACAAATTACATTTATATCTTTGTGATTACTCTTTGTATAACTATTCAGTTGCTCTCCATCTTATAATTACTAAAACCTCCTAATCCTCAGTAAGTCCTTCCTGGAACCCCTTAAATCACAGTCTGTAACCACACTCCCCCTCGCCCTTTCATCTCTACCCCAACTTTTGGGGTTCATACCACAGCTGTGCTCGGCTTGTTTCTTTATATGTGTTTGCATGAAGATACCTGCCTCCATGTGAATTCTACCTAATTAGAGCTATGAGATTTTCCTCAAATATGTAAATTCTGTAATTATTTCAGAGTTGACATATGGATGCACTTTCCCATATGTTTACTATATTGTTGATATTCATGGGACTAAATGTTTTCAGTAACCCCTTAGATGAAAAATTTCAAAATGGATCTGACAAAGAAAAATTGTTCATAACAAATATGAAGCTACAGGTATCTAATGAGTATGAAGCGCTTATGATTGGAGCCTCCAGCCCCAGCAATCATGCAGGCAGGTCATCCACATTTTACCGAGGGCCTGTTCCTTCAGTTGGTTATTCCAGCTCAGAGGAAATCACTCATTGGGGTAATTGCCTCCATTCAAGTGGAGGCTGGAGGCTGGCAGACACTTTGTGTTGAGAGAGTGCATCTGCCTCAGGAGGCTCCTCAGGCTGGCCAAGGCGGGATCCTTTGGAAGAGATGGCAGCTTCCAGAGGGGCCTCTGTGTGGGTCTTCTGATGTGCAGAAAGAGGTCTCTGTAGCCATTCTGCCAATTCCCATTCTGAAAAAAGCTCTCATTGTCAAGATTCATCTTCATGGTACCAAAAAGAGGTGGAAATTTGTGGCTATGCTCATGGCCGTTGGTGGCATTGAAGAGGGAGAAATTTGTGGCTATGCTCACGGCCGCTGGTGGCATTGAAGAGGTGGAAATTGGTGGCTATGCTCATGGCCGCTGGTGGCATTGAAGAGGGAGAAATTGGTGGCTATGCTCACGGCCGCTGGTGGCATTGAAGAGGGAGAAATTGGTGGCTATGCTCACGGCCGCTGGTGACATTGAAGAGGGAGAAATTTGTGGCTATGCTCACGGCCGCTGGTGGCATTGAAGAGGGAGAAATTGGTGGCTATGCTCACGGCCGCTGGTGGCATTGAAGAGGGAGAAATTTGTGGCTATGCTCATGGCTGTTGGTGGCATTGAAGAGGGAGAAATTGGTGGCTATGCTCACGGCCGCTGGTGACATTGAAGAGGGAGAAATTTGTGGCTATGCTCACGGCCGCTGGTGGCATTGAAGAGGGAGAAATTGGTGGCTATGCTCACGGCCGCTGGTGGCATTGAAGAGGGAGAAATTGGTGGCTATGCTCATGGCTGTTGGTGGCATTGAAGAGGGAGAAATTGGTGGCTATGCTCACGGCCGCTGGTGGCATTGAAGAGGTGGAAATTGGTGGCTATGCTCATGGCCATTGGTGGCATTGAAGCATGGAGCCAGCGCAGGTGGCTTTTGGCACTGGCTGGTGCACTCTACATGGACCTGAGGGCCGCACAGGTGCGGGCCACAAGTGTGCAGGTGCTGTAATAAAAACATTACAGAAAGATGGTGGGGGGTAGAGGACTTATTGAGAAATGTCTGCTCCCAGCTCAGCTTTCCTCAGAGCTGCCTGGAGTTGGTGCTCCTAGGGGCAGCTGGCTCAGTGGGGAAAAGGCTATGACAAACGCTGAGCCTCTGTGTGGCTCTTCGCTGGCTCCACAGCTGCTGCTGGGCCCCATTCTATTCCCTATCATGAGACGTTGGCCACCTCATGGGGATATCTTCCTGTCTATCTGCTCACAAGGCACCACTGGCAGCCACTAGGCACACAGTGACTATATCTAGAATGAATGAGCACAACCTCCACCCATGGCTTGATGCAGGATGTTCCCCCGCCCCAGAAGGCCCCCTCGGGCCCCTCCCAGTCAACACTACCCAATGGCTAACCCTGCTTCTGTGGCCAGCAAGGCAGTATCTGCCTGGGTTTGAACAGTGTATGAGGAGTCACACCCGGTACACCCTGGGGTGTGGGCTGGTCCTCCAGGAAGCAGATGCCCAGACAGATAGGACTGCGAATGTTTATTAAGGGAAACACTATGGAAATGAGAGGGAGAGGAGGCAGCACCGGGCACGGAGCACAAAACACGTTGGATACTCTTCCAAGATATCACGGCTCAGGAGAGTCTTCCAACGGTCCTGTAAGGTAACAGGATTCTGGTCTATTTCCATGTGATCTTCTTTTGCCCAACATACATTTTGTCTTCTATAAAATATCTGTGCCCCTGCTGAATGCATCTGTGGGTGGCTGCATCTGTGTCTGTATGTCATGGAGAATAATTATCGACAGATCACAGATACAGATCTCAGAGGTGAACTGTGTATGCATTCCCGTAATTTCCTCATCTCGTAAGGATCTGAATTTTAATCTTGGATATAGGCGCTTTCCCTTATCTTTTATAACAGAGGTTGGAAATCCCAGGCCTGAGCTGTTACACCCTAAGGTTTATTTAATGAACTTCGGTGAATATCTTTTGCTGATCTTCTGAGTGGGAATATTTTCATTTAACCAGCGAGAGGGGTGAGGGTCTAACACCTACCAGCTGTTTTGCAAGATGCTTTCTTTATAGGCTTGGTCTCTTAGTGCTCACAAAGACCTCATAACCACATCATTCCTGGCTCATTTATATCTGAAGCCTCAAGCCAAGAGAGGGGCTTTGGTGATGGTGGCAGGGCCAGGGGGCCTCTCCAGGAAAGGGCGAGGAGTTTGCACGCCAAGCATGGGAGATGCAAAGCTGGGCGTCGCGGAAGGAGAGGGTGCTGGGGATGAGACGATGCCAGAGCAGCTCAGCATGGGCCTTGATTTCCCCACCAGAGGTGGCCTCATTCTGAAGGCCAAGGCCACAGCTCCACTGCACCTGACCCATCCTCACTGTTAGTCTCCTTGGGCCTAAAAACTCAGGGAGACAGGGCCCCCTGACAACGAAGTGAAATTTCCCAGACCTTGAGGCATTTACTCACCCTGATTCAAAGCCTTCACACATCCGGGGAAAGATTCATCTTTCCTACAGGTAACGGACTAAAGGCTGTAGTGCAACAAGTAAGTGCTGGGGGCAGTAATTGCCTGTGCGCACGGTGCATCTGAGCTCTCCCACGGGGGCTCTGTGTGGCACTCATGCAGCCTCCACACCCCTGCTCACAGTGCTTGCTCGGCCAGAAGCAGCCTTCCAGCTCCACCTGAGTGCAACAAAGCCCCATGTGACGCCTCCCTGCTTCATCCTTCTCTTCCACAGCCTCCTGTTTATTCCCAAGAGATTCTGTCTCTGCCTTCTGCACCCTGGGTCCCTTCCCCTGTGCTTCCATTAGGAGTGGTCAGAGGCTCTGTGCCCTTCTGTGTGGGTCTCTCTCCTGCAGGACACAGGATACCCTGCAAGTCAGGGATGGGTCTCATCCCTCACAGAGCTGGTCCTATGGCCCAGGTTCCATACACGCCTGCAGAACTGGTATTTCTGGATTCTATAAGCAATCTCTGGCTGGGCACAGTGGCTCATGCCTGTAATCTCAGCACTTTGAGAGGCCAAAGTGGGCAGATGGCATGAGTCTAGGAGTTCGAGACCAGCCTGAGCAACATGGTGAAGCATGGTCTCCACAAAATTAAAAAGAAAAAAATTAGCCAGTCATGGTGGCGCAGGCCTGTAGTACCAGCTACTCCAGAAGCTTAGATGGGAGGATCACCAGAGCACTGGAGGCGGAGGTTGCAGTGAATCAGGGTTGCACCACTGGACTCCAGCCTGGGTGATAGAGCGAGACTTTGTCCCCCTAAAATAAAAAATACTATTTCCTCATCTACAAGAGAACCCTGCTGCCAAGGTCAGCATGAATGGCTTTGGCTGAGAACAGGAGGTCTTAAGTTTTTATTTTGTTTTACACAGTGTATATTTTTTCAGCATTTTCATACTTAACAGTGGAAGTGCTAGTGGTGGTTTTAGATAAAGCTTAGGCTCATCGCTAGCTTGCTGTTTTCTTCCACACAGATTTTCCTGTCATGCCTTGCTGTTGACAAAGGCCAGGAGCCCAGAGGAGAGAGTGCTCCAGGACTCAGTGCTTGTCCTTCTACTCACATATACTTTGAAGTCTGGATGTTTGCCGTCTTCTAGTTACAGTGGGTGGGGTGGGCTCAGTAAGGTTTTATTTGTTCTCTATTCTTTATTTTTTGGAGGATTTGTTAAGAATTTCAGGTTTATGCTGCCTCCATGACCTCAGCTACCCCAAATTCTTTCTGATGTAATATTTATTATTTTCTTTTTCTGGGTGTCTTCCTTTGTTATTACTTTGTTATTCTTTTTTAGTTTTTTAGTTGAAAATGTGGTTCATTTGTTTTATTCTTTCATTTTTTTTGCTTTTTAAAAACTGATGTAAATATTAAAAGTGATAAGAGTTTGAGCTATGTTAAACACACTCCATACATTCTCACATGAAGTGCTTTCATTACCATTACTTTTTAGAAATTCTGAAATTTTGGTTTGCATTTCCCCTTTCGCCCAAGAGTTGTTTAATAGAGTCTTAAATTTTCCATGGGAAGAACCCTGCTCTGTTTCCATTTATTACATTTATTATTAATTTCTAGCTCTATTGTCTCACAACTATGTATAAGGCTGTTTAGCTATAATTTTATAGGATCATCAGCAGAGTTTTGATGATATGCTGTTTTCACTTCATGTCTTGACTTTAAAATCTACCATACCCAGGCTGGGCGTGGTGGCTCACGCCTGTAATCCCAGCACTTTGGGAGGCCGAGGAGGGTGGATCACGAGGTCAGGAGATTGAGACCATCCTGGTTAACACGGTGAAACCCTGTCTCCACTAAAAATACAAAAAATTAGCCAGGCGTGGTGGCGGGTGCCTGTAGTCCCAGCTACTCAGGAGGCTGAGGCAGGAGAATGGGGTGAACCCAGGAGGCAGAGCTTGCAGTGAGCCGAGATCGCACCACTGCACTCTGGCCTGGGTGAAAGAGCGAGACGCCGTCTCAAAAAAAAAAAAAGCAAAAAAAAAACTACCTTACCCATGTAAGATGTGATTTCACTGGGTAATACAGCCTCACAGCACTCTACAGTTTCTAATGAGCTTTAGTTTATTTCCTGTTCATTATTTCAATGGTCCTAATAGCATTATCTTTCTCTTTGGATGACAAAACTCAGAAAGGGGAAGCAACTCACTCAAAGTCACACACGTTCGAGTGGCATGGCTACAGTTTGATCCAGGCTTGGCTCCCTCCAAGCTGGTGCTCATTCAACTTGGTAAGATTTGTGCCTGGAACCCACGACACGCATCCTACTTGTTGGTGAAATATTAAATTTTATCCCCTTAAGATTGGGAACAAAACAAGAATGTCTCCTTTAGCCACTTCTACTTAGCGTGGTACCAGGGGTCCTAGCCAATGCAATAAGGCAAGAAAAATAAGTAAATGGCATACATATCAGAAAGGAAGAAGGAAAAGTGCATTTACTCACAGAGAATGTGATGGTCCATATACAAAATCTCAGAAAACTGCAAAAAAGCTATAAGACAAGGATAAATGTCAACATACAAAATCAATCATATTTATACTAGCAATGAACAGGTAGAAATTGAAATAAAAATATTATTTACAAACATACCAAAACCACGAAATACTTAAGGATAAATTTCACAAAATATGTACAACTTCTATCCATTGAAGACTGCAAAATATTGCTGAGGAAAATTAAAGATGAAATAAATATAGAGAGGTAGTATTTTATTTACAAGGCACTTTAAGTGAAAATTCCATCAGGCTGTTTTTCTGGCACAAGCTGTCAAACTGATTATAAATGCATATGGCAAAGCACATACAGTGAGTTGTGGAGCCCTGCTAACCACAGTGTAATCCAGCCTATCCTGCCTGATATGGCATTAATTGCTTATGATTGATGACAGCCGCTGTTTTGTAAGCACTGTTTGTAAACCAAGGACTTGTGTTTTTACAAAATTATGAAGAGATAGATATTCATTTCTCCACTTTACAGGTGAGGAAACAAGACCTATAGGGCTTCTATCAGCAGTCCCCAACCTTCTTGGCACCAGTGACTGGTTTCATGGAAGACAATTTTTCCACCAACAGGGTCAGTGGGGACATGGGGGATGGTTTCAGGATGAAACTGTTTCATCTCAGATTATCAGGCATTAGATTCTCATAAGGAGTATGCAGCATAGATCCCTCGCATGCATAGTTCACAAGAGGGTTTGCACTTCTCTGAGAATCTAATGTTCCCACTGATCTGACAGGAGGCAGATCTCAGGTGGTAATACTCGCCTCCTGCTGTGTGGCCCAGTTCCTAACAGGCCATGGACTGCTACTGGTCCACAGCCTGGCGGTTGAATACCCCTGGGTTATATAACTTGACATCTGATGAGACCCGGCTATGAGACCTGGACCTGAGTCAGTTTAAGGCCTGAGGATGTTGCTCTTAAAACCATGACCACTTTAGAAAACCCCTGGCAGACACAGCCTAACTCCTGAGTATCCTCCAAAGCATTTATGTATCTTCCCTGAGTTCACAGAAGTGCTCAGCAAATGCTTACGACCACCTAACTGGTCAAGGCACAGTTTGGTTTTATACATTTAGGGAGACATGAGACATCAATCAATATATGTAAGAAGTACATTGGTTTGGTCTGGAAAAGTGGGACAACTTGAAGCAAAGGCAGGAAGACTCGAAGGGAGAGAGCTTCCAGGTCACAGATAGGTGATACACAAACAGTTACATTCTTCTGAGTTTCTGATTAGCCTCTCCAAAGGAGGCAAATCAGATATGCAATTCAGTGAGCAGAGGAGTGACTTTGACTGGAATGGGAGGCAGGTTTGCCCTCAGCAGTTTCCAGCTTGAGTTTTCCTTAGTGATTTTGGGGGCCCAAGATATTTTCCTTTCACAGCTCCCAAACCACTCCTCTTATATTAACACTTATTATGGTTGTCCCCAGTAACACCAATTTAGTTAAATACAAAATGCATTAAAAGTAGACTCTCTGAAGCAATAGAAAAGCCTCCAAAGGGGTATAGAAAATCTGATGGAGAATCACTGAAATTAAACAATATCAGGTCCTAGGAGGTGTCCTGGCCTGTGTGTGAGAAAACGTGGTACAGTTGTAGCCCTTGTTCTGACTATTCCACTAGATAAATTTGAGCAAGTCAGCTACAGTCTCCTGATTTGTAGGATGGAGGGGCTGGACAATCTGGCTGTGCCACCCCCACTTACTGAATGCACTAACCATGGCTCAAAGAGATTAAGTGACCAAGTCCACTCACTGGCTGAGTTGAACGAGGACAGGAGCCCAGGAAGATCTCTTTTTGCCTATTACTTTATCTACTGCACCTACATCTGTTAGAAATGCAAAATGCTTATTCTTCAGTGCTGCAAAGAAATAGCACTTGAACATAAATTTAATTCTCTCAGCAAGGCCATTTTTACTTTCTGCAGAAAGGGTGCCCATCACAAATGGAACAATGGTGAGAGCACACCTGAACAAAGGAAAACAGACATATTTATCCCTTACGCATTTTGGTCCTCCTTACTGCTATGTCTTGCATCCATTGGCTGGAGCTGGACCTCACAGTCTTAAACTGACACCTGATTTACTAATAACCTAAAACTTTCCTAAATAGGTAAGTGCAAGGGAGAACAAAGAAGGAGAGGAAGTTGCTTATGAAAAGTTTAAGGAAGCAATAACATTTCCAAGTAAGGAAGGGGCATAAGCTATGAGCTAAGTCTTGCCTGGGCTTGTCCAGACATGCCTGAATAAGCCAAAGCGACTAACTGGGCTAAAGTGTAAGAACTAACAGTTGATAGGAGGCTTTAGAGTAAGGAGCTATTATTCCTAGTGTCTATTATTTTATTTTTAAACCAAGATGAACTTTGAAGAGGAACTTATTCTACTTTCTACAACATCTCTCTGAGATTCCAAGTCCAGTTGCCAGAGCTCTGAGATTCTAAGCCCAGCCTCTTCGATGCTACAAGCTTTACATATGACCTTTCCCCAAAACCCCTGACCCACTTCAAGATTGGTAAGTCACTCCATAGTCTTTCTAGAAGGTCTGGTGGCTGGATAGCCTCTCATTTCCTTGACTGGCATTACTCAGCCCCAGAGAGCTCAGAACGATCCTGGGCAGGACAATTGCTGGTGTTTAGTAGACTCTGAGTTTGCACTTCTCAGCAGATGGCTTTTCATGTCCACGTGTTAAATATAGTGAACCCCAAGTTTCTTTTCAAAGAATCAGTATGGCAGTATGTTTAGCTCTCTTATTCTTTGATTCTCCACTTTAAAGTTTATCTTCCTGGTTCTCCTTGCCCTCTTGCCTCTAGTTTCAGTTAACAACCTTTTCCACCACTTTTAATCAGTAGTTCACATCTGTTCCCCTGGTCACCTGCTCTGTTCTGACTCATCCCAGTCACCTGCTCTGACCTAAGTCACCTTTAGTTACCTGTTCCTAACCGTCCTTCCTGCCAAACTACTCACCCCGCTACTCTGGCTCGTACTCCTGCTCTTTTTAAAATAGCCAATTGGAATTAGCTCAGACTACGCAGTCCAACCCTAACCAATAGGGGAACGACACAGCAGTAGGGGCTACCTGTGTCAGGAATAAGAACTCCTTCCCCTCTCCTGTCCAAGTGTGCTCTCGTCATTGTTCCATCTGTGAGGAGCACCCTTTCTGCAGAAAGTAAAAATTGCCTTGCTGATAAAATTAAATTTATGTTCTAGTGCTATATCTTTGTGATATCGAGGAACAAGCATTTTGCATTTCTAACACATATCTGGACATCCCATGTCAAAGTCGAGTTTAGGCAATAAATAAGTTTGTGTAAAGTCAGACCCAGCACTCCAAAGTGTAGTTACTCCCATTCTTGTGCCCAGCAAGAATTTCCATGAGGGTTCTGCCTGTAGGATATAATAAATTCCTCTTCAAAGGTTTTAGCCTGTAAATTGTTAAGTACAACGAGTTCTGAGATCCTCTCCAAAGAACCAGTGCATCAGTGTGTTCAGCTTCCCTGTTCTTTGTTCTTCATTTTAAAATTTAACTTCCTCATTCTCTTTGTCTCCTTGCCCCTAGTTTCAGTAAACAACCCCCTCCTATCCTCTATCCCGTGCTCTGACCTTAGTCGCCCCTGGTCACCTGCTTCATCCTGAGTCACCCCTGGTCACCTGCTCTGACATGAGTCATCCTGAGTCACCTGTTCTGTAACTGTCCTTCCTGCCCAATTACTCACCCCACCACTCTGACTCGTGCCCCGCTCTCTTTAACATAGCCAATCGGAATTAGCTTAGACAGTGTAGTCCAACCCTAGCCAATAGGGGAATGACACAGCAGTAGGGGCTGCCTGCATCATGGATAAGAACACCTTCCCCTCCCTTGTTCAGGTGTGCTCTTGCCATTGCTCCATCCGCGAGTCACACCTTTCCATAGAAGTAAAATTGCCTTGCTGAGAAAATTAAATTTATGTTTGAGTGCTATTTCTTTTTTGGCACCGAAAATTTATTTCTAACATGCACATCTGAAAATGAAAAAAGCCCTAAAACCTTAACTGCTTACCTTTCCTTCAACTTTCTGCCATTTTTCATACCCACAAGAAGCATAAGAGGTCCTTTTTCTTCCTCCCTGTGAGAATGTCAGCAAATGGTTAACACAGATTGCTGGTTTAGCAGTAGCCACAGGGAGGGAAAATGTGAGCTATTAATGTTACTTTTTTCTACAGGCAGTGTGAGCATTTGAAGCTAATAAACTCTCATCTGCGGGGTCACACACCTCAATATATGTACATATTGCTAATGAGTGTTTGTAAAATAGGCAATAATGGCTCAAAATAAACTATCTCAGAATGGCTAATAAGTAATAAGCCTCTTGCCTTTAAAATTAATAATAAAAAAGAGGCATATTGTGTGTAGCCTACCCTGGGTGAAAAGGGGGTGCAACAGAAAATGTGTCCAAGACTCAGCTCTTGTCCTCCCTTTTATTTCTGGCATAGCAGGAAGGCACGGCCCTATAAAGCACTGGCAAAAGCAAAATCTGCAAACACAACACCAGAGAAATTCAGAATTTTAGATCTGGAAAGAACTTCTGCATCCCTTGAACCCCAGCTTGCCTAGTCCTTAGCTCGCAGTGACTTGCCCAAGATCACTCAACGCAAAGCAGCAAATGCCCACGGGAATCTTCCAGTCTGAGGAAGTTAAGGTTTGGGGGTTTGCCATAGATGTCACTGGCCTGGAGTTCGGGAGTCCTGCATTTGTCCCTAGCTCTGCTGCTGTGTGACCTTGGATACAACCTTAAACCTCATGGGGCATCATGTTCCTCTGCAAATAGAAGTAGTGGCACCTCTTCACAGTGTTGCCATGGGGATTACATGAGATCACATAGGTAATAGAATTTTGTAAATATAAAATTACATTAAATGAGACCCATCAAGCGATAAGCTGAGTGAGAAATGCTATATTTTTAAAAGTGATATAGTTACAATGATTATAAAATCTCAGAAAGCCAGTTGTGATCCAAATTAATAAACATCTCCATCTTTGCAGCAGAAATAATTGCCTCTGGAGTCATAATAATAACAGATATTTATTTACACCTTTCCTGGTTACCAAATGCCTTGAATACAGCTGCCTGTGTTGACTCTCATTGAGGAAAGCAATGGAGACCCAAGGCTAAGGGCAGCCAGCAACACCCCAAGGTCGCCGAGTTAAAGAATGGCAGGGCTGGACTTCCCACGCTCAGTGAGGACAAAGCCATTTTGCCTCTGGAAAGAAACTGCCTGGTCTGGGCAGCCCAATATCCCAAAGAGGTTGCCTATTATTGACAAAGACTCTTCAGGACCCAGGACCACTGCTGGGCTGGTTTGAAACATCACACGGAGAGTCTCCAAGGGTGGGACTGAGCACCCAGACGATAGAGCAGCCATATCTCTGGGAGGCATGGCACTCCCACAGTCTCTGGAGTGGGAGACCCTGCTCAGGGCACCAGGAGGTGAGACTCCACACAGCCGTGTGGTGTCCCTGAACTTAGATCCTCCTTCTAGCTGTCAACACTTCTTATATACCAGTGCAACGGCATAAACCCCTGAGTCCTTTCCAGTCCCCAATCCCAAATTCCAACAGGACCTGCAACTGAGGCCCAGCGGTGTTGACTCAGGATGATAGCCAAGCTAGGGAAGAGGTTAGAGCCCCCGGCGAGGAGTCCAGGCCATTTTCCACTGCTGCACTTACCACCCGGCTGAGACCCCGCCAGGAGCCCAGAAGTGAGCGCCAGCCACAGCTGCTCTCCAGTGGCTTCTGCCCCTCTGCACGGCCCCTTCTTTATAAATGACAGCTATTTCCACATCCTGTGCAGGAAGGTGACAACCGAGATGGCCTAATTTTACCTGATTACATAGAAATTCAGTGTTCTGGGGAAGCACCTACATTTTCCTGTGATTATCCCTCTGTTCCATCATGATGAGATGACTGTGAACTTGGACATCTCGTCTTGATTTTCTCATGTGTAACTTGGTGAAAAAGTCACATACTTTCTCTTATAATATCCTAAAACAGATGGGTAATATAGCCCAGGACTGAGTTAGATTCATTAATTCGGCTAAGTTGAAATAACCTGGCATTGTGACTGCATAATATGGTCTCAGCCCAGTGATAAAAAAATGGACTTGAAGAGATTCTTCCCCAAGTGTTTCATTTTAATTTCATGTTGATCAAGTTAGTAATTCCGGTCAAAGTGGGAAGAAGCAAAAAAAAAATACATTTCCTCAGTTCATGGTCAATAATTTTGTCCCCATGTGGACATTAGTGCTCTCTGGCTTCTCACCAGGGGGCTGGAAGGCTTCCATCTGATAATGGGCTGTAACGGATGGATGGTGGATTTGCACAGCGTGTAGACGGTAATGGATGGATGGCGGATTTGCACAGCGTGTGGTCCCCAGGGGAGACAGCAGTCTTGTGACTAAGAGGATGGGAGCCTCACAGGGCAGCACAGCTCTCTCAGCTCCTGGAGCGTTTCCGCCTGAAAATAGGCAGCGACTGTGGTTTATAAACGCCCAGAAGGCAGCGTTTCAGCCATCTCCTCTGTTATTGTGTGAGGAACCAGGCAGAGATTTGTAATGACACGAGGACGGGAAGCGAGTCGATGGGTCAGGCCTCCTCCCGGGTGCAGAGCACAAGTGTGGGGCCCTTCTTCCCATAAAAGTGGGGAGGTGCCTGCATCGGCCTGAATTTATCATTCTGTTCATTTCCCAGAAGCATTCATTAACATTAAGCCCTGAGATCGACAGTTAATAATCACTCTAAATAATTCAGATATAATAAATTACAAGCTGTGACTGTGACCTTAGGTAAATATTAAAACAAACAGCAACAATAACAACCACCACCCAAGGACTGTGCTGTTGCTAGTGAGCCTAGGAAACTGTTTGTCTTTCTCAGGAGAGTCCATTTATCTGAGGGATAGAATTCAAATGAACTTCAAAAGCATCCAGAGCGTTTGTAAAAGCACGATTGAGCCGGGAGCAGTGGCTCACGCCTGTCATCCCAGCACTTTGTGAGGCCGAGGCAGGCGGATCACGCGGTCAGGAGATCGAGACCACCTTGGCTAACACGGTGAAACCCCGTCTCTACTACAAATACAAAAAATTACCCGGGCGTGGTGGTGGGCGCCTGTAGTCCCAGCTACTCGGGAGGCTGAGGCAGGAGAATGGCGTGAACCCGGGAGGCGGAGCTTGCAGTGAGCCGAGATCGCGCCACTGCACTCCAGTTTGGGGACAGAGCGAGACTCCATCTCAAAAAAAAAAAAAAAAAAAAAAAAAAAAAAAAGCGCGATTGAAAACCAGCGGCTATAATCCCTACAACGGTGTTAACATTTACGTTGGCTGGGGGCCCTGCTTCTTCAGGGCCGTGAGGCCATGCTGACAGCAAGGAAGGCAAACTCGGGAAGCCAGTCCCCCCAGAGTGGAGCCTCCACCCACAACACTCCTCAACAGCGGCCTGGGAGGATCCGCACGCCCCTCTGGTGAGTCAGCACGCAGCTCTGCCTCTTTCGAGGCCAAGCCCTGCACGTTCTAGCCTCACTGGGATTAAATCTGTATTCACATTTTCGTTTTTTATATTATCTGTTTTCCACTCCTCTCTCCTCTAAAACTTAAAATCCTATCTCAACTGAAATTAGTGCTTTTTTGGTACAAAACGTTTATCCTCATTCTCCTTCGGTCCATTTTCAAGGATCATATTAATGCAACAATCAGATAAGAAAGGCCCTTGTAACGCCAAAGCCATTTCAAAGGAGGAAAGAAAACCCTGACCCATTTGGGGTAGGACTAAGAACCAAGTCATTCCTTTTTAAGATGTTTAGTTGTGAATAACAGCTGCCCTCCAAGCTTCCTGGCAGGAAGTTGAACAAGAGGAAGAGGGACCAGTTGGCTTAAGACCGACCCCCTGCAGGGGCCACTAGGCAGCTGCTCCCGGTCCGCACCGCTGCAGAGTGCAGCAGTGGCCCCGTCTGCATCCTGGACCCAGGCCCTCGTGCATAGGCATCGTGCTGGGGAGGAGGAGGCTGCCTCTGGGTTTCTGGCGCTGCTGGGCAAGGTCAGGCCCAGTCCCTAGAGTCTGCTGGGCTGGCAGGATGGCGGTGGTGGGGGGCACAGTGCGGCCCCCCTCCATGCTGAGGTGTCCTGAACATATCAAGGAGTGCAGGTGCCGCGCTAGCCACGGGGGCTCAGAGCCCAGGTCCCAGTCTGGCCCCTCTCCCGGAGCTGGGCGTGGCTGTGGGGCTCTTTGCTGCTACAGACCATAGCCACGCTCGCTGCGAGGGTGCCAGGTGCCACACACCTACGTTTGCTTTGCCAGCATTTTCCTTCCTTTTGCTTTTCCCATCCCTTTCTTTCTGAGATTAGGAAGGAAAAGGAAGGGAAGGAAACCTAATCGGGTGACTCGAGGAACTAGATCTTATTCAGTCATTCCAGGACCATCAAGGCAGGAATTATTATTGCACCGACACATTGCTTATAAGGACAGAACTAAGGCTCAGAGAGATTGAGGAAAGGGCACACAGCTGCCCAACAGGCCAGTGAAGGAGCTGGGCTTTCGGCTGAAGGCTCAGTCTCTCTGACATCCACGTGGATTCATTCACGGGTACCTCGGTCCCCAGAGCGCGGCCTGCAGAGCTGCCTGTTCTTCCCTCCCGGGCCAGCTGGTGCAGGACACTAGGGGATTTTCCAGGCACACAGGCTAAGCACATGTGACATTCGCAGTCTTCATTTGAATGCTACCCTCCCTCTGGGACCCATCGTATTCTGGCATTCCAGGCATGGTGCTAAGGTCCAGGGTGTGCTATGGACATAGCTGAGTGCACACACCTGCACTCTGTCTACCTGCATCCCACCTGAGTCCCACCTTTATCATCCTGCCTGAGTCCCACCTGCATCCTACCTGCATCCCGCCTACATCCTACCTGCATCCTACCTGCATCCCACCTATATCCTACCTGCATCCCACCTACATCCTACCTGCATCCCACCTATATCCTACCTGCATCCCGCCTACATCCTACCTGCATCCTACCTGCATCCCACCTATATCCTACCTGCATCCCACCTACATCCTACCTGCATCCCACCTATATCCTACCTGCATCCCACCTACATCCTACCTGCATCCCACGTACATCCTACCTGCATCCTACCTGAGTCCCACCTGCATCCCACCTGCATCCTATCTGCATCCTACCTGCATCCCACCTACATCCTACCTGCATCCTACCTGCATCCCATCTGAGTCCTACCTGAGTCCCACCTGCCTACTACCTGCATCATACCTGAGTCCCACCTGCATCCCACCTGCATCCTACCTGAGTCCTACTTGCATCCTACCTGTGGCTCTGTGCTGGGCTGTAGGACGCCATCTTGGCATAGCAGTGCATGGCTCTGGGTAGAGCATGAGGGATGCCCCCCTCTGGTTCTCTCCTAGGATGCACACCGACCTCACCAGTCACATGGACCTTGCCAATCACACCAGTCATGCCAACTCCCTACAGACACCTCTGCCTGGCTTGCATCTCGTAAGAGCTAAATCAAGAGCAAGATCTCAACGGTGCCTAAAGACTGGCAGTGCCCACTCAAGAGAAACCTCTGTGAGTCCCAACCCACACTGTGCAGTCCTGGGTGACAGTGCCAAGGAGCTGTGGCCCTTGTCTTGTGTGTGGGGCTCTGAGGAGCTGTGGCTTTCATGGTAGCATCGGTGTGATGCCCATCAATGCCTTGAGATGTTGTCCCCTCCTGTGCCAGGCAAGGTGGTGCCCATTAGGAACCAGATACCCTGTGTCCAGCTCGTGGGAGTGTGGGTGGCTGAGGCCCACAGGGAGCCTCTGTGCAGTGCCTGGGGTGGCCCTGCAGGGGAGCCCTGCCCAGGTACCACTGGGTCTGGGGGCACAAGCCCCACACCTTTGCCTCAGTGGGGTTGCTCTGAAGTGCCTGCTCAGTCCTGAGCCCCCATGGGAGCTGTCAGGACCACTTGCAGGTACTGTCTTCCTCCCCAGGAGGGGTTCCCCAGAGCCTGCCCCATAGCCTCTGCCTCAGAGTCTTTTTCCAGGAAACCCAAGCATAACAGTTCCAATCAAACCTCATTTATGTGGTCAACCTCTCAGCCCTTCCTGTCCCTTCCACAGCCAGAAAAAGGAGAGGGTGATGGAGAGGCGGGGAGAGTGAGCTGCAGAATGGAGACCCTTCTCACCTGCAGGGGGAATGACAACCTCAGCTCACCAGCTGCCCCCTAAGCTCGGACGATGAGAAACATGGGCTAGGCACAGGTACATGGCTGCAGGCCACACTCACGGCCCAGATAGGCAAAAGTGTATAAGGCAATAAGGGAATTAATTATTTCTTATTAGCTAATGATCATATATTTACCTTTATCTATCATCGATCTATTATCTGTCTATAGCTATTAGCTTTCCAAATCTCTCTTCTATAATATTATTTCTATTTATTATCTACCCATATTTATTATCTTTATATCTATCATCCATATAATCCATTGTCTATTTATCCATCATCTACCTGTCTATAACTATTTATTTTATCTATTATCTATGTATTCTCTATCTATATCTATTATCTATCATCTACCAATCCATTATCTATCATCTTGCTACTATTTACACATAATACATACATACACAACACTTTTGCATTTGTGTAATAGCTCTATTTGTTACAAAAAATAGGACTACACAAAATATAGTATGGGTTTTGGATTTGATTACAATTAAGGTCATGAGAACCCACTAAGAATTCTTGGCAAAATCTTTACAAGCATAATATGTCACTTGATGATTTTGGAAACTATATGATTGAGGTGATATATGCTGTGGATTTAATATTAGAAATTTAAAGTTGAACACGTGGTGCTGCTGCCTTAAGTGGCAGAGATAAGATTCAAACCCAGGTCTTCTGGCTCCAAGTGTCATTCTCCTTCCCCCACACAACTGCACTCTTTTTTCTTTTTCTTGTTTTTCTTTTTTTGAGACAGTATCTCACTCTGTCACCCAGGCTGGAGTGCGTGATGCGATCTCGGCTGACTGCAGCCTCTGCCTCCTGGGTTCAAGCAATTCTCCTGCCTCAGCCTCCCAAGTAACTGGGACTACAGGTGTGCACCACCATGCCTGGCTAACTTTTTTGTATTTTTTTTAGTAGAGAGGGTGTTTTGCTATGTTGGCCAGGCTGGTCTCGAACTCGTGAGCTCAGGCAGTCTGCTCACCTCAGCCTCCCAAAATGCTGGAATTACAGGCATGAGCCACTGTGCCCGGACTGCACTCCAAATAGATTTGGATTTAATTAACTGGAAATGCCCAATTTGGTGGTGTACAGAATCGAGGAGCTGCCTCACCAGGGGCAGCCTCCATCCAGTTACCACTTGATGCAGGTTGTAGGGGCACAAAACTAGCCTTGCCTCAGTGGGGCAGCTCTGAAGGGTTTCCCGGCCCCCCAGCCACCCCTGGAGGTTGTTACCCAAAGTGTTGCCCGAGGACCAGCAGCAAGGGTGGCATCTGTGAGCTCATCTGAAACGCAAACCTCAGGCCTCACTCCAGACCCACTGAATCAGGATCTGCATCTTAACAAGACATGGTTCAGGCCAAAAATAGTTTCAGATCTACTTTCCATTCCTGAAAGAGTGCCCAAAAATAGACAAAGTAAAGTATAATAATAACAACAGTACCAGGGTTTTTTGGCATCATTTTTGAAGAATATTGTTTAGTGCAAAAAATAAAAATATAAAAGTAAGGCACAAAAAGCAAATTACAAAGTTTGGCTTAATTTAAATGAAAATTATTTGACTCTTACCTACGTGCTCGTCGTTCTGACCTGCCATAATCTTTGCTTGGTTGGAATGGTGTCCTTGCAGTAGGAGAGACTGCAGAAGTAAATTATTAGCTTTTTAAGTTCTGTGGAACAAGAAAGGGAAGCTTAAATATGATGAATACCTGTTGCCATCGTGCCTGAAGTATCGATGAAGTCTAATCTTGCTTTGGGTTTTGACTCAAAGCAACTGGAATATTCAACTGCTTTATAAGCTAGTGAAAGTGGGCTGCGTAGATGCGATTACAGGTTAAGGTTGTAAGAACAATCAGGACCTCAGAAGAGATTCCTTTTCCCAGTTACTCAGAATCTACATAGATGAAGTTTTAAAAAGCCTGTTAAATGTAGATATTCGCTTGGCTGTGGGAGAGGAGGGTAATTGGCTTGCAATTTGTTTTATCATGACATTTCCACTCTGGCCTTCCATTCCCCAGAAACTGAACTCAGTGACGCTCTTGGAAGAAGTGACCTCATCATGACAAAATCCAATCCCTTATGCACCACCAGCTCAACCATAAACCCAGGAGTCATCCCTAATTCGCTTTTTTCCTTGCCCTTTGTGCCACAAAGCCATTTTGTCTCCACCTCTAAACTTCTCTCCAGCCCCCTTTTCCCTTCTGATGCACGGGCACCCATTTCTCCCTAGACTGCCTTCTTCAGTGTTCCTAAACAGCAGATACCTAGTTCACAGGCCTGCTTACACAATGGTCTCCTAATGTTATTCTTCACACAAATGTGTTTTTAAAGTCTGTGAGAGAGGCCGGGCACAGAGGTTCACGCCTATAATCCCAGCTCTTTGGGAGGCCAAGGCAGGTGGATCCCCTGAGGTCAGGAGTTCAAGACTAGCTGGGCCAACATGCCGAAATCCCGTCTCTACTAAAAATACAAAACTTAGCTGGGCGTGGTGGCAGGCACCTCTCATCCCAGCTACTTGGGAGGCTAAGGCAGGAGAATTGCTTGAGCCCTGGAGATACAGGTTGCAGTGAGCCAAGATCGCACGATTGCACTCCAGCCTGGGTGATAAGAGTGAAACTCCATCTCAAAAATAAATAAATAAATAAATAAATAAATAAAGTCTATGAGAGAAATTTGATTAGCCACTCTTTCACAAAGTATGAAGAAGAAACTGTGAGACAAACTAAATAAGAAAATGATGCTATTAAGAAATACTATTGGAATGATTGACCAATTCCTTGTCTGTGTCAGGTTTTGTGTATAAGGCATGTCTCTCCCTTTAAGGAGTCTGCAATCGTGTTACTGGGGAAATGACTTACTAGAATGCAAGCAAAACAGATTATAATATAAGATACTCAAAACCGGGTGTCAGTTATGTAAAAAATAACCTATATGTGGTGGTCCATTTTTAATTTTAAGTGTCTTAGTATAGGTTTAAGCAGGCTATGTGGAAATAAAGAGATAAAGAAGCAGAATGTACTGAGCCACCCCTGCCCCCATCCTGCTTTCTCCTTTCACTTGGCAGCCAGGTGCCTATCGGTCAGGGCCCCCTTAAATACCCCCTCCCCACCCCACCGAAGAATTTAGTTTAGGCTAGCTTGCAACATAGATAATTTTATCCTTTCTTATCAGCAAAGCACAGCCACTAGGGCCATACGTCAAATGTTCGAAGAGTCCTGAGACAGTCACAATGCATTATGGGATGCAATAAAATGCAGCAGAAAGACCCTAATGAACATACTCGAAAACTTAATCCAACTACCAATATTCGACGTCCAGGAAGATTGTAACCTCATAGTACTCAGCCAATGAGGAACTGGGGGAGGGACTTGTGCACTAGGGAGTAAATTTCTTGTTGAAGCCCTTCTGGGTGTGCCTCATGCCAGACACCCAATCTTGCAAGACTGCCATTAAAGTCTTGCTTCTTCTGTTCTCTGTGTCCCTGAGTCCATTCTTTGGGTTTGGATGGATAAGGATGTTTCTTACAAGTTAGAAAGAAATTTCTCAATAAGACTCTGAGAGCTTCCTGCTATAGTGCTGGAATTGACATGAGGGTGATTTTGTTTTTTTATTTTAATTTATCTTAAATTAATTAATTTCTTTCTACAAGGGTGATTTTGAAGTCTCCTCACTGCCGATGGTTTTGTGGAAACTGCACAGCGAGGAGGGTAGAGATCTTACTCCTGAAGAGCTGGGAGTCCGGGCTTTGAGGCAGATTCTGTGTTTCTTCAGTGTGTATGTCCTGAGGAATTAGCCACCCATCTGCCACAGGGCCCTGGGGGAGAACGCTACCATGTCTGAAAATGCCAAGGTGGCTGTCCCGTGGAGTTAGCTGTTGTTATCGTCTGTGCTTCGTGATAGCAGGAAGCTTTTTCCTCACTGTGCCCTGCAGCCTCTCCACCTCCTTCCCTTCTCCATTAGTCATGTGAAGACAGAGGGAGCAGGAGGGAAGTTGCCCCAGAGTCCAAGGCAAAGTGCATCAAACAGCCCCGGGTAGTCGTGTTCAGTTTAACCCTGCAGTTATTCCTGAAGTCTTAAGAACTGAATCCTGATACTGCTTTTCCCGTCTTCTTCAGATTCACTCCTGCCCCAGTTCTCTTTGTTGCTGAGAAAATGTCTTCCTCTGCTCTGTAGGATAATATAATACGTTTCTGAGAAAAGGAGCCGTGTCCTTCAGGAGAGGGGTAAATTACAAACGTTACAAGAGATTCGTACATGTTTCATCTCCCCTTTCTTATGGTCACTCAGTAAAATGAGATAACAGTCATGAAAGTTCTGTTATGTGCTCTGCCTAAACCACTGGCCAATTCAGCCCCAACCAGCCCAACTTAAGCTATTGAAGTGGGAAGATTTGGGAGACTGTTTCAATATCCTTATTTGAGTCAGCCTGTTTTTCTGTGGGCCAGAATAGGACATCACAACATGAGATTCAGCTTCTAGACAGGCAGGACGTGTCCTCCATGGATCCCAGCTCCCACAGCCAGGTCCTGTTCCCACTGTGGCTTGGGAGGACATCCCAGAAGCAGAGCCCACGTAGGCCTCCAGCACCCAGCAAACTGCAGGACAAGCTTGGTTGCAGAGTGAGTCAGGCCTTCTTAAACCCCTGCTCTTCCTGACTTGGGCTTCAGGAGACAGGACATGGTTTTGGAAGAGCCATGAAGAGCCACAGTACTGCTGAGTGGAAACAGCCTTCTTCTCTGGCTTAAGGGGAAACCAAGAAGCTTTTTGCTCTGGCTGGCTGGGAGGGCAGGGGGTTGCTGATGCCTGGACACTTCACGGAGGGACACACCCTGGGGGCCTCAGCCCCACTGAAGAGCCGCCTCCATAGACCGTGGCTGTAGACTGGGTCCTGGAGCCACTGGGTCCTGGAGCCACCAGCTCCTGTCCACATGGGGTCTGCAAAGGGAAGCTCCAAGCCCAAGCTGATGGAGAGGCAGAGCCTCAGTCCATCTCAGGGTTTCCAGACCTTTGTGATGAAGCAAAGCTTTTCCCAAACATGATTTCACCCCAAACCCCAAAGTGTACAAGCAGATAAGCACAGAAAGCTATTGTAAAAGTCAGAAAAGGAGGAGGGCTGTGAGAGGGGCTGACGGTCCCCTCCAAATTCTGCCATTGCAGCCTCGACCCTCAGGCCCTCAGAACATGACTGCATCTGAAGAGGCGATTCAAGGTAGAGGACACCATCAGGGGGTCCTCTGTGCCTGTCTCTGCCCTAATTTCCTCTTTTTAAAATTATTATTATTATACTTTAAGTTCTGGGATACATGTGGAGAATGTGCAAGTTTGTTACATGGGTATACATGCGCCATGGTAGTTTGCTGCACCCATCAACCCATCATCTACATTAGGTATTTCTCCTAATGCTATCCCTCCCCTAGCCCCCCACCCCCTGACAGGGCCCAGCATGTGATGTTTCCCTCCCTGTGTCCATGTGTTCTCATTGTTCGACTCCCACTTATGAGTGAGAACATGTGTTTAGTCTTCTGTTCCTGTGTTAGTTTGCTGAGAGTGATGGTTTCCAGCTTCATCCATGTCCCTGCAAAGGACATGAACTCATCCTTTTTTATGGCTGCATAGTATTCCATGGTGTAGATGTGCCACATTTTCTTTATCCAGTCTATCATTGATGGGTATTTTGGTTGGTCCCAAGTCTTTGCTATTGTGAATAGTGCTACAATAAACATATGTGTGTATGTGTCTTTATAGTACAGTGATTTATAATTCTTTGGGTATATACCCAGTAATGGGATTGCTGGATCAAATGGTGTTTCTGATTCTAGATCCTTGAGGAATAAGCACACTGTCTTCCACAATGGTTAAACTAATTTGCACTCCTACCAACAGTGTAAAAGCATTCCTCTATCTCCACATCCTCTCCAGCATCTGTCGTTTCCTGACTTTTTAATGATCGCCATTCTAACTGGCGTGAGATGGTACCTCATTGTGGCTTTGATTTGCATTGCTCTAATGACCTGTGATGATGAGCTTTTTTTTCATGTTTGTTGGCTGCATAAATGTGTTCTTTTCTTTTTTTTTTTATTTTTTTTATTTAGACAGAGTCCTGCTCTGTCGCCCAGGCTGGAGTGCAGTGGTGGGATCTGAGCTCAATTCAACCTCCACCTCCTGGGTTCAAGAGATTCTCCTGCCTCAGCCTCCCGAGTAGCTGGGACTACAGGCATGTGCCACCACATCCAGCTAATTTTTTATATTAATACTAGAGATGGGGTTTCACCATGTTAGCCAGGATGGTCTTGATCTCCTGACCTCATGATCTGCCCACCTTGGCCTCGGCCTCCCAAAGTGCTGGGATTATAGGCGTGAGCCACTGCTCCTGGCCATAAATGTCTTCTTTTGAGAAATTTCTGCTCATATCCTTCAAACACTTTTTGATGGGGTTGTTTTTTTCTTGTAAATTTGTTTAAATTCCTTGTAGATTCTGGATATTAGCCCTTTGTCAGATGGAGAGATTACAAAAACTTTCTCCCATTCTGTAGGTTGCCTGCTTACTCTGATGGTAGTTTCTTTTGCTGTGCAGAAGCTCTTTAGTTTAATTAGATGACATTTCTCAATTTTGGCTTTTGTTGCCATTGCTTTTGGTGTTTTAGTCATGAAGCCTTTGCCCGTGCCTATGTCCTGAATGGTATTGCCTAGGTTTTCTTCTACGGTTTTTATGGTTTTAGGTCTTACATTTAAGTCTTTAATCCATCTTGAGTTAATTTTGGTATAAGGTGTAAGGAAGGGATCCAGTTTCAGTTTTCTGCATATGGCTAGCCAGTTTTCCCAACACCATTTATTAAATAGGAAATCCTTTCCCCATTGCTTGTTTTTGTCAGGTTTGTCAAAGATCAGATGGTTGTAGATGTGTGGTGTTATTTCTGAGGCCTCTGTTCTGTTCCATTGGTCTATATATCAATTTTGGTTCCAGTACCATGCTGTTTTGGTTACTGTAGCCTTGTAGTATAGTTTGAAGTCAGGTTGCGTGATGCCTCCAGCTTTGTTCTTTTTGCTTAGGATTGTCTTGGCTATACGGGCTCTTTTTTGATTCCATATTAAATTTAATGGGATTGCTGGGTCAATCCCATTAATTATGGGATTAATTAGATATGAGATTTAATTAGTTTTTTCTAATTCTGTGAAGGAAGTCAATGGTATGGGGATAGCAGTGAATCTATAAATTACTTTGTGTAGTATGGCCATTTTCAAGATATTGATTCTTCCTATCCATGAGCATGGAATGTTCTTCCATTTGTTTGTGTCCTCTCTTATTTCCTTGAACAGTGGTTTGTAGTTCTTGAAGAGGTCCTTCACATCCCTTATAAGTTGTATTCCTAGGTATTTTATTCTCTTCATAGCAATTGTGAATGGGAGTTCACTGATGATTTGGCTCTCTGTTTTTCTATTATTGGTGTATAGGAATGCTTGTGATTTTTGCACATTGATTTTGTATCCTGTGATTTTGCTGAAGTTGCTTATCAGCTTAAGGAGATTTTGGGCTGAGATGATGGGGTTTTCTAAATATACAACCATGTTATCTGCAAACAGAGACAATTTGACTTCCTCTCTTTCTATTTGAATACGCTTTATTTCTTTCTCTTGCCTGATTGCCCTGGCCAGAACTTCCAATACTATGTTGAATAGGAGTGATGAGAGAGGGCATCCTTGTCTTGTGCCAGTTTTCAAAGGGAATGCTTCCAGCTTTTTCCCATTCAGTGTGATATTGGCTGTGGGTTTGTCATAAATAGCTCTCATTATTTTGAGATATTCCATCAATACCTAGTTTATTGAGAATTTTTAGCATGAAGGGGTGTTGAATTTTATCAAAGGCCTTTTCTGCATCTATTGAAATAATTATGCATTTTTTTCCATTGGTTCTGTTTATGTGATGGATTATGTTTATTGATTTGCATATGTTGAACCAGCCTTGCATCCCAGGGATGAAGCCGACTTGATCGTGGTGGATGAACTTTTTGATGTGCTGCTGGATTTGGTTTACCAGTATTTTATTGAGGATTTTTGCATCGATGTTCATCAGGGATATTGGCCTAAAATTTTCTCTTTTTTTGTTGTGTCTCTGCCAGGCTTTGTTACCAGGATGATGCTGGCCTCATAAAATGAGTTAGGGACAAGTTCCTCTTTTTCTATTGTTTGGAATGGTTTCAGAGGGAATGGTACCAGCTCCTCTTTGTGCCTCTGGTAGAATTTGGCTGTGAATCCATCTGGTCCTGGGCTTTTGTTGGTTGGTAGGCTATTAATTACTGCCTCAATTTCAGAACTTGTTATTGGTCTATTCAGGGATTCGACTTCTTCCTGGTTTAGTCTTGGGAGGGTGTTTGTGTCCAGGAATTCATCCATTTCTTCTAGATTTTCTAGTTTATCTGCATAGAGGTTTTTATAGTATTCTCTGATGGTAGTTTGTATTTCTGTGGGATCAGTGGTGATATCCTCTTTATCATTTTTTATTGTGTCTATTTGATTCTTCTCTCTTTTCCTCTTTATTAGTCTGGCTAGCAGTCTATTTTGTTAATCTTTTCAAAAAACTGGCTCCTGGATTCATTGATTTTTTGAAAGGTTTTTCGTGTCTCTATCTCCTTCAGTTCTTCTCTGATCTTAGTTATTTCTTGTCTTCTGCTAGCTTTTGAATTTGTTTGCTCTTGCTTCTCTAGTTCTTTTAATTGTGATGTTAGGATGTCGATTTTAGATCTTTCCCCCTTTCTGCTGTGGGCATTTAGTGCTATAAATTTCCCTCTAAGAACTGCTTTAGCTGTGTCCCAGAGATTCTGGTATGTTGTGTCTTTGTTCTCATTGGTTTCAAATAACTTATTTATTTCTGCCTTAATTTCGTTATTTACCCAGTAGTCATTCGGGAGCAGGTTGTTCAGTTTCCATGTAATTGTGTGGTTTTGAGTGAGTTTCTTAATCCCAAGTTCTAATTTCATTGCACTGTGGTCTGAAAGACTGTTATGATTTCCGTTCTTTTGCATGTGCTGAGGAGTGTTTTACTTCCAATTATGTGGTCAATTTTAGAATAAGTGCAATGTGGTTCTGAGAAGAATGTATACTCTGTTGATTTGGGGTGGAGAGTTCTGTAGATGTCCATTAGGTCTGCTTGGTCCAGAGCTGAGTTCAAGTCCTGAATATCCTTGTTAATTTTCTGTCTTGTTGAACTGTCTAATATTGACAGTGGAGTGTTAAAATCTCCCACTACTATTGTGTAGGAGTCCAAGTCTCTTTGTAGGTCTCTAAGAACTTGCTTTATGAATCTGGGTGCTCCTGTATTGGGTGCATATATATTTAGTATAGTTAGCTCTTCTTGTTGCATTGATCCATTTACCATTATGTAATGCCCTTCTTTGTCTTTTTTGATCTTTGTTGGTTTAAAGTCTGTTTTATCAGAGACTAGGATTGCAACCCCTGCTTTTTTTTGCTTTCTATTTGCTTGGTAAATATTCCTTCATTCCTTTATTTTGAGCCTACGTGTGTCTTTGCATATGAGATCAGTCTCCTGAATACAGCACACTGATGGGTCTTGACTCTGTCCAATTTGCCAGGCTGTGTCTTTCAACTGGGGCATTGAGACCATTTACATTTAAGGTTAATATTATTTTGTGTGAATTTGATCCTATCGTGATGATGCTAGCTGGTTATTTTGCCCGTTAGTTGATGCAGTTTCTTCATAGTGTTGATGGTCTTTACAATTTGGTATGTTTTTGCAGTGGCTGGTACTAGTTTTTTCTTTCCATATTTAGTGCTTCCTTCAGGAGCTCTTGTAAGGCAGGCCTGGTGGTGACAAAATCTCTCAGCATTTGCTTGTCTGTAAAGGATTTTATTTCTCCTTCGCTTATGAAGCTTAGTTTGGCTGGATATGAAATTCTGGGTTGAAAATTGTTTTCTTTAAGAATGTTGAATATTGGCCCCCACTCTCTTCTGGCTTGTAGGGTTTCTGCCGAGAGATCTGCTGTTAGTCTGATGGGCTTCCCTTTGTGGGTAACCCAGCCTTTCTCTCTGGCTGCTCTTAACATTTTTCCTTTATTTCAACCTTGGTGAATCTGACGATTATGTGTCTTGGAGTTGTTCTTCTCAAGGAGTATCTGTGGTGTTCTCTGTATTTCCTGAATTTGAATGTTGGCCTATCTTGCTAGGGTGGGGAAGTTCTCCTGGATAATATCCTGAAGTGTGTTTTCCAACTTGGTTCCATTCTTCCCATCAGTTTCAGGTACACTAGTCAAACATAGGTTTGGTCTTTTCACATAGTCCCATATTTCTTGGAGCTTTGTTCATTCCTTTTCATTCTTTTTTCTCTAATCCTGTCTTCATGCTTTATTTCATTAAGTTGATCTTCAATCTCTGATATCCTTTCTTCTGCTTGATCTATTCAGCTATTGATACTTGTGTATGCTTCACAAAGTTCTCATGCTGTGTTTTTCAGCTCCATCAGGTCATTTATGTTCTTCTCTACACTGGTTATTCTAGTTAGCAATTCTTCTAACCTTTTATCAAGGTTCTTAGCTTCCTTGCATTGGATTAAAACATGCTCCTTTAGCTTGGAGGAATTTGTTATTACCCATCTTCTGAAGCCTACTTCTGTCAATTCGTCAAACTCATTCTCTGTCCAGTTTTGTTCCCTTGCTGGTGAGGAGTTGTGATCCTTTGGAGAAGAAGCATTCTGGTTTTTGGACTTTTCAGCATTTTCGCACTGGTTTTTTTCTCATCTTCATGGATTTATCTACCTTTGGTCTTTAATGTTGGTAACATTTGGATGGGGTTTTTGTGTGCACATCGTTTTTGCTGGTGTTGATGCTATTCCTTTCTGTTTGTTAGTTTTCCTTCTAACAGTCAGGCCCCTCTGCTGCAAGTCTGCTGGAGTTTGCTGGGGGTCCACTCCAGACTCTGTTTGCCTGGGTATCACCAGTGGAGGCTGCAGAACAGCAAAGATTGCTGCCTGCTCCTTCCTCTGGAAGCTTCATCCCAGAGGGGAACCCACCAGACGCCAGCTGGAGCTCTCCTTTATGAGGTGTCTGTTGACACCTGCTGGAAGGTGTCTTCCAGTCAGGAGGCACAGGGGTCAGGGACCCACTGGAGGAGGCAGTCTGTCTGTTAGCAGAGCTCGAGCACTGTGCTGGGAGATCTGCTGCTCTCTTCAGAGCCGGCAGGCAGGAACATTTAAGTCTGCTGAGGCTGTGCCCACAGCTGCCCCTTCCCCCAGGTGCTCTGTCCCAAGGAGATGGGAGTTTTATCTATAAGCCCCTGACTAGGGCTGCTGCCTTTTTTTTCAGAAATGCCCTGCCCAGAGAGGAGGAATCTAGAGAGACAGTCTGGCTACAGAGGCTTTGCTGAGCTGCAGTGGGCTCCACCCAGTTTGAAATTCCCCTGGGCTTTGTTTACACTGTGAGGGGAAAACTACCTACTCAAGCCTCAGTAATGGTGGGTGCCCCTCCCCCAACCAAACTTGAGCATCCCAGGTCGACTTCAGACTTCAGACTGCTGTGCTGGCTGTGAGAATTTCAAGCCAGTGGATCTTAGCTCGCTGGGCTCCATGGTGGTGGGATCCACTGAGCTAGACCACTTGGGTCCCTGGCTTCAGCCCCCTTTCCAGGGGAGTGAATGGTTCTGTCTTGCTGGTGTTCCAGGCACCACTGGGGTATGAAAAAAAAAAAACTCCTGCAGCTAGCTCAGTGTCTGCCCAAAGCAGCTAGCTCAGTGTCTGCCCAAACGGCCGCCCAGTTTTGTGCTTGAAACCCAGGGCCCTGGTGGTGTAGGCATGCGAAGGAATCTCCTGGCCTGTGGGTTGTGAAGACTGTGGGGAAAGTGTAGTATCTGGGCCAGAATGCACCATTCCTCACAACACAGTCCCTCATGGCTTCCCTTGGCTAAGGGAGGGAGTTCCCCAATCCCCTTGCACTTCCTGGGTGAGGCAACGCCCCACCCTGCTTTGGCATACCCTCTGTGGGCTGCACCCACTGTCTAACTAGTCCCAGTGCGAGGAGCCGGGTACCTAAATTGGAAATGCAGAAATGACACACCATCTGCATAGATCTCACTGGGAGCTGCAGACCAGAGCTGTTCCTATTTGGCCATCTTGCCCAGGTCCCCTAATTCTTCTTAAGAAGAACTTCAGGCAGATTAGATTAGGGCCCACCCTGATGGCCTCCTCTACCCTTAATTACCCTTTAGATGCAGTCATTGACGTGGTGACATCATGTTTTCCCTGGTGGCCTGAGCAGGGACACATGAGGGATGGACATTCTTCTTGTCCTGGCTGTGCTGTGGGCCCCTCCCTCTCTCCCTCTCCTTCCTGCCTGTGGGTGGTGGTGGGAGGCAGGGGTGCGGAATCTAACCTGGCTGCCCTGCCCTCTGCCTCGTGACCTCAGGGGGGTTGGGGGCTCCTCTTTTGCTCGCAGCAGGCACCCCTTGCTCATCTCCTATGGTTGTTGCCTTGTGGGCACCCCCTCTCCCCCGCAGTGGGGCCATCTCTTTGCCCTTCCCCAGTCGCGCTAAGGTGGGCTTTGCCTGGACCTTCACGGTGCCCCTGGAGGCTCCAGGGTGTCCCTCAGGTGCCTGAGGCTGAGTGGCAGTGTCGTTCCTGTTCCCAGTGCCCCCTCCTACAGTCGCCGCTGCAGTGTCTGTGTGTGGGTCCTGGGGAGTTTTGAGGGGGCCGAGGCGGAAAGTGAGGCACCCCCTCCCACACGGGCTGCTGTGTGCTCCAGGACTGATTGGGACACCTGCCCCCTGCTCCCCTTTGCCAGTGAGCACAGGACATCTGAGGTCATGGTAGGCTTGGTCCATGTGCTGGCCAGCCACCAGGGGCTACCACTCTGCCTTCAACTGATCCTTCTGTGCATTTTTTTTTTTTTATTTTTTTTTTTGAGACGGAGTCTCATTCTGTCGCCCAGGCGGGAGTGCTGTGGCGCGATCTCCGCTCACTGCAAGCTCCGCCTTCCGGGTTCACGCCATTCTCCTGCCTCAGCCTCCCGAGTAGCTGGGACTACAGGCGCCCACCACTGCGCCCGGCTAATTTTTTGTATTTTTAGTAGAGACGGGGTTTCACCGTGGTCTCGATCTCCTGATCTCGTGATCCGCCCGCCTCGGCCTCCCAAAGTGCTGGGATTACAGGCGTGAGCCACCGCGCCCGGCCTGTGCATTTATTTTTAAAAAAGTTTTAAAATATTTTATAAATTAAAAAAATAGATGCAGTCACATTCCACAGGGGATCTGCAATGGGAGGGGTCTCCACCTGCAGGGAGGAGGCGCTGTCTGCAGCCACAGCCTGTGGAGCCTGCAGAGCTGCTCAAGTCAATGCACACCCATGTTGGTCTGCTCTGCTGCATTACCGACCCTTCAAGGAGGTGGCCTCTCGTAATCACCCACCCAACAGGAGACAGCAGGAGAGTGAGAAGGACAAAGTAAGATCGCTGCTGCAGATGTCGGTCTGAGGCATCACATAATAAATAGAACTCACCCACCTCCCTCCTCTCCTCCTGAGGTTCCGACATGCATCCAGCTGACCGCTTCTGTGCTACCCAGAGAGCGGGGCTGGCAGATGACTGATGTGGGCCCCTTGTTGTACCTCCATCTCCATAAAGTTGTTCTAGGCCATGTGGGTAAGTCAGACACACTGTGAGTCCTCAGGTAAGGATGGCCACCTGATTCCAGCCAGAGAATGAATGCCCTCCTGGACAGGCCTCAACCTGGGAAGATGCAACACTGGGAAGATTCAACTCCTGGACCCGGACCAGACGGCTGAGTCTTCACTGTGATCCAGGAGTCCAAGTGCATCCCTGCCTCCAGCCACAGAGCTGATGACGGGGTGTTCTGCAGGAAGTGTAGCCAACACGCAGGATGCTTCTCTTGACGCTGTCTTTGGGCTGAAGGTGACAACCTACATTTTTTTTTGTCTTATGTACAAATGCCAGAAACTCTTCCAGTAAAGCTGCCATACTAGACAGGTGCGATTGGAACTATCATTTGGTGGAGTTTACAGCAGCCCACTGTCATCTGCAATAATCCACCTGGTCCTGAGAGGGGCTGGGCCAGTGACTAAACTGGGGGTGAGATGGGGACCTCCCTTGCTCAGAGCTCTCACGGGCAGGTGCAGGTGCACGACGCCAGACTGCTTTTGTTTGTTTGTTCCCTATTTTCATCCTCCCCAAGAGCTGCTCAGTGGACCACGCTCTGTGGGGTCTGCCATCTCCCTGAACATTCACCCGCCCCTAGGCCGAGAACCACGGACTTTTCCTGATTCCTTGCAGGAGTCTCAGAATCGCTGGTGCTGGTGCAGGTGCAGGTGTGGATTTACACAAGCAACAAAAGCACACCCGTGGGGAAATCAGGTCAAGATGAGAAGCACCTTTGAAGCATTCGATAGATAAGCAGTTGATCACTCCTCAGTGGGAAATAGTAAAAGCAACCACAGTTCATCTTAAAGGAGATGAAAAAGCATACTTTTTAAATATTTCGGCCGTTCATGGTATTTCTTTCTGAAAACGGTAACCTTTCTTCTTCTATGTAGAACAGCAGTGCCCGGCTTACAGTGGCTCTGGAAAGAAGGCCTGTGTACTTGGAGACACCCCAGCCAGTGGGGTGCACTCCAGGCTCTGAGGGCTTCTTTTTCCACCAGTGTGGAGAGCCTGTGGAATGTCGTCCGCTCACAGACCAGCCTGTGGGGGCAGCCGGCTGGTCCTCAGGAAGGCCAGGGTGCTCAGAACAGAGATTGCCATTCCCTGCTGCACTCCTGCCAGCCTCCCTGAGGCGAGGCACATCCTGACGACAGCCCATGCGCATCAGATGCCTCCTCCATGGGAGTCACCAAGGGAAATCCATTCTTTCCCTGAGACCTCTGTATGTCTTGCCAAGGCTCCATGCACAGGTGCGGGGCTGCGTGGATCAGAGCAGGTGTTCTCTGAAAGAACAGGTGCCAGGGCTTTCTGCTGACTGCAGTGAAACGCCTCCATGCTTGGATGTCAGGAGGGCTCCAGCTCAAACCCTGTGATTCTCCAGTGCAGTGAAATCCCGGAGGACACAGTGACAGACCTCCCATGTGACCAGGTCTCCCATAACGCATGTCCCTTTTGCAAACCGAGCTAAAGCCACACTACCAGCCTGCTCACACAACAAGCGTTTATTATTTCTCACCATCTTTGGAACCAGTACTTGGTGCCCGGAAGCAGGCTGATCACAGGGTGGTAACCTCTGGTTGGTGAAGTGACCACAGCAGCTTTGATTTTCACGCAGCGGGCGCTGTACCAGTCTCACAATGTGAGGCCCTGTATTCTGGCTGATAATAAGGAGAGTGTTGCTCAGGAGGGAAGCGGAGTCTGAAAGAGCTAGATAAGAATTCTGGCTCTTCCAGTCACAGACTTCCTAGCCCTGGGCACACTGATCCGTCTAAGGATCAATCTGCCTCCACTTTTTGGTTGATTCTTAAACACTCATTTACCTCCCTGAGTCTAAGTTTCTTTACCCCAAACATGGGAAGAAGAAAACTCCTCTTTCTTTAGATCACAAGGTGGTTGTTAGGGTAAAATAAGATAATATGCACCGAAGTACTTAGGATATGTAAAAACTATGCAAATATAAGGTGTTTTTAAAGTATATTTTTGTACTGTAAGTATAACGTATTGAGATGCAAGATATTTTAAATATTATACAAAATAAGCAAAGACTAGAATTGAATTTCCTGGCACTTTCTCTCTTTTGCTACCTGATTACAAATAGCGTTAGTTCAAAAACCAACTTTCCTAATGAAGAACTATATCTGGCAATTACTTTTATAACTTTTCCTCTAGAGGATCATAAACCTCCACCTTCAGAAATGCCTAAAACAAATTCACTCTGTTGCTTCAGACTGATGTGACGTGTGATAAGTTATAAGGCATTCAATTTCAAAATCTCCCTCATTAAAATAATTCATACCTTATCCACCCATGTCTTTAGGTTTTTCCTTCTCTATGTGCTGAAAGAAATGGGAGCAGGAAGTAGCATTTATTGAATATTATTTGGTGCCAGATACCCTTCTGTGCATGTAACTTACATATGTGACTACAGGGATAAGGCTGTTACCTTTAGCCTAAAGGTGCCTCCTTACACATTTTAAATTCAGCCTAAAGGTTTCTCCATACATAGTGAAGTGTAACCTACCTGGGCACGTCCACAAGCTGTCACCTGCTCTTGTAACAAATAGCCAAGTCTCACCCAATTCCAGGAGCCATCTCTCAACCACTCACAGTGGCCACTGTTCAAGTTGTTCATAAAAGGCAAACGTGGCTGGGCCTGGTGGTGACTCCTGTAATCCCAGCACTTTGGGAGGCTGAGGTGGGCAGATCACTTGAGGTCGGGAGTTTGAGACCAGCCTGGCCAACATGGTGAAACCTTGTCTCTACTAAAAACACAAAAATTAGCCGGGCGTGGTGGCGGGCGCCTGTGATCTCAGTTACTCGGGAGGCTGAGGTGGGAGGATCTCTTGAACTTGGGGGCCAGAAGCTGCAGTGAGCCGAGACTGCGCCATTGCACTCCAGCCTGGGCAACAGGGTGAGATCCTGTCAAAAAAAAAAAAAAAAGGCAAACATCGAGCTGGAACCAATCCTGCTGTTTCTGTGCCTTACTTCCATTCCCCTTATGTCACTTTTCTCTGCAAACCCAAGACAGCCCCAGAATTGCTCAGAACCTATTCTGGTTCGAGGGAGCTCCCTAATTTGTGACCCATTCTTTGCTCAGATAAACTCTGTTAAACTTAATTTGTCTAAAGTTTTTCTTTCAACAATGCAATGAGGAAACCAAGGCGTAGAGAGCTCCTGTCCCTCGCCGGCCTCCTATCCTGGTGAGTGGCAGAGCACAGATCAGAAGCCAGAGATGCTTTCCTTCAAGCATGCTGACTCCCGAGACTAGAAATAAGAAGGTATTTAATTTTTAATTTTTTTATTTTTTGAAACAGAGACTCACTCTGTCACCCAGGCTGGAGTGCAGTGGCATGATCTCGGCTCACTGCAACCTCCATCTCCCGGGTTCAAGCGACTCTCTTGCCTCAGCCTCCCGAGTAGCTGGGACTACAGGCGCCCACCACCACGCCCAGCTAATTTTTGTATTTTTAGTAGAGACAGGGTTGGCCAGGCTGGTCTCAAACTCCTGATGTCAAGTGATCCACCTGCCTTGTCCTCCTAAAGTGCTGGGATTACAGATGTGAGTCACTGCACCTGGCCTAAGTGGGTATTTAAAATAGTGACTTTGAAGGTGTGCTGAAGAAGACCACTGCCCTTGTGGGACTGGCTATATTCAGAGTCCACATGAGAGGCTAAGAATATTGTACACAGAGATTCTTGATGTTCTTGAGCAAATCCCTAAAAATGCAGCATATAGAAAGTACATAGAACAGATTACAAATGAGAAGCCGGCTGTGGTTAAAGTGGAAACAGATGTTAAAAAATTAGAAGACCAACTTCAAGGTGGTCAAATAGAAGAGGTGATTCTTCAGGCTGAACATGAACTAAGTCTGGCAAGAAAAATGAGGCCGTGGAAAGCCTGGGAGCCATTAGTGGAGAGCCTCTTACCAATCTGTGGAAATGGCTAGCATAATTATTAAATGACCTTGGAAGGTTGGTGGCAAACTGATGGAATTATTCTGTTAAATAAGAGTGTGTCCATATTACTGACATTTTATCATCAAGAAAATGGATATAGAAAATATTTAGGGGATTGTTAAAATTAGTGATTATGGCAATATGGTTTTGTGAATAAAATTTTGATTTATGAAGTATTCACAAAAATTATTTCAAAGATATTTCTTTGAACAGCAAAGGTCAGGAGAAGATTTGAAAATTAATTAGAAAAAATTCCTACAGATCTTCAATGTAGAGGCCATAATCAAAAAGGAAAGTTTCTTTGGTAGTATGTTCGATACATCATTTAATTTTAAAAATTATCCTGAAGAAGAAAAGATCCTTAATGATTACTGTCTAAACAAATTTATAGATCACTGTTTAAAGTAAATAAGAGCGAATATTTTCAAATGTGATAAAATAACACAAGTGACTGGTGATAAAATTTGAAATTATGCTTAATCTCCTTGGCTGTGATCTTATGTATATAAAGTTAAATTTAAATATATGTTCATATATTGATTACAAAATCCAGAATAAATGTCATTTTATTTTAAAATAGCACCTTTGTGTACAATGCCATAGCATTTGTATTATTCAGATGGTTTGTCAGTTACCTTCATCTTTTTTCCTCTCTAAGATTGTTTTACATATGGGACTATTTCCCTCTCCAAATAGTCCTAAATCTAAACATTTTGCTTCTTGTCCAAATAAATAAAAATAATCCAGACATCCAATTTAAAAAATTGTTTCTTTCCTAGACTACCTTGTACAGGAAATATCACCAAGATTCTTTGTCACTCCATCTTCCAGATTTGGGTTAAAGAAAATGGGGTGATTCACAACAGATGTGAGAATTATGAACCTCAAAGGTTGCCCAGTTCCTTCCTATTTCCCCCTGTTCCTAAAATGACAGAGCACTTAGGTTTTCCCTGCATTTGGGTAACTGGCTGACTGCAGGCTGTGGACCTTGGCCAGATGGGAGGCTGTAGTGACAGAGGCTGGATGAGAAGCCAGGTTCCCTCTAACACCCCTACCCCCCACCCCGCAACTCCCCAGGTGCTCCATTGAAGAAACCAGAAAGAAGCCAGACATTTTGCTACGGAACCAACTTGCTCCCTACATCAGAGAGAGATGGCTGCCAGTCTCCTAGCTGGAGGGATTGCATTTCCTGGTTCTGATCTTGGAGGTGAAACAGTAAGACCACGCTTTTTGTTTTACCAGACAAGGAGCCTACTGGAAACATTCTTCTCGGTTAAAAAACAAATTTCTCCATTTAACAACTGGGCTTTAGCTAACGTTATTACCACTAGCAATTTACCATCCTTTGAACTTAAATTAAAACTTTGACACCTCTTTATAAAAAGCCTCCACATAAAACATAATTATTGTAATGAAGATGCATTGCTTCTCATTGGGGATTTATGGCAACTATTTTATTCAATTTGCTGAGGAATGTCAGGATGAAATGACAGGGGTAACCCCTGAAAAAATAACCACCAAAGATAATTCTTCAGGAGAACAGGTGAAACAGTGTAGGACAGCAGGCTATTATCTGTTGCAGTTAAATGTCGTCCATTTCTGAGATGGACACACAAGGCCATCAGTCAATTGAACTGGACTTCGATCAAAGAGAGCATTTTACTTTCTGTCCTATTGATGGTGTCTCATAACAAAATAATAATTTGCATTTCTACGGTGCCTTTCATCTCATAGGATTTTACAGATGCTAAATTATTTAGCTTTATAACAATTCTGAGAGGTAAATTTCTTGAGACACTAACCTGAGGCACTGATAAACTAAATGACCTACCCAAGGGCACAGCTCCAAACAGATCCTGAAGAACAGCTTAATCTTGTCTCCCGGGGGCATTTCTGTTTCCTCATTTTTTATGGTTAAGCTCATCTGAGCGCTTTTCTCACTCAAACAGATGTTTCTTTTTAAACTCCAATCAGAATCACCCCATTGTTCTGGGACATAAAGAATATAGCCAAGTAAATCCCTTCAGAACATAGCTTAGTCTCCATGCTTTTATTTTTTAATTATTAGTGAACAAATCATCTGACAAGGGTGAGGAACTGGCAGATAATCTGGGATCTCATTTCAGAGGGACGCCCTTCAACACACTGCACAAATATGTCACCTTCTTTTGCATGGTGCACAGTTGAGCTTTATTTATGAGAGCAGTTCAAGATTTGTGTGCTTAAATTTTATAGTCTCTGCATAGACTGACAGGATAATAATGGCAGAAAGAATGTAGTAGTCAACCTTCCTGATTCAGGTTCTCTCAATTGAGCCTGAGGTAGAATTTCTGAGGCCGGAGGTAGAAGAGGTTAGGATGGGGAGGGAGGGTAATTAATTATTTCTCAGGCTACAGAGGCTGACGAAGAAGAAATAAAATTGGGTGGGCCTAAGAACATAAAACTAAGGACCGAGGACATTTTCATATTGTTCAAATAATTAGTTGGTTAGCCATCGGGCTGAGACATTCCAGGGCCTTGGGTTCCTACACAAGAAAACTAAAACCCAACTCAAACAATAAAATGGAACTTAAGCTCAACCAATCAGAAACTGCCAAGCGCCCTCTAAGTGGAGACTTTACCAATTAGAAACCACTAACTAACCTCCAGCTGGGGACTTTCCACTTCAACCAATCACATGTTTTCTTTGTCTCACTTCAAGGAACACCTTGTAAAGGTTGTAAACGTTGTCTCTACTGCCCTCTTGTGGAGCTACTTCCAGGAACACCTTGTAAACGTTGTCTCTCCTGCCCTCTTGTGGAACTCTCACTTGAGCTTTGTTGCTGCCAGATTCATGAATTGCTGTCAGCTCAAATAAACCCATTAAATTTTAAATGTGCCTAAATTTATCCTTTGACATCCCCCAAATATGTAAGTCTTGTTTGCATTAAGGATGAGAAACAGCATCTTCTAGCTATTCTTCCTGATGCTCCTCCTCCTCCCCACTCACCCTCTGACAGGCCCCAGTGTGTGCTGTTCCCCCCACTCATGTGTCCATGCATTCTCATCATTCAGCTCCCACTTACAAGTGAGAACATGCAGTATTTGGTTTTCTGCTCCCATGTTAGTTTGCTGAGGATAACGGCCTTTAGCTCCATCCATGTCCCTGTAAAGGAAATGATCTTGTTCCTTTTTATGGCTGCATAGTATTCCATGGTGTATATATACCACATTTTCTTGATCCAGTCTATCATTGATAGGCATTTAGGTTGATATGTCTTTGCTATTGTGAGTAGTGCTGCAATGAACATAAGTGTGTGTGCATCTTTATAATAGAATGATTTATATTCCTTTGGGTATACACCTAGTAACGGGATTGCTGGGTCAAATGGTATTTTTTTCTTTAGGTCTTTGAAGAATTGTCACACTGTCTTTCTACAATAGTTGAAGTAATTTACATGCCCACCAACAGTGTAAAAGCATTCCTTTTTCTCCACAATGTCGCCAGCATCTGTTTTTTTTTTCTTTAGATGGAGTCTCCCTCTGTCGCCCAGGCTGGAATGCAGTGGCGCGATCTCGGCTCACTGCAACCTCCTCCTCCTGGGTTCAAGTGATTCTCCTGCCTCAGCCTCCTGAGTAGCTGGGATTACAGGTGCACACTTTTGTATTTTTAGTAGAGATGGGGTTTCACCATGTTGGTCAGGCTGGTCTTGAACTCCTGACCTGGTGATGTGCCCACCTTGGCCTCTCAAAGTGCTGGGATTGCAGGCATGAGCCACCGCACCTGGCCACATCTGTTGGTTTTTGACTTTTTAATCATAGCCATTCTGACTGGCATGAGATGGTATCTCATTGTGGTTTTGATTTGCATTTCTCTAATGATCAGTGATGTTGAGCTTCTTTTCATGTGGACACACATTCACCATGAATTTCTCAGGCTGTATCTTTGTTTGGCAGATGTAAGGGTACGGCCAGTGAGCAGTGGCTGTCCACGCACAGGCACTTCCCTTGACCTGCTGACTCAGACACCTGGGGCGGGGCTGGATGATCTCTGTCTTCCAAGCCCTGCAGGTGATGCTGGTGCATACTCAAGTTGAGAATGAAGGGACAGAAATTACTTTAAATGGAAAACTCCTGAACAGTCAGCAACTGCAGAAAGGAAACACTGCCTCTACATAAGCAGCTGCCCCAGAACACAGAGGCAGCTGCTATTGACGCCCTCTGGGGGGACTTCCTGCTTGGAAGAGGGTTGAACCCTCACCGAGATGCGCGTTCAGCTGCCCATTAGCATCAAGACTAGGAAACGACCTTCCACACTCCTCCGGAAGCCCTGAGCTCCTCTTGTTACCGTGTTCGTTGGTATGTACGCCTTTTCCTCATTCTTGAGCCCTCACATGGACCTTCCACACTCCTCCGGAAGCCCTGAGCTCCTCCTGTTACCATGTTCGTTGGTATTACACCTTTTCCTCATTCCTGAGTCCTCACGTGGACCTTCCAAACTTCTCTGGAAGCCCTGAGCCCCTCCTGTTACCGTGTTCATTGCTATGCATGCCTTTTCCTCATTCCTGAGCCCTCACAAGCGTGCATGAGCACAAGTAGATGGACCTGCTCTCTCCTGTCCACCTTTCTATTGTCAGTTCATTTGCAGACCCCAAACATTTGAAGCTAGGATGGTAGAGGAAAACGTTTCCCCCCAATAAGAACTGGTCTCAGGCTGCTCACCTGTGCCGTGTTCTCCACCAGCACGCCTTTCGCAAGTGACAGATGGAAACTCATGCAGAAGCAGGCACCAGAGCCAACACTCCTGGAAGGAGGTGGCACTGGGGGCCATGTGGAGAGCCTCACCTGGAATATCTTGTCTCATCCTTGCACAGACCTGGCAGGGTAGAAATCGGCCGTCTAGAGCCCATTGATGGGGCCGGGTTTGGAGGAAGCAGAGCCGAGGCGCTGATGGAAGCATGTAAAAGGAAGACCTAGCCTCACCTGCAGGGAAGAGGGTGAGTAAGTGCGGCGTCTGGGGCACACCTGGGAAAACCCCAGGCTCATCAGGCGATGAGGGCACTGCAGACATGACGCTGATCCTAGGACTTTCTTTTGCTCTCCCAGAAGTATTTAGCAGAGGCTGAGGTCTAGGGCATGGGGTGAGAGGTTGAGGAAATGTCGGTCAACAGATATAAAATTTCAGTTGAACAAGAGGAATAAATTCAACAGACTTATTGTACAACACGGTGACTCTAGTTAATAACAACATATTGTATTTTCCAAAAAAAAAAAAAAGAGTGAAAGGGTGTATAATACAATGATAAGAAGGACAGGAAATCAACAAATAAAAATAAATCCTACTTGTGCTTTGTCCCTCTCTGATTCTCCTCCTCCCTCTCTTTCTCTTTTCCCAATCTTGATTTTGTGAAATCTGATTTTGTGAAATGGGAACATGATCTCCACTCCAGGTTTCTGTGCTAAGTAAAGCCATTCCCACAGAGCCTGGCAAAGGTGTGGGTGCTCCCTACCTCAGAGCCCTTCTGCGCACCCCAGGGCCATTTCTCTCCTGCTTAGGCTGTCCAAGGTCAGGGGAGCCCAGGGGAACCTTCCGTCCAGGCCTGGCCTGCCCCTCACCTGCTGAGTGAGTTCAGGTAAAGGATTTATCAGCTTTCTGTCTGGGCTTCCCTTAACTATAAAAAAGAAGCATTGAGGGTGTTCAGGTGGAGGCCTCTGCATCACCCATTTCCTTTAGACCTCAGCTCTCGATCAACAAAGATTTAGTAGAAGCACCTCCCACGTGCAAGGCACTGTGTGAGGAATGAGGACTCTAGCGCTGGACACATGAAGACACCATCTCTGTCTTTATGTGGCTTACAGTTTATGGGGCAGAAAGATCATCCAAAAAATCACAAAGTCATGTTTGATTACAAACTGTGACAGATTTGCTCCAGTTGCCATAAAAATCCAGCACAGACTGTGGGGGTGGTTAGCATGGAAGCTCATGGGCGGAAGAGACAAAGAAACAGGGCATTGCCCTTTCATGGTCATTGCGGTGTCTGTGAGTGACAGGCCACTGGCCCAGCATCAGTGCAAGTGACAGACTCAGATCTGAGACAGACAGACAGACAGACATGAATTAGATCCCAGCTCCATCTCTCACTGCTTGCAAGACTTCGAGAATGTTCCTAACCTATAAAATCTCTGCTTTCCATACCTACAGAAGGAGGGTAAGGCCAATGCCATGGGGTTGCTTTGAGAATTAATTGAAGTAACACAGGCAAGCCCTTGGCTTTGGGGCTGCTCCACCATGCGGCTGCCGACATGTTCCAGTCACCTGTCTGGAGCTGTTCAGGGTGGTGCTTTGGGGTGCTCTGTCCCCATGGAGTCTTCAACCAATAGCAGCTGGAATGGGCTCCATCCGTGAGACAGGACGGAGGCAGAGAGTTTGCAGTTCCAACCCTGACAGCTAAAGAGCAGAAGACCACAGGTCCCAGAGACCTGTCAGTAAGGACCTGCCCCTTCCTGGGCTGTGGACTTTCTATTTTGGACAATCTAAGCGAACAATATTGGGCTTCCCCTAAGTGACTGATTTTCTGTAAAGGCAAAACCACCAAATTAGCACCTCACACATGAACTCATTCATCTGGCAACTAGGCCAAACCCAACCAAAGATTTTTTTCCGCAAGTTTCCAGGACAGTTTGTTTATGGTCAGAGTCTTAGAGAAGGGAATGAACTGCAGGGTCCACTTACAAAATTTACAATTTGAGAAACCCTAGTTGCCTCAGCATCAGTTATGCCTCTTTGCACCTGAACTGGGACCAAATGAACAGAAGCAACAGTGAATGAGTGTTGAAGAGGGTGTGGGATATGATGAGGTTTCTCTTCAAATAACCTGATCAATCTTTTATCCTTTAGTTCTTGGTACCCCCCTCCCTCCTTTTTTCCCTTTTCTCCTTTTTTTTCTTCCTGCCTTTGTTAGATGCCCAGGCACGCCGCGATACCAGGCATTATCAATACCGGCTCACATTCCTTTCCTTATTAAAAAAAACAACAACTAACTTTCTAGCTAATTAACAGACACCCCTTCCCCTTTCCTCTCTGCTTTCTTTTACGTGCCCACCTTATCTTAAAAAAAATAAAATGTTTAGCCAACCGCGATTATTTTATATTGTATAACCCAATCCCAGCCAATAGAAAAAGAGTACAAAGGCAGGACTTGGTCAAAAATGAAGACTTTCATGCCGCTTTGTTCAGGTGAGCTCTCATGGTGACTGGCCAATGAGGCACCCCTCTGTGCAAAAATAAAATCGCTTTGCTAAAAATCGTTTGTTCAAGTATTCAATTTCCTTAGAAGTTTAAGCGTTATTCCTAACAAGGGCATCCGGCTTCCACGTGGCACATGGAATGGTACCTTCCGTGGCATGGCACAGGGATACCGTGGTTCCCAGAGCCAGCCAGTGAGCGGCAGAAACCCGTGGGCTGCCGACCTGCCCTGTGATTGGGAACATCCCCTGCGCTGCGAGAGTGGTTTTCCTCACGCTACCTGGCTGGGCCATCTGGGCTGCAACACACCAGCATCATCGGCTTTCCATGCACCTTCCCCGCTATGCGTTCTGACATGGCCAGGAAGGAAGGCTCACCTCGAGCACGACACTGAACTCAGAGGTGCCTTGCCTCTATCAGTGACCAGACAAACCATTTCCCATGTTTGTTTTGTTTACTTTGTTTTTGGCCAGGGAGAGCATGGAAAATGGCTCATCAGGATTTAAGCGTGCGGGGACCTGACATGACATTGCTCAGGACGGTCACATTTGTCCCTTCCCATAGAGGACTTGTCCCCTGATAAGCCTACATGTAGGACAACCGACCGAGTGGAATGGAACCGGCAGGGAGAAGCCGTGGCAAATTCCCTCCAGAAACAGCGACGCCCTCCCACGCCCGACTGACTTCCCAGTGCAGTGTGTGGAACTCCTCTGAGTGGGGTGACCCTACTGACTTAGATCATCTCCATAAGGCCCAGGTGAAGGTGAATATGACAACCCCACCACTTAGTCACAGCCAGCTTCCTGTCCAATAAGATAAGAACAAAACTCCAGGAAGGCAGGACGTGTGATGGCGGGTCTGAGTCACTCCCTCCAGACACGTGGCTGCCGCAGGCCAGCTTCTTCAGGTCCATTTTCCTCAGGCAGAATCCATCTGAAGCCATATTCTCCCTGTCCTGCACACACTATGCATTAAAACATCCAGGTAGATTCACGGCCGGGTGCAGTGGCTCACGCCTGTAATCCCAGCACTTTTGGAGGCCAAGGCAGGTGCATCACCTTAGGTCAAGAGCTTGAGACCAGCCTTGCCAACATGTGAAACCCCGTGTCTACTACAAATACAAAAATTAGCCAGGCGTGGTAGTGGGCGCCTGTAATCCCAGCCACTCAGGAGTCTGAGGCAGGAGAATTGCTTGAACTTGGGAGGTGGAGGTTGCAGTGAGCCAAAATTCCACCACCGCACTCCAGCCTGGATAGTAGAGTGAGACTCCGTCTCAGAAAAAATAATAATAAAAAACAACATTCAGGTAGATTTAAAGCATTTGGAATAAGGCCTCGGTGACTCACAGTAGCCTTCTATGCCACAGTTAAAGCTAAGCTCTATTTATACCTGGGGCAGTAGGGTGCTGTGCAGCAGCTTGTGTCTACCTGAGGTCTGCCCAGGGGAAATGGATTCTAGCCTTTCTTGCAAAATGAGTTCTAGCCTTTCTTTGTATGTGGAAAGGCTGGGACAAGGCAAAGCAGGACCATAGCTTTTCCAGGAGGGCTGGAGAGACAGTAAGGCTTATGTAGATCTCCATGTGATAGCAACATTTCCTAAAGCTCTTTCACTTCCATGTCCCAGAAAACCAAAAATGTTCCACAGCCTCCACGGGGCATTGTAACTGTTTCCACAAGGAAGGCAGAATAACCTTCTTGTATCCTCCCTCTTAGTTTAGCCAAACTCAGTAAATTTGCTCTTCAATCCGAACCTCTGAAAGATCTGGAGTTGTGTCCTAATGCTCTGCTGAAGCCAGTCAAGTGGGGCCATTTAGGGTTTGGTCAAAGATGATTCAGTAAGATATGCACACATATATTTAAAGGGATGGATTACGGAGAACTGAGCTTAGGCCAGGATGCAAACTGGCTAAATAATTGGTGTAGGCTGTAGTTTCTGCATCTGGTGCTGAAGTCTGGAAGGTCTGGGGCAAATATTTGGACCCCCAGTGATCCCCACCTCTGGGTGTTTATGGCCTTGTGCCATCCCCTCCTTTTAAGTAACTTGCTTCTAATCACCAGAATACAGCAACAGTGAGGGGAGGCCACTTCAGAGATGAGGTTATAGAAGACTGTGACTTCTCTCTTGCACACTTTCTCTCCCTGGCTTTTCTCATGCATTTGCTCTGATGGAGGGGCCACTTAGAGGCAAACAGAGCAGGCTTAGCCAAAAACCAGCAAGGAACTGAGGACTCAACCCACCAGCCTGCAAGCAATGGAGTTCTGTCAGTGCACTTATAGGGGACCTCAGAAGCAGTCCCTTCCCCTGCTGAGCCTTCAGATGAGCCCTTGCCTCTGGCCAATACCTGAGTGAGGACCAGTGAGTGACCCAAGCCAGCTAAGCCACACAAAGATCCCTGATCCACAAAAACTGTGAGATAATAAATGTGTCTTGTTTGTTTTTTTTTGAGACAAAGTCTCACTCTGTCACCCAGGCTGGAGTGCAGTGGCAAGACCTTGGCTCACTGCAACCCCTGCCTCCTGGGTTCAAGCAATTCTTGTGCCTCGGCCTCCCGAGTAGCTAGGATTACAGGTGCCCACGATCATGCCCAGCTAATTTTTGTATTTTTAGTAGAGACAGGGTTTCACCACGTTGGCCAGGCTGGTCTCAAACTCCTGACCTCAGGTGATCCACCCGCCTTGGCCTCCCAAAGTGCTGGGATTACAGGCCTGAGCCATGGCGCCTGGCCTAAATGTGCTTTGTTTTAAGCTGCCAAGCTTGGGGCAGCTACCACACCACCACCATGATCTGTTTTCTGGCCTTTGAACACATCTCATTTATTCTCTTTTTCCTTTTTTTTTTTTTAGATGGAGTCTTGCTGTGTTGCCCAGTCTGGAGTGCAGTGGCACGATCTCAGCTGACTGTAAGCTCTGCCTCCCGGGTTCATGCCATTCTCCTGCCTCAGCCTCCCGAGTAGCTGGGACTACAGGCGCCCGCCACCATGCCTGGCTAATTTTTTGTATTTTTTAGTAGAGACGGGGTTTCACCATGTTAGCCAGGATGGTCTCGATCTCCTGGCCTCGTGATCTGCCCGCCTCAGCCTCCCAAAGTGCTGGGATTACAGGCATGAGCCACTGCGCCTGGCCTATTTATTCGCTTTTTTCTTATCCTGTTTTCTTCACCAAGATTGTCACTGACCTTGCTCAGTGTCTGTCTAATTCTTCACCACCCAGGTTAGTTTCCACTTTCCCTCTGAGCCTTTCTGATTATTTCAACTCACGATGGTTTTTCTCTTCCACAAGACACAGAATTTATTGTCTCAACCAGGTCAGGGTTTCTTTGGGCATTCCCCCTGTCCTCGGAATAGCATAGCCCAAATCATGGCACAAGTAGGATTTATTTTTATTTGTTTATTTTCTGTCCTTCTTATCATCATATTATATACCCTTTCACTCTTTTTTATTTTTGAAAATACAGTATGTTGTTATTAACTAGAGTCACCATGCTGTACAATGTGTCCGTTGAATTTATTCCTCCTGTCCAACTGAAATTTTATATCTTTTCACCAACATTTCCCCAACCTCTTACCCCACTCTCCATACCTCAGCCTCTGGTAACCACTATTCTTCTCTCTGCTTCTATGAGTTCAACTTTAAAAATTTTCCACAGATGAGTGAGGTTAGGTGGTATTTGTCTTTCTGTGCCTGGGTTATTTCACTTAATATCATGTCCTCCAGGCTCATCCATGTTGTTGTGAATTGCAGGATTTTCTTCTTTTTAAAAGCTGAATAGTCTTCCGTTGTGCATATGTACCACATTTTCTTCATTCGTTCATGCCTTGATGGATACTTAGGTTGATTCCATATCTTGGCGATCGTGGACAGTGCTGCAGTGAACATGGGAGTCTAGTGACGTCTTTGGTATGCTAATTTCAAATCCTTTAGATGTATATCGAGAAGTGGAATTAATGGGTCCAAGTGGGATTGAATACCAGACAGATGAATCATGAATGCGAGCAGGATTTGCATTTCTTTAGAAGCGAAACTGGAGAAGATTGGAGGTTAAACATTGGATCAACATTGGTTGTCAGCTTGAGCATGAGAGTTGGGTGAGAGGCAGGTGCAGTGCAGGGAAGTGTTGATGAGAGAGAAGCAGGCCTGAGTGAGGGCTTCTATTTGTCTGTTCTCACATTGCTGTAAAGAACTGCCTGAGACTGGGCCATTTATAAAGAAAAGAGGTTTAATTGACTCACAGTTCCATAGGCTGTACAGGAAGCATGGCTGGGGAGGCCTCAGGAAACTTACAATCATGGCAGAAGGTGAAGGGGAAGCAGGCAGTCTTACAAGCCAGAGAAGGAGGAAGAGAGGGTGAAGGGGAGGAGCCACATGCCTTTAAACAACCAGATCTTGTGAGAACTCATCACTGTCACAAGAATAGCAAGGGAGAAATCCACCCCCATGATCCAGTCACCTCCCACCAGGCCCCTCCTCCAACACCGGGGATTATAATTCAACATGAGATTTGGATGCGGACACAAATCCAACCATATCATCAGGGGAGAGCTGGCAACTGTGCTGAAAGCTTCTGAGGGCCCTATAAGCCGAGAACAAGAAAGTGATCATCAGCTGTGGTGATGTAGGGGTAAGTCCTGATTGTGACAAGAGGCATCTCAGAAGAACTACAGAAAAAAAGGGGAACATCAAATTATCCATGTGATGGGAATTGAAGATGTAGACAGTTCTGGCATTATGGCTGAGAATGTGACAAAATAGATGGGACGTTAAAAAGAGAGAGGAAGGTGGAATTGAGGAGGGGCCTGAAACAAATCTTGATAATTAAACGGACACCTTTGACAAATTACTCAGATTCTTTGGGCCTCGCTCTTTCCATCTATAAAACAGGAGTAATCATAACAGGTGATCTATTTTGTTATTGAGAGTTAGATGAAGTAGAGATAGAAATAATATCCTAATGTGGGTGGCAACACAATTTGTCTGTACTAGTTAACGGAGACAAGAGTAATGATAAGAATATGGCAATTATTGGAGTAGATGAATTAATATTAGGTTGATGCAAAAGTAATTTTGGTTTTGCAATTAAAAGTCATGGCAAAAGCAGAAATTACGTTTGCACAGACCTAATACTTCATTTAGTAGGGTCGTCAAATCTTAACCCTACAACAAATTACATTTATATCTTTGTGATTACTCTTTGTATAACTATTCAGTTGCTCTCCATCTTATAATTACTAAAACCTCCTAATCCTCAGTAAGTCCTTCCTGGAACCCCTTAAATCACAGTCTGTAACCACACTCCCCCTCGCCCTTTCATCTCTACCCCAACTTTTGGGGTTCATACCACAGCTGTGCTCGGCTTGTTTCTTTATATGTGTTTGCATGAAGATACCTGCCTCCATGTGAATTCTACCTAATTAGAGCTATGAGATTTTCCTCAAATATGTAAATTCTGTAATTATTTCAGAGTTGACATATGGATGCACTTTCCCATATGTTTACTATATTGTTGATATTCATGGGACTAAATGTTTTCAGTAACCCCTTAGATGAAAAATTTCAAAATGGATCTGACAAAGAAAAATTGTTCATAACAAATATGAAGCTACAGGTATCTAATGAGTATGAAGCGCTTATGATTGGAGCCTCCAGCCCCAGCAATCATGCAGGCAGGTCATCCACATTTTACCGAGGGCCTGTTCCTTCAGTTGGTTATTCCAGCTCAGAGGAAATCACTCATTGGGGTAATTGCCTCCATTCAAGTGGAGGCTGGAGGCTGGCAGACACTTTGTGTTGAGAGAGTGCATCTGCCTCAGGAGGCTCCTCAGGCTGGCCAAGGCGGGATCCTTTGGAAGAGATGGCAGCTTCCAGAGGGGCCTCTGTGTGGGTCTTCTGATGTGCAGAAAGAGGTCTCTGTAGCCATTCTGCCAATTCCCATTCTGAAAAAAGCTCTCATTGTCAAGATTCATCTTCATGGTACCAAAAAGAGGTGGAAATTTGTGGCTATGCTCATGGCCGTTGGTGGCATTGAAGAGGGAGAAATTTGTGGCTATGCTCACGGCCGCTGGTGGCATTGAAGAGGTGGAAATTGGTGGCTATGCTCACGGCCGCTGGTGGCATTGAAGAGGGAGAAATTGGTGGCTATGCTCACGGCCGCTGGTGGCATTGAAGAGGGAGAAATTGGTGGCTATGCTCACGGCCGCTGGTGACATTGAAGAGGGAGAAATTTGTGGCTATGCTCACGGCCGCTGGTGGCATTGAAGAGGGAGAAATTGGTGGCTATGCTCACGGCCGCTGGTGGCATTGAAGAGGGAGAAATTGGTGGCTATGCTCATGGCTGTTGGTGGCATTGAAGAGGGAGAAATTGGTGGCTATGCTCACGGCCGCTGGTGACATTGAAGAGGGAGAAATTTGTGGCTATGCTCACGGCCGCTGGTGGCATTGAAGAGGGAGAAATTGGTGGCTATGCTCACGGCCGCTGGTGGCATTGAAGAGGGAGAAATTGGTGGCTATGCTCATGGCTGTTGGTGGCATTGAAGAGGGAGAAATTGGTGGCTATGCTCACGGCCGCTGGTGGCATTGAAGAGGTGGAAATTGGTGGCTATGCTCATGGCCATTGGTGGCATTGAAGCATGGAGCCAGCGCAGGTGGCTTTTGGCACTGGCTGGTGCACTCTACATGGACCTGAGGGCAGCACAGGTGCGGGCCACAAGTGTGCAGGTGCTGTAATAAAAACATTACAGAAAGATGGTGGGGGGTAGAGGACTTATTGAGAAATGCCTGCTCCCAGCTCAGCTTTCCTCAGAGCTGCCTGGAGTTGGTGCTCCTAGGGGCAGCTGGCTCAGTGGGGAAAAGGCTATGACAAACGCTGAGCCTCTGTGTGGCTCTTCGCTGGCTCCACAGCTGCTGCTGGGCCCCATTCTATTCCCTATCATGAGACGTTGGCCACCTCATGGGGATATCTTCCTGTCTATCTGCTCACAAGGCACCACTGGCAGCCACTAGGCACACAGTGACTATATCTAGAATGAATGAGCACAACCTCCACCCATGGCTTGATGCAGGATGTTCCCCCGCCCCAGAAGGCCCCCTCGGGCCCCTCCCAGTCAACACTACCCAACGGCTAACCCTGCTTCTGTGGCCAGCAAGGCAGTATCTGCCTGGGTTTGAACAGTGTATGAGGAGTCACACCCGGTACACCCTGGGGTGTGGGCTGGTCCTCCAGGAAGCAGATGCCCAGACAGATAGGACTGCGAATGTTTATTAAGGGAAACACTATGGAAATGAGAGGGAGAGGAGGCAGCACCGGGCACGGAGCACAAAACACGTTGGATACTCTTCCAAGATATCACGGCTCAGGAGAGTCTTCCAACGGTCCTGTAAGGTAACAGGATTCTGGTCTATTTCCATGTGATCTTCTTTTGCCCAACATACATTTTGTCTTCTATAAAATATCTGTGCCCCTGCTGAATGCATCTGTGGGTGGCTGCATCTGTGTCTGTATGTCATGGAGAATAATTATCGACAGATCACAGATACAGATCTCAGAGGTGAACTGTGTATGCATTCCCGTAATTTCCTCATCTCGTAAGGATCTGAATTTTAATCTTGGATATAGGCGCTTTCCCTTATCTTTTATAACAGAGGTTGGAAATCCCAGGCCTGAGCTGTTACACCCTAAGGTTTATTTAATGAACTTCGGTGAATATCTTTTGCTGATCTTCTGAGTGGGAATATTTTCATTTAACCAGCGAGAGGGGTGAGGGTCTAACACCTACCAGCTGTTTTGCAAGATGCTTTCTTTATAGGCTTGGTCTCTTAGTGCTCACAAAGACCTCATAACCACATCATTCCTGGCTCATTTATAAGGAAGCTGGGGCTCTGAGTCCCACTGAGAGTTGGTGTCTGGGCTCAGGCAGCAGGGACACAGGGAAGGGCGAGGAGTTTGCACGCCAAGCATGGGAGATGCAAAGCTGGGCGTCGCGGAAGGAGAGGGTGCTGGGGATGAGACGATGCCAGAGCAGCTCAGCATGGGCCTTGATTTCCCCACCAGAGGTGGCCTCATTCTGAAGGCCAAGGCCACAGCTCCACTGCACCTGACCCATCCTCACTGTTAGTCTCCTTGGGCCTAAAAACTCAGGGAGACAGGGCCCCCTGACAACGAAGTGAAATTTCCCAGACCTTGAGGCATTTACTCACCCTGATTCAAAGCCTTCACACATCCGGGGAAAGATTCATCTTTCCTACAGGTAACGGACTAAAGGCTGTAGTGCAACAAGTAAGTGCTGGGGGCAGTAATTGCCTGTGCGCACGGTGCATCTGAGCTCTCCCACGGGGGCTCTGTGTGGCACTCATGCAGCCTCCACACCCCTGCTCACAGTGCTTGCTCGGCCAGAAGCAGCCTTCCAGCTCCACCTGAGTGCAACAAAGCCCCATGTGACGCCTCCCTGCTTCATCCTTCTCTTCCACAGCCTCCTGTTTATTCCCAAGAGATTCTGTCTCTGCCTTCTGCACCCTGGGTCCCTTCACCTGTGCTTCCATTAGGAGTGGTCAGAGGCTCTGTGCCCTTCTGTGTGGGTCTCTCTCCTGCAGGACACAGGATACCCTGCAAGTCAGGGATGGGTCTCATCCCTCACAGAGCTGGTCCTATGGCCCAGGTTCCATACACGCCTGCAGAACTGGTATTTCTGGATTCTATAAGCAATCTCTGGCTGGGCACAGTGGCTCATGCCTGTAATCTCAGCACTTTGAGAGGCCAAAGTGGGCAGATGGCATGAGTCTAGGAGTTCGAGACCAGCCTGAGCAACATGGTGAAGCATGGTCTCCACAAAATTAAAAAGAAAAAAATTAGCCAGTCATGGTGGCGCAGGCCTGTAGTACCAGCTACTCCAGAAGCTTAGATGGGAGGATCACCAGAGCACTGGAGGCGGAGGTTGCAGTGAATCAGGGTTGCACCACTGGACTCCAGCCTGGGTGATAGAGCGAGACTTTGTCCCCCTAAAATAAAAAATACTATTTCCTCATCTACAAGAGAACCCTGCTGCCAAGGTCATGATGAGGAACTAATGCAACCGAGAGTGTATCCTCGGAAACTTGAGAAAAGTGACCACATCTTCAGCCAGTGTTACCATGGTGCTACAGAGCCCTGCAGTACCATCTGTGACATTTCCATTCACCTAAACAAAGGAAACAGGAATCCATTTCACAAGTCAGTTTCTACTGTTCAGAAAAACAAACCAAATGGTGCATGTGGAGGTGGTGGTCAAGGTCGCAGTGGCCACATGGGTATAGGAAGTGGCTGAGGTCCCAGAGGACACTCAGGTGAAGGACTCGGTTGAGATAGCAGAGGCCAGCCAAGTGGAGGAGGTCGCTGATGTACTAGAGGAGACCTGGGTGGAGAAGGTGGCTGAAGTCCCAAGGCCACGAGTGGAGACTATTGAAGTACCAGAGGAGACTCATGTGAAAGTGGTAGGGGAGGGGCCAGAGGCCACCCAGGTAGGGGAGGTGGCTGAGGCTCCACAGGCTACTAAGTGGAGGAGTAGGCTGAGGTCCCACAGGCCACACAGCAGAAGAAGGTTGATGAGGTCCCAGAGGACTAACAGCTGCAGGAGGTGGATGAGGTCTCAGAAGACAGGCAGCTGCAGGAGGTGGATGAGGTCCCAGAGGACAGGCAGCTGCAGGAGGTGGATGAGGTCTCAGAGGACAAAGAGCTTCGGGAAGTGGTCGAGGTCCCAGAGGACAGAGAGTTGTAGGAGATAGTTGAGGTCCCAGAGGACACTCCAGTGGAGGAGGTGCTTCAGTTCCCAGAGGGCAGTCGAGTGGAGGAGGTTGATGAGGTCCCAGAGGGCACTTGAGTGCAGGAGGTGGTTGAGGTCCCAGAGGAAACTTTAATAAGAAGGTTGTTGAGGTTCCAGAGGACACTCAACTGGAGGAGGTGGTTGAGGTCCCAGAGGACACTCAACTGGAGGAGGTGGTTGAGGTCCCAGAGGACACTTGAGTGGAGGTGGTTGAGGTCCCAGAGGACACTCAAGTGCAGTAGGTAGTTGAAGTCCCAGAGGACACTAGAGTGGAGGAGATGATTGAAGTTCCAGGGGACACTCGAGTGGAGGACATTGCTGAGGTCCATTAGGAAACTTGAGTGGAGGAGGTATCTGAGTTCTCAGTAAAACTTCAGCTGGAGAAGGTGTTTCAGGTCCCAGAGGATGTTCGAGTGGAGGATGTATCAGAGGTCCCAGAAAACCTTCAGTTGCAGAGAGTGGTTGAGGTCCCAGAGGACACGGAGGTGGAGGGGGTGGCTGGCAGCCCATCAATGGTCCGGAAGGGCCAGCCATGAGGTAGGGCAAGTAGGGCGATTCTGACAGAGAACGAGGCTCCTGTTCAGCCATGTTGACCTGCAAGGCAGAGGAAGAAATGTTTTGAAACATATTAATATGAGGGACAAAACACCAAGACCAACACAAGCTGCACCTCATGCTGCAGGTGATGGTCTCTTGCACCTTCCCCTTCTTCAGGTTCCTCAACAGCAGCATCAGTGCCATAAAGTCTCCCTTCCACTGAGTCCTGCTAACAGCAGAGGAGTGAAAAAAACTCATGGGACAAACTGCTGTCCCCACACGTCACTGTGTCTGTCTGCAAATGTAGGAAGGATGGGGACCTGTCCCAGGGAAGACAGAGTCATTCCGCAGTGATAAAGCAGCATGTTTCTGACACAGGGGTGTCTGTGCCTATCCTCATTCCTCCCTCATCACCATCACCGGAGCATGCTCCTTGCATCAGATAAACAGAAAGAGAGGAATGGAAAGCCCATTGCTCACACATGAGTCACAGCTATTCTTAAGAGAATGTTCTCCAGGCCTTTCATGTCCTATCACTGATTCTCAGAACTCTGCAAGGTCAGTGTGACCACCCTGCTCCAAACCTAAGAAAATGGAGGCTCCCAAAGGAAGGAGAAAATTCACCCAGCGTCACACAGCTTGCAAGAGGCAGAGAGGAAGCCGATTCCAGCTCTGCCTGCAGGACCCTCTCATCCCCCCTCCGCTTCCCTTCTTGACAAAGGGTCTTCTCCACTCTGGAGGTGCCACCTGTGGGCACAAAGGTCTCTGGGGAGATGTGGATTCCTGAAGACCTGCAGGGGAATTGGGAGAGGGTTTTCTCACAGGATGATCCTATGTAGAGAGGTGAGTTTGGCACAGCTATCATATTGCTTTTAACTCTCAGGCAATACCAAATTTTAAGTACACTATGACATAAAAAATAAGTTTGTCCATGGAAAAATGAGGGGGGATTTCTAAACAACAGAAGTTTTAAAAATGTGTTTGATTTCAAGTGTACAAGTCCCATCATGTGTGATCAGAGGACGCAGCAGCTGTCGAAACTACAGAGGCCACATGAGAATCAGCTTCACTGAGCATCACTGAAGGTCTTCATTGGGAACTGTCCTTGTAGGCAATGAGGGACGTTCACTCTTCACTACCTCACAGCCAGGGCACATTTTCTATTGCAAATATAGAACCTCTGACACCTAGAATATGAGATCAAGGGCACCACTGGGTGGTGGTGGGGGCGATTTTGCACAACGCAGCTACCAACAGAGCTGGGACTACAATGAATTATGGAATTGGCTTTTTCGAAGAGTATTCAAAATTGCACATACTAATGTTGGATTAATGAGTTTTCAGTTTTTTTTTACTTCTGGGATTACAGCAGATATTCTAAAGGTTAATCACCTACCTTATGGCAGAAGAGAGATAAACTCACGCAAAAAAGAACACCCTACATATTTTGGAAAGCGGACCCCAGCATATTGGAGTAAAATGGGTCAGTCAGGGTCCCCTGGGTCATGAGACCTACAGCAGTGGAGGTCAGTGGCATCTCCTCGTGTTACTTCTGCAAACAGAACAGTGAAAGCCCTTCAGCCCTCGGGCCCTGAGCATTCATGGCTTCTGCAGGTGCCACCAAAGATGACTAGCTGGGAATGGAGAAGCCTGGAAGCTCATAAGGACGATTTTGCTTTTGAAAAACAGAAAAGGCACCCCAGAACCCACAGAGCAGAGGCCAGGCCAGGAGAGGGCGCTGTCGGAAAAGACAAAAGTGTCCTGAAATAGAGTGAAAATGACTCCAGCATTTACCTTTTATCCATTTCTGACAAAGGGCACAAAGGTAAAAAAGATGTTTGACCGAAAGCTCCGTTGACGTCCTGTTAGACAAACACCAATCTATCTAATTTCCGTAATGTAAATGGTAGATATCTTCATAATTCTTACGCTAATAAATCACTTCCCTGATTTTTTTTTTTTGTAAAACCCAATATTTCTAATGAAGTCCAGAACCATGAATTGTTCTAAATAATTTCTTCTCATTTATGATTACAAGTATACCTCTACAGGAAGTGAGTATACTCACACCAAGGCTAGTTTTCCGGAAGAAAAATGCCAAGTGAACAAATTCCCAGCGAAACAACAATAATAACAAGCATCCAGGGAATTCCAGGAAAGTCAGGCCCAGGACGAAAATGGTCAGGCAGAACATCGATGACCCGGAATAATAATAGTTGAAATAATGAGAAGGCTCAATGACATTGACAATATTTCAGTCACAAAGACTCATCCTTAGAAACCCTCAACCTCCTCCAAGAAGTAACCGCACCCGTCAGATATCACCAGCGAATTCCACTGCTTCAAGAAGGATTGGAAGTTGACAGTCTCATGTTTCTTGCGTGGCTGGTAGTGTTTTTAAGCATTGCAAATATGGGGTGTCTTTTTTCTTGGTCTAAAGCAGGGAGGTCCAATCTTTTGGCTTCACTGGGCTATATTAAAAGAAGGAGAGTTGTCTTGAGCCGCACATAAAATACACTAACGCTAGAACTAGCTGATGAGCTAAAAAAAAATTACAAAAAACTCTCATAATGTTTGGAGAAAGTTTACAAATTTGTGTTGGGCCACATTCAAAGCTGTTCTGGGCTGCATGCGGCCTGTCACCTGTGGGTTGGACAAGCTAGGTATAAAGTAATTATCATTTTTTAAGTTACTTACTTTTTAAATTGACATATAACATTGGGTGTATTTATCATGTATCACATGATAAAAGAATCCCTGTGAATCACATTTCTCTCTTGGATTATGAATGAATGAATCTCTGCCATTTAAAGATCACCATAAGTCAAAAAACTGCAATAAAGAGATGACTTCATTCAGAAATAAGTTATCAAATTTTAGTGCTTAATAATAACCAAAGTGGAGATCATGAATATGGCATGAATAGTGTGGGAATTTCTTGATATTAATTCTATTAGACTCTTATGTGAATGAAGACAAAGACTTCCCTTGAGTAAGTTCAGATGGCTTCTGATAACATTCCTACATAGATTCCTCAGGATTTAACTGTATGTTCTTGAAAACATCTTAATTTTAAGTGCTTCTTTCAAGATGGTGAATTAAATAGAGATAGGCATTCAACAGGTTGGACTCAGCATATGTTGAGTCCAAAATGGAAAGGACTGAGTTAGAGATCTGTGCAACAATGGGAATGATTTCAAAAAACATCGTGCTGAGCAGAATCAGGCAGACACAAAGGAGTATCTATGGCATGGCATGCATCTATATACGTGAAATTCCAGAAGAAGCAAAATCAGCCTATGATGAGAAAGGGATTGGCTGGGAAGAGGGAGAGTTCACTTTCTGGGGGTGATGTAATATTGTAGATCTTGAAAGGGGCTTTGGATATGCGGTGTGTGTACTTTCCAAAGTTAGCAATGTTACACTTAAGATTTGTATAGGTTGTTCTGTGTAATTCTTGTTTAGAAGAAAATTTTACAAAGAAATATTGAATTCTAGTTAATGTTAGTTTTGCTAAACTATTCCTCGGAAGTATGTTGATGTCTCCAATTCAGTTGGAAATACATCTAAAATAAGATGGGCTGATGGATGGATAGAGGGATGCAAAGATGGATAGATATGTGTTAAGTCATGTTCATTAAAATGTTAACATATCAATGCTGTATTTATAAACATTTTTATAATAAAATGTTGATGGTAATTGCCAAAACCACTTGTATCATATCAGTAATTTTTTTCCCTTTAAACAAGAGTTCCAAAATAATTATTTATGTTCTATATGTTTGAACAATTTTACACACAATATCAATTGGACTTTTTTATGTCAATTGATCTCGGCATTGTAAAATGCAAGGATACACAGGGAAAGCATGTAGAGGAAAATGCAAGGATACACAAGAAAGCATGCTGCTTTCTTGGTTTTCGTTTTCAGGACAAAAACCAAATGGGAAAAACAAGCCTTCTATCTCTTTCCAAGGGAGAGGATAGACACACTCTCATATGTCCATACAAACGAATTTTTCTCAGCAATAAAACAAAGACAAACTATTAATATTTAAAACAATATGAATCAATGTGAACATGATTCTCCTGACTTTACAGGATTCAGAACAACAAGAATACATCTCCTATATGACTCCATTACATGAAATGGCAGTACAGGGGGAAGACAGTAGGATGGAGGGAGAAGGACAGATGGATTCAAGAGGAGGAGGAGAAAACTTTGAAGAGGGAGGAATGTGTTTATTATCTTGAATCTGGAATGTGGTGATGCTTTCATTGCTGTATCCATATATAAAAGTCAGCAAATTGTATTCTTTACAAAGAGGCTATTAATATACAGAAGTTTACATCACTTAAAGAGTAGGAAGGAAATTTGAGACACAAACTATTAGTTTTTATTGATCTGACAAACATTGCAAATATTTAAAAAAATTATAGAACTTTACCTAGAAATTTATAATTCAATTTAAAATGGAGATAAGAAAATACAAATTCACAATGGTCAGGAAGCCAAGGTCTGCTTTTATATATTTAAAAATTTGTATTATATTCTTTGAAATATATCCAAAAATAAGTCCACACTGTATGGAAAAATGAGAAAAAATATAAGAAAAAAGTCTTAAAAGTTACAGATGAAAATATTACACAAAGATACATTTACATATACATAAAACTGAGAGTGGACAGCTGTTATAATAAGAATACCTAGGTTACATTCCAAGAAAAATAATCACAGATTGTTGTTTAGCCAGTATCTATAAACATTAACTTTTGAAAACCAATATTCACCTCTGCCGAAACGGGGAACTTCATGTCAGATTTTCAAAGTCCATACAGATTTGCATAACATAGTCTCCTTGGAATTATGATTGAAACTGTGAGAATTGAGGTCAGTTAAAAACACGATACCAAGTAACCACTAAAAAGAGTTCACCTTCATATTTTAGAGCATTGCACCTGAAGCACTCAGGAGCACCCTTGGAAATCCACATGGAAGGCAATACAAACTTCCTGGAATGTATGGCCACCACCACACAAGGCACACATATTATTTTACAAACACTGGATTTACAAGTATTGGGGGAGAAAATAAATTCAAAATGCAACTAAGACCAATCCACATACCAAGACTCAGTTTTGTGCAAATCAAACCTCTCTAGAAAGCAGCCTCTGAGCTCTGTGGCACTTTTGTCTTCAGCCTCACAGCGGAGGTGAGTGCAGCCTGGGCTCCTGGGAGAGATGCACTGTCGCTGAGTAGCCTCCATCTGAAAGGAGGCAGGAGCTCTGGGCACAATGGTTAATTAAAGATGTGGATCAAATGCACAAGAAGGACAAAGGTCATCTTGTCACTGACCAGGAAAACATCCTCCGTCTTGGGCACTCTTGTCACATCTGACAATTATCTGGATGCAGGTTATCAGTAGCGGGCTCCTACCCAGATTAGGTCCAATGGGGCCAGGAAAAGCTTAGGTTCTGACAGTCGACGGCCATGAGCAAGGGTGGACGTGGAAAATGCAATGAGGAAAATGTATCCAAGTCTTCAAAGGTGAGGTAGGGAAAGAGAGTGTAACTGATCTATGAAAAGGCAGCCAGATAAAGGCAAGAACATTCCAACCAAGATCATCAAGACACTTCCTCCTTCATAGACTCAAAAGAATCAAGAGACTCTTCTTTGATTGGAGTTGGAGGCACTCATGTGGGGTGAGTCTGCCTTGACGCAGTGGTTGCTCCCCATCACTGGGCTTCTCCAGCTCCCTCTCTGAGAATCTGGTGCATGCCACTCAGAACAAATACCCTCATCTCTATAAGATGCCCTCTCCTGAGCATAGTGGAGAGGTTTTATAATGTGAGGGTGAAACCTTTCAAAGTAGAAACCTGTGATTTCTTTCCATTTGGACAATTATAAGGACTTTAAGACCCTTTCTGCTTTGGGTAAATCAACCATCTGCACAAGACACGTTTTACAGAACAAAGGACAATAGAGTCCTCATTCACATCCTGGTCATGTCACTCCTGGTGACTCCGCATTGCAAACATCCCAGCAGGGTGCAGTTCTTTTCTCTCCCATCCGATGGGCTTCTGGGGCCCCATCACTCTGATTGGACACGGACTCCCTGGAGGCAGCTCCCAAGAGCAGAAGACACAGATGACTCAGAAGTTCCTAGAAAGTCATCAAACCAGATGACACAGAACTCAAATGACATTTCACTTCGTTTTGTATGAGACAAGGTCTCACTCTGTTGACAAGGCTGTAGTGCAGTGGGGCGATCCTGGCTCACTGCAACCCTCACCTCCTGGGGCCAAGCGATCGTCCCACCTCAGCCTCTCAAGTAGCTGGGACTACAGGCGCTCGCTGCCACGTCTAATTGTTTGAATTTTTTGTAGAGATGGGGTTTTGCTATGATGCCCAGGCTGGTCTCAGATTCCTGGACTCAAGCGATCTGCCCACCTTGGGCCCCGAAAGTGCTGGGATTATGGGCGTGAGCTGTGTTATTTCATGCCCCGTGACAGCCCAACGAAAAGGAAGGAACCCCGCGGGTCCATAGTGTACTCACGTGGCTGGACTGATGGCTGGGAAACCCCAGCACGAGGAACCAAAAGAGCAGCCACCGCAGCCGCATGTCCTGGTCCTCTCAGGGCGCCCTGAGGTGGCCAGGGCACAGGTGGGGGTGGCTTAGGGCTGGGGGAGGGAAGGGGATAGGGATGGGGATGGGGATGGGATCGCAGTTGGGGAAGGGAAGGGAGAGGAGAGGAGGGGAGGGGACTGAAGGGGGGCTGTTGGGCACCTGGAGGAGGAGGAGGTGGAGGAGAAAGGGGTCTGGGAAAGGAACCAGTTCAAACTAAGTCCTCAAGCCCTGGTGGGAGGTTCAGCTACAGGTCAGTGGGACAGTCGATCAGCAGAGCAGCAGGACGCATGGGGTAGAGTAGCGGGAGGCTCCGGAGCAGTTGGAGGGAGACCAGGGCTCTGGTTTCCACCAAACCAGCTCCTGTCTGGGAGCTGCGTCAGCAACCCTGGGGCTTTATCCTCCCTCTCCACCAATCCCCGGCCCTGGTGGGTGGTGCCTCACAGTGGACATTCCTGGAGGTGCCCGTTTTCTTCCAACATCCCTCCGCTCCCCGACCTGGGCTGGGCAAAACAGAGACCTCATCTCTACAAAATTTTAAAAGTTAGCCAGGCATGGTGGCATGCAGCTCTGGTCCCAGCTACTCAGAAGGCTGAGGTGGGAGGATTACGTCAGCCTCACAAAGGAAGACTCTGCTTGAAATAAAAGAAATTAAATTAAGTAAAACACAAATAAAAAGAAAGATATTCTTTATTCACAAATTGGTAGAATTAATATTGTGAAAATGTCTATCTTACATAAAATGATCTACAGGTGTAATGCAATCCCTATCAAACTACCAGTGACATTCTCCACATACAAAAGGAATACCCCAATTCATCTTGTCCCACAAAAGAAAACCATCAATAGTCAAAATAATTGAGTATAAAAAAAGGGCAAAGCTGAAGGCATCACAGAATCTGCCTTTGAAATATACTACAAAGCCACAATAAGCAAAACTGTATGGTACTGGCATAAAAAGACACATAGGCCAATAGAGCAGAATAGAGATCCCAGAAATAAATCCATGCATTTACAGCTAACTGAGGTGACAAGAACGTACAATGGTTAAAGGACAAACTCTTTAATACATGGTGCTGGGGAAAAAAATGGACATCCACATACAGAACAAAGAAGTGAGACCCACATCTCACACCACATATAAAAAGCAACTTGAAATAAAGACTTGAATGTAGTATCTGAAAGTCTGAAACTACTACAAGAGAACATAAGGGAAAAGAAAATACGATATTGGTTTGGGCAATTATTTTTTGAATTTAACCTCCAAATGCCAGGAAATAGAAGTAAATGTAGACAAATGAGATTACTTCAAACTAAAAAGCTTCTGCACAGCACCACGTACAATCAATGGAATGATAACCTAGGAATGGAAAAATATTTTAAAATTATAAATCTGACAAGGGGTTAATATCCAAAATATGTAAGAGACTCAGCTGTACAACGAAAACAAGTAAGTACTAAAAATGAGGAAAAAACTTAGACATTTCTCAGAAGACATACGTATAACAAATAGATAAATTTGAAAATGCTAAACATAAATAATTATCCAGGAAAAGCAAATCAAAACCACTGTGAGACACCAACTCACTCCTTTCAGAATGACTATTAATAAAAAGACAAAAAAACAAAAACAAAAACAAAAACAAACCAAGGGTTGATAAAGGTGTGAAGAAAGAGAAGGCTTGCACATTGTTGATGGGAATGTATATTGGTACAGCCATTCTGGAAAACAGAATGAAGATTTCAAAAAAATTAAAAATGGAGCCACCATTTGTTACAGCAATCACACTACTGTTTATATATATATTTTTAAGGACATCAGTGTGTTGAAGAGACATTTCCATGCCCATGTTTACTGCAGCACTATTTACTATAGTCATGATATAAAAATCACCCCAAATGTACCGAAATCATGAATTCTGTGACAAATCCCTTCATTTCCAATCACACGGATGAACCTGAAACACATTATGTTAATTTACAGAAACCAGGTGTAGAAGGAAATATACCATATGTTCTCATATGTGACATCTAAACAAGTTCACCTGTTAAAGTAGAGAGTAGAATTATGGTTACCAGAGGCAGGGGTTTTTAGGAGGGCAGAGGGTTTGGGGAGTTGATTGTCAAATTAAGACATGATTACAGTGAGATAGGATGACTAAATTTGAGAGATTTATTGTACAGCATGTTGACTATACTTAACAAGGATGTATTGTGTTTTTAAAAATGAGAAGACAGTCAAATGTTTAGTTCTTACCACATAAAAAATTATATGGGGTAAAGCATATGATAATTAACTAGAATAAAGCACTTGACACGTATATACCTCAAAACATCATATTTTACATGATATATACACTTTTATGTCAATTAAAAGAATAAATAAACATTATAGAAGGCTAGCAATGTTCCAAATAATGAAGTCTCTTTCTTAGTCATAAGCTGAGCTAAACAGTATCAAAAATATATAGTTTTTGTGAAGGTTTGGGTTTGTTCTCTTGTTTGTTTTGTTTTTTGTTGCCCAGGCTGGAATGCAGTGGCACAATCTCATCTCACTGCAACCTCTGCCTCCCAGGTTCAAGTGATTCTCGTGGCTCAGCCTCCTGAGTAACTGGGCGTATAAGCACGCACCACCACACCTGGCTAATATTTGTATTTTTAGTAGAGATGGGGATTTTGCCATGTTGGCCAGGCTGGTCTCAAACTCCCAGTCTCAAATGATCCACCCTCCTCGGCCTCCCAAAGTGCTGGGATTACAGGCATGAGCCACCGCACCCGGCCTCGTGAAGTGTTTGTTCTACCCTTTGTCAGCCATAAGCATAGAAACTCTGTATTTTTACAGCACTTGCAGGACCCAGCACAGAGCACAGGAAAGGGCAGGCGCCTTTAACCCAAGGACTCCTAGAGTTTCTGGTACTCATGTTGATGGAATGGAAAATACTAAAGACGCAGGTGGCATTAACAGTCCCACCACTAGCTACGCTATGAACACAGAAAACAGGTTTACATTCCAACTCACAGGCAAATATTTAAATTCAGAAGCTGCCAGGACTCCAGAGATTTATCTAGAAACAATGACCAATGAGTTAGATACAGCTAGGTAGCTAAGACTGAGGACTGTAAACTGTGAACTACACAGATTACAGTATAGGAAAATACTATGACATGAAACTGAAAAATCCTCCATGATTCCAATATCTGGAAAGGAAAGATCGTTCAAAATTTCATTTTTTATTTTTAATTTTTGAGACAGAGTCTTGCTCTGTCACCCAGGCTGGAGTGCAGTGGTGTGATCTCAGCTCACTGCAACCTCCACCTCCCAGGTTCAAGCAATTCTCATGAGTCAGCCTCCCAAGTAGCTGGGAGTACAGGCGACCCCCACCATGCCTAACTAATTTCTGTATTTTTAGTAAAGATGGGGTTTCACCATGTTGGCCAGGCTGGTCTCGAACTCCTGACCTCAGGTGATCTGCCCGCCTCGGCCTCCCAAAGTGCTAGGACTACAGGCGTGAGCCACCACGCCCCACCCATTCAAAATCTTAAGTCCACAGAGGTCATTCTCCTGTTGCTCCACTTACACTCAAAAATACATTCTGCATGACAACATACATTGTGCTATAAGTATTTCACAGAAAATGTAAAACTTTTTAGTTACCATAAACTCTCCTAAAAATTATTTCAAAATATATTTTCTCTTAAGACATTTCAAAATTTGAAGTTTCTTAATACAGTGCTTACCATATACAACCCACTGGTATTAATGCTTTTACTATTCAAACTAATGTTATAGTAACCACACTGTGTTAGGACTTAATAACATCTACCTTTTACAAATAAATCCAGGCAATGCTAACTGACCGATTGAATTTTCTGGCCAGCAGACAGTGCACGGCTCTTGTCCCAATTAAGTGATCCAAATGTTGTATTCATAGCTATAAATGGCCTCAAACACTCCAGTGAAAAGCAATTTCTCACCACATTAGAAAATTCCAAACCTCTCCTCAGAACCTGCAAAGTGCTATGTGGAGCGATGTGAGGTGGGGAAAACAGTGAGAAAGTTGTAGCCGTAAGACAGGCAAAGAAGGGCTGTGATCAATGCACAATTAGGGATGAAAAGAGACAGCAGAAAGCTGAAGATTATTAGAAAATAAAACAAGTGGAATTCCTCTTCATACGTTTGGAGAAAGCCAGTTGTGTAGCCTGGGAACAGATGTCCTCTCTCCACATGCAAAATTAATACCATTTCTTCACCATGGATGTTTTCAGTCTCTAACCTGAAGACACAAACTCACTTCAACAGAATTATTTACTTCTAATTATGAAGTATGTTATTCGCCTAGCATTATATTTGTTTACTTCATTTATACATCAAAGCCCAACAACTTATGAAGCATCCCCAGTGTTTACCTGAACAAGTGGGCCCAATAAAGTACATAAACTCAACTATGTCCATTATAAAAGTCAAAAGGATAATCAAAGAAAAATAGGCTTAAACCGGGTTCTCTAACCGAAAGAAAAAAGTACTAATTAAATAAAAATATAAATTAATATACTCATTGTGAAGTTACTCACATCTGGAAATGATTTGGGGAGCATCACTAAGTTTTACAGATATTCTTCTTCTCATCCCTGGGCAGGTCATGGAAATAATGCTGCATGAACAATGGGATAGGAACATTCGATGTGAGGTCCAGCATGAATAACAGGCAAGTAAAAACAGAGGGTTTGCATGAGGAGATTCTGAACAAGGAGCCAGAATATTTTACAGAAATGAATTCAATACAAAGGAGAGAATAGAGGTTTCTTTCTAAATCTTTGAGGTTTACAGCTTTCTAGTAAATTATCAAGACTATTAAAATTGTTTCAATCCAATCTTATTTTTTTGTTGTGTGTACCTTCAAAATAGGTAGACACCCACACTCACACTCACACAATTACTTGCTCCATCTTTATTGTGTTTGCTTTGTTCTTTTTTTTTTTTTTTTTTTTTTGAGACAAGGCACGCTTTGCTGCCCTGGCTGGAGTGCAGTGGCATGATCATAGCTCACTGCAACCTTGAGATCTCCCAGGCTCACGTGGTCCTTCCACCTCAGCCTCCTGAGTAGCTGGGACTGAAAGTGTGCACCACCGCTCCCAGCTAATTTTTAAAAAATCTATAGTGGAGACAAGGTCTTACTATGTTGCCCAGGCTGGTCCTAAACTTTTCAGCTCAAGTGATCCTCCCATCTTGGCCTCCCAAAGTGCTGGGATTACAGATGTGAGCCGCCATGTCCAGCCTAGTTTATCTTTACAGTAATATATTTGTATATTTAACTCCATGTAAATCAAAGCTGAATCTATGTGCTCTGCAGGGCAGAGAAGTTGTACATCCAACAAAGACTATAGGAAAAAATTTAAAAATACTCAGAAATATACGTATTTTATTTATACACCTGTATAATATTTATTATAGCAATAATAGTGACTCTGTAGTTACAAAAAGAGGGAAAGGATTTTAAAAAATCCCTGGGAGATGCTATTCCACTATGCCACCCAGTAGCACCTTGTCACCATCTGTTATCGACATCTTCCACTAACATGGAATTGGTTTTTGGTAGGATAACCCTTTATTCTATGAACCGCAGGCTTAACACGTTTAACACAGTTGTGTTTAATTAAAAACAAATGAAGTTCACATAGAATCTTAAAAAGCATTTCAAAATTTATGGTATATTACCTTAACAAAATACTGGTAAAACTATTAATTTATAAAATTCAAAATGTTTCCCTCTTCCTATAATGCAGGTGTAAGGTCAGCCGAGAGAAAGGATGAGGAGACCCAAAGTCAGGCAAGCAAGCTTTACTGAGCTGCTTGGCTGCTCTACCACAGTTGAAGGAGGCAGACCCGCTTACAGACAATAGCAGGCTTTTATAGGGCCAGAACCAGGTCGGGGTTGGGGAGCTGAGTTGGGGGTGCAGGAGAACTGGGTCAGGGTCGGGGAGCTGAGTGAGTCAGGGGTGCAAGTGACTTGTCCGCATCCTGGAGATGTTTTTTTGCCAGCTTTGTTATGCGAGGTGAACAGATATGTTGACCGCATCCTGTAACTGTCCGGACAGTTACTGGAAGGGTCAGTGAAGGGGGATTTGTCTTTTGCCCTGGGGTAGCTGTGCGGAGAGCGCAAAGGACTGTATTGTAAGGCCTGTGGGAGGGGAAGGGAGTGGTCTGGTCGGGGCGACCCTAACATTTTAGCCTTTTAATCGATGATAGGAAAGGGGACGCCATTTTTCGCCTGGCTACTTCAAGCTGAGAGGGGGCAGTGTTTAGGGGGAAGGCTGGAAGGTAGGGGTTGGTCCTGGTACTGGTTTTGAAATTGCCGGTATTCTTGCAGTAGCGTCATGTCTTTCATGGTTCCGTGGGTGAAAGCTCGGACGCGGTTCCGTAAAAACTGGGTACAGAGACGTAAGAGGCAGGGCCCAAAGACTGGAAGGAGAATGGTTAGGACGGGTCCTAGGAGTGGGAGTAACCAGGAGGCCTAAGAGCTGAGAGACCAAGGGGGCCAAGAGGGCCAGGCAGAGGAGGTGATTTTTCTTTTTTCTGTGAGTGCGGGGGAGGGCTTGGTCTTTTAGTTGTTTGACTGCACCCTGAACCAGGCCTGACTGATTGAAATAGAAGCAGCATTCCTCATCTAGGAAGATCCAGAGACTTCCTTTTTCTGCAGTAAGCAAATCAAGGCCTTTGCGGTTTTGTAGGGTAACTGCTGCTAGGGAGTCTAGTTGGTTTTGGAGGTGGGTAATAGTCTACAATTTTTTTTTTTTCAGGAAAGCCTGTAAGTCTGTAGAGAGTGCCTGGAAATATGATAATGAGGATCCTCTTAACTGGTGTGTAGGAATAGATGGAGAGCGGAGGGTCCCTTGGGAGGAAGTGACAGAGCATATATGACAGTTTGAGGTTATGTTTTTTAATAAGGTAAATAGGTCGGGGGAAGAGAAATATAGGCAAAGGAGAAGGTACGGGGGGTGCACACCAACGTGGAAAGATTGGTGAAGGGATGTTAGAATTTTTTTTTTTTTTTTGGTTTGTTTTTGGTGGAGGATGAGTTTTTGATTATCTAGTTGCTTTCGAAGGAGGTTCCTTGTTGTAGTAGTGAGCCCTTTTTTTAGTGGGGAATTCTGGGGTTGGATTGTAGGGGTAATGAGGAGGAGAGAGCCAGGGGGAGAAGAAAGGGAGAGCTTCTTTGCTGCCTTATCAGCTTTCGTGCTTCTTTTTGAGATTTTATTTGAACCTGTTTGATGTCCTGCTTTGGTTGGAAGGTGTGCAGCCTGAAGTAGCTGGTAAATAAGGGGAGCTGTTAGTGATGAGGGTTCCTTTGGCAGTAAGGAATCCTCTTTTGCCAGATGGCAGCGTGGGAATGAAGGATGTGATAGGCATCTTTGGAGTTTGTATAAATGTTGACTTGTTTGCCTTTGGAAAGGGTTAGGGCTCTGGTGAGAGCTGTAAGTTCTGCTTTTTTGGGGGAGGTTCCTGAAGGTAGGGGCCTGGCTTTAATTACTTGGTCAAGAGAAACAACTGCATATCCAGCAATTCTGGAGGAGCCAGCGGGCCTGGAAGAGGAGCCATCTATGAATAGCTGGTCATTGGGGTTGGCGAGACGCTTGGAGGAAATGTTTGGGAAGTGTGGCTGCTGGTGGTCTAGGATGTCAGTGCAAGAATGAGTAGGAAGGGAAGAGGATATGGGGAGTAAGGATGCTGGGTTGAGGGGAGCACTTTTGGCAAGGCAGAATTTGGGATTTTTGATAAAGAGGGCATGGAGTAATTGAATCTGGGAAGGAGGAGGAGAACTTAATGCTTGGGAGGAGAGGAGATGTAGATTATGAGGACTGTAGATGGTGGTATTTGGGCTGAATGTTAGCATCTTGCTTTCTAGAGCTAAAACTGCTGCTGCTGCTGTACTGTAAGACAGGTTGGCCACCCTTTGACTGTGTTGTTGAGTTGTTCAGAGAGGCAGGCTACAGGAGAAAAGGAAGGAGGATTTTATTTTTGTTGTCTTAAGACACCAAGGGCTATTCTTTGGTTTTTTGGCAGTATAGAGAGTGAAAGGTTGGGAGATATTAGGTAAGGACAGAGCCGGTGCAGTGATAAGAGTGGTTTGGAGTTTGCGGAAGTTGGGGAGTATGTTATGTGAGGAGTTTAGGAGTTTATTGAGGGGGCCTTTGGCTGCTTTATAAAGGGGGTGAGCTAGGGGGGCAAAGTTGGGAATCCATATTTTTAAAAAGCCTGTTAGCCCTAGGAAGGAAAGGATTTAGTTTTTTGAAGAAGGTGGAGATAGACTGTCTATTAAGGCTGCCCATGCCGGGGTCATGGCTCGAGACCTGGGGGAAGGTTGAACTCCTAAGTAGGTCCCGGTAGGGGTGGAAAGCTGTTCTTTAGAGGGGAGACCCTATAGCCTTTATTAGTAAGGAAATTCAGAAGGGTGGCAGTGTGAGTTTGGGAGTTTTTTAGGGAGGGGCTACAGAGAAGGAGGTCATCTAGATATTGAAGAAGGCGGCTGGGGGAAAGATCCAAGGAGGCAAGGTCTTGGGCTAGGGCTTGCCCGAAGAAAAGAAGGCTATCCTGGAAGCCCTGAGGGAGGACAGTCCACGTGAGTTGTTGTGACTGGAGGGTGTTGGGGTCAGTCTGGGTGAAAGCAAAGAGGTTTTGGGAATCGGGGTGTAGGGGAATGGTGAAGAAGGCATCTTTCAGGTCAATTGTGGTGTAGTGGGTGGTGCTGGAGGGGATGAGAGGGAGAAGTGTATAGGGGTTAGGGACTACAGGATGAATAGGGAGGACAGCCTGATTGATAACTCGGAGGTCCTGAACGAGTTGGTATGAGCTGTCAGATTTTTTAATAGGGAGGATGGGGTTGTTATATGGAGTGTTGGTCTAAGACGACTGTGTGAGCAGAGCTTATGATGGGTTGTAAGTCCTTTGGTGTGTTAGGGAAGTGGGGTATTGGGGAATGTTGGGAAATTTAGAGGGGTCTTTTAACTGGATTTTGATGAGGTCCTGGTGAGCAGCTATGGAAGGGGTGATGGTGTCCCACACTACTGGGTTAATGAGGGAGGCGGGTAGCGGGTGCTGGGGAGTGGGGTTCAGGGGCCAGACTAGCAGAGAGGAGCAGGAGGGACTCTGGTTGAGGGGGACAGGAAAACATGATAGAAGCTTTGAATTTGGTTAAAATGTCTTGGCCTAGCATTGGGGTGGGGCAATGAGGCATGATAAGGAAGGAGTGTGAAAAAGCAGTATTAAACAGGGAACAAATAAATAATTCAGTAGCACGTGGACACCAGACCAGTCCATCAACCCCTACAACAGAGACCTGGGAAGGGCAAGTGGGTCCTAAAGATTCAGGTAAAACCAAGTAGGTGGCCCCACTATCAATTAAGAAAGAGACTGGCTTACCTGCCATTAGCAGAGTTACCCTGGGTTCCGATGCAGTGACGGCAGATGGGGCCGGGGGCCCTGGGCTCTGTCAATCTTCAGTGGCCAGGACAAGGAGCTGTGGGAGTGGGAGTGACTCTTCACTCTTCGTTTTGCCAGGGCCTTGAGGAACCGGCCTGTTAGTCTGCTTGTTAAGAGGACAATCAGACTTCCAGTGACCAGTTTGTTGGCAGGCTGGGCAAGGAGTTTTTGGCAATCATGGGTTAGGGCATGCTCGGGCCCAGTGACCTTCTTTGCAGCACTTAAAACAGGGCCCAGGAGGGTCACTGCTATGGGGTCTATTGTGCCCCTGGGCAGCCCGAGTAGGCTGACAAATAGCTGCTGCTAGGAGCTGGTACTTGGCACAATCTCCTTGGGCTTTATCTAATTTATTTTGCTCATCTCTGTTGCTGAAGACCTTAAAGGCCAGGTTAAGGAGGTCTCGTTGAGGGGTTTGAGGGCTGTCTTCTACCTTTTTGAGCTTGCGCCATAAGTCAGAAGCAGACCTTCCTGGGAGGTGGGGTTAACATGGGTGTATTTTTGGAGGGCCTCTGTAAGGTGGGAAAGAAATTTGGTGGGATTTTTGTCGGCCCTTTGGGAGACTTTTTTGAGCTTTTCAAAGTTACAGCCTTATGGGCAGCTTTATTAAGACCTGAGATAAGGCAAGTGATCATGTGGTTATGAGATGCCCGGCTGGGGTCTGTGGGTTGGTACTCCCGGGAGGGTTTTTCCCAGGAAACTGCAGCAGCCCCTATGGGCTTAGTACGGTCTTGTGGATGAAGATCATTGGCATGCCTGAGCTGCAAGCCACTCTTTTCTTTTCTTTTTTTTTTTTTCTGGGAGGAGAGTATAAGAGAGGATAATATAGAGATCATGCCAAGTGAGTCTGTAAGATTGGGTGAGGTATTTGAGCTTTTTGATATAAGTGTCAGGATTGGAGGAAAAGGACCTGAGATGTTTCTTAATTTGCGAAAGGTTAAGAGAGGGAGAAGGGAATGTGGACGCGAACGACTCCTTTAGCCCCAGCCACCTCTCAGAGGGGAAGTAAGGGGGCCGAGTGTTGGGCATGCTGAGTCTGAGAGCGGGTATGAGGTGGAGATGGGGAAGAATCAGAATCAGAAGCTGGGTGGTTGGAGAGAGGAAGAGAACGAAGGCAGGAGCGGGATTGTATGGTGGAGGATTGTGATGATTTGGGGGAGGATTACGGTGCTGTTGGGGAAAAGTTGGCAGGATCAAAGAAGGAAGAATCATTGGGAGGAGCGGTGACGGGGGTGGGGGTCTGAGGATGGGTCAGGTTTGGAGCAGGCGAGGATTTGGAAAGTAGAGCAGGACTGACAGAGGGAGGGATGGCTATGGAGGGCAAACGAAAGCCTGAACATAAGGAATCTCTGACCACTTTCCATTGCGATGGCAGAAGTTGTCTAGGTACCTGAGAATGTTGAAATTTAAAGTGCCGTTTTCAGGCCATTGGGAGCCATTGTTTAGTTTATATTGTGGCCAGGCGGTGTTACAATAAAAGATGAGGTTTTTTTTTGGCTGAATTTCGGAATGGAGGCTAAGGGCATTAAGGTTATGATGGAGGAGGCACCCGAAGCGGGGATGTCTTTGAGGGAGGGGATTGGAAGGCTCCCATAGTGGAATGAGAAAGGGAGGGGTAGAGATGGGAGACTTGGCCGGAGACTAGAATGGTGGGAGAACGCGTCCCTTGTCCCACAGTTCAAGTCGGAGAAGTGCGATAATCCCCAGTTCAGGCATCCTTGATAGGAGATATCGAGGGCCTCCTGGAGGCCAGGAGGAGGAAACCCTTGGCCCAGTGCTGGGTCTTTTAGGAAGGAAAGAGCAGACAAGGGTTCCAGACACAAGGCGAAAGTCTCCTTTACTCAACCCTGAGGAGGCCCTGGTGTTGGATGTGTTCGCCAGCAATGGAAAGTATGTATGAGATCCTTGGGTCTCTAGCAGGTTCTGGAAGGGGGAGTTCAGCCAGGGGAAGGAGGGAGAGAAAGAGAAAGGGAGAAAGGGAGGCCGAACTCTATCACCTTTCCGGGTTTCGGCACCAGAAATGTAAGGTCAGCCAAGAGAAAGGATGAAGAGACCCAAAGTCAGGCAAGCAAGCTTTATTGAGCTGCTTGGCTGCTCCACCACAGTTAGAGGAGGCAGCCCTGCTTACAGACTATAGCAGGTTTTTATAGGGCCAGAACTAGGTCGGGGTGCGGGAGCTGAGTTGGGGGTGCAGGAGAACTGGGTTGGGGTGGGGGAGCTTAGTCGAGGGTGCAGGTGTCTTGTCTGCATCCTGGAGATGTTTTTTGCCAGCTTTGTTATGCGAGGTGAACAGACATGTTAACCGCATCCTGTAACTGTCTGCACAGTTACTGGAGGGATCAGTGAAGGGGGGTTTGTTTTTTGCCCTGGGGTAGCTGTGCAGAGAGCACAAGGGACCGTATTGTAAGTCCTGTGGGAGGGGAAGGGAACGGTCTGATCAGGGTGACCCTAACAGAAGAGTATTATTCTAAACACCTATCTCATAAATCACTTACAAGTATATAAAACAACCACAAAGAGCCTCTCTACCAAGATTTTACTCACGCATCTTACATTTCAGTGTCTTTCACCTTTCACGGACAAGTATATCAGTGATGCACACCTAAGAGAAAAGAATTTCTCATATCTCTGACGCAGCAACAACTGACCATGTGTTTTCACATCAGCACTAGAAATGAAGACACAGCATCTACTGATTTGAGAATAGAATGACATCAATATTCGCTTTTCAAAAATTTAACATTTTTTCAATGCAAAAAAGTATATTTTGAATGTAATTATAACTCTACAAAAACTCAGTCTCATCCTCCTTTTAAACTTAAATATAAATGATCTATTTTAAGTCTAGATGTCTCTGTAGACTCAACACAGGGATTCAGTGTCATTTCTGAACGTGTCCTTGCTTATTTTTCCCATTTAGTGTATTTGCAAAATATCTTTTAGTATGAACTCTAGTGTTTTCTAAGCTATCATTTTTGAACAAATGTTATTCCACATTTATGAGATTTGTTGGGTTTCTCTACAAATTTTCTGAAAGTTTAAGCAACTGATGCAAGTCTTCCATCTAGTATAATTGTAACATTTTTTTCAGAAGAAATACTCTTGTGTGCTCTGGAGACTTATATTTCATGAAAGGTCTTTCAATAGTAATTACATTTATGATAACTTTATTAAGTCTGAACTCTGATGTAAAGTGGGATGCGAGCAGATACTAACGGCTTTGCCTATTTTTATATTTGTTTATTTTTTTCTCAAGTATGAATGCTTTCATGTACAGTCAGGTGTGAGAACTGGGTGAAGGCTTTGCCACACTTTTCACACTTGTAGGGTTTCTCTCCAGTATGAATTCTCTTATGTACAATAAGGTTTGAGGACTGGGTAAAGTTTTTTCCACATTCGTCACATTTGTAGGGTTTCTCTCCAGTATGGGTTTTCTTATGTTTGGTAATGTCTGAGAACCACATGAAGACTCTGCCACATTCTTCACACTTGTAGGGTTTCTCTCCAGTATGAATTCTCTTATGTACAATAAGGTTGGAGGACTGGGTAAAGTTTTTTCCACATTCGTCACATTTGTAGGGCTTCTCTCCAGTATGGGTTTTCTTATGCTTAGTGAGGTCTGATAACTGCTTAAAGATGTTGCCACATTCTTCACACGTGTAGGGTTTTTCTTCAGAATGAGTTCTCTTATGGTTAGAAAGGCTTGAGCAAGTTCTGAAGACCTTCCCACATTCTTCACATTGGTAGGGTTTCTCTCCGGTGTGAATCCTCCTGTGTTCACTGAGGTGTGAGGACTGTGTATAGGCTTTCCCACATTCGTCACATTTGTATGGTTTCTCACCAGTGTGAATTCTCTTATGTTTAGTAAGGTCTGAGAACCACTTGAAGATGCTGTCACATTCCTCACATTTGAAAGGTTTCCCTCCAATCTCATTTCTCTGGTGTTTGGAAGGATTTGGGCTGTGGTTAAAACCTTTGTACCATGTTTCACATTTGGAGAGCTTCTCTCCAGCAAGAATCATCTGTTGATTAGAAAGGCTTGAGCAAGAGATAAAGACACTGCTGCACTCTTCATATTTGCAGGGTTTTTCCTCAGTACCATGCTCATGTTCAGTAAGGTGGGAGCACTGGTTAAATACTTTGCCAAATTCTTCACATCTGTAATGTTCCCCTCCGGCATAAATTCTATTTTTAGTAAGGACTGAGCAAGTTTTAATGACGTTGTTACATTCTTGACACTTGTAAGGTTTCTCTCCAGTGTCAATGTTCTCAGGTTCAGTAAAGTGTGAGCACTGGATAAAGGTTTTGCCACATTCTCCACATTTTTGGAATTTTTTTCCAGTGTGAATTTTCTGATGTTCAGTTAGGAATGAGAGCATTTGAAAGGATTTGCCACATTCTTGACATTTGAAAGGTTTCTCTCCAGTATTACTTATATTACGTCTATGTAAATTTGAAAAGTTATCAAAGATTTTAACATATTTATTATATTGAAAGATTTTGCTATGGGTAGTTGATGAACATTGGTTAAGTCCATTATAATCTTTTTGCAACTTACACTCATCTAAACTTTCCCAGTCTTTCCTTAAATATAAATTATCAAGGCCACAATTTCCATATCCTCTCAGTATTCTTTTTGGGAATGCATCTTGTATGCCCTGCTCTGGCAGAAGGTCTTGGGTAAAATGAGAAGACATAGCTGAAAAAAAAAAAAAAAGTTATCCGACTTACTAGACACAGATGAATACACTTTATGAATCTAATCTATAAAATAATACTGGGTACATTAGCAAAATGGCATAAAAAATACCACAGGCCCTAATTTCTGTATAAACATATAAATGTAACAATACCTAGTGAGAAGATGCATCTGAACTCTAAAAACCATTTCACAGTTTGCAGCACCCCAGGTGAGCACAGTGCTAGGAGCCAGATAAGAAGAAAAACAGTCTGTTACGTTTACCCACTGCAGCCCCCGCTCCTCCGCAGTATAGCATCATGCCTTTAAGAGTACACCCTCAGCTCTTGGCTTCTCCTTCAAAAGAGAAAGCAAATACTGGCACAAGTGTTTTTACTTTTGGCCTTTTGAAGCTTTGGCAAAGATTGGTTTCTGCCCCCTGTGACACGGAGTGCTGAGAGAAATGGTGGTACTCTGAGTGACAGGCTGGGTCTGCTGAGACCGAAAGGAAATACCCATGACAGCGGTAGGAAGGCTGCAGCAGCAGCACCAGGCGACAAGTGTATTGTGTGATTCCAGGGCACTACAAAGAAAGCTGAGAAACCCTCTTTAAATGAAAAATACACACACAATTCCACACAAGACACATCCCAGAACAGGCTTAAGAGGCCTCTAGAATCTGGGCCTATTTGTTTTAGATGACCCCAGGAGAAAGGCACATTATAAAGGTTGTGGCAGGAGGCTTGTTGTTAATGCCTGAATCTCAGTCAAAGATGACATGTACAAAGTATTAGGGTCACATGGCATAATCAAAGAAATAAAAAAAGTTCAGAAATCAACCCTAAAATGATGGAGATGCATAAATTAACTGAAGAAAATAAAATTACCATTTGAATAATGCTCAATGAGTAAAAATGGCAAAACAGCAAACTAAGTAAAATTAGGAAAATAAGGATACCAATAAAAAGACATGAAGTATGAAAAACAGACTGAGAAACTGAGGTATGAAAGGAAATAATTACTGAGAAATTCTCAAAAGTAAGAAAAAAATACAAAAAAATCAAGAAGCTCAACACATCAACTAGTATAAACAAAAAGGGACATAAGACACATTATAACCACAGTTTCCAAAGTCAAAGGAGAAAAGAATCCTGAAAGCAGCAAGTGAAAAGCAAGGTACATGCTCTTAGGAGATTACCAGTGAATTTGTCCACAGAAACATTGAGGCCTGGCTGGGCACGGTGGTTCACACCTGTAATCCCAGCACTTTGGGAGGCTGAGGCAGGCAGATCGCTTGAGCCCAGGAGTTCAAGACAAGCCTGAGTAGCATGGTGAAATCCCATCTCTACAGAAAATACAAAAAAATTAGCTGTGTATGCTGTTGCACACTTGTAGTCCCAACTACTCAGAAGGCTGGAGTGGGAGAATCACCTGAACCTGGGAAGTGGAGGCCGCAGTGAGCCACGATCACACCACTGCACTTCCAGCCTGAGTGACAGAATAAATCCCTGTCTCAAAAAAAGTACAACCTGAAGCAAGAAGGGAATTGGATGAGATAGTCTAATTGCTGAACACAAAACTTCCAAGCAAGAATAATATAACCAGTGTCCTACAAAATCATAAAAAATAAAGGCTTTCTAACATAACCAAGGGCTACATTACCACTACACATGTCAAACAAGAAATGGTAAAAGGAGTCCTTTCCACTGAAAATAATGCGATGCTATAAAATAATATATAATCATATCAAAATAAATATATGGAAAAGATACGCATATACAGAAAAATAAAATTCTGTGGTACTATAATGATGGTGCAGAAATCACTTTTAATTATTATCTAAAATTTGAAAGATGAAAGTAGAAAAATAATCATAAATAACTGTTAATGGATATACAACATTAAATGATTTAGGGATATCAGTAACAAAGTTGAGGGCAGATTTAATAAGAAAGAATTTTTGTATACAACTAAAGTTAAGTATTTACCAGTGTAAAATACCTTGTTGTAACTTTAAGATGTTTTATATAATTTCCATGGTAACCACAAAGAAAATACCTATAAGACACACAAAAGAAAATTTAAAAAGAGTCAAAGCTTATTATACAAAGTACAAGACACAAAAAGGAAAGAGAGAAAGAAAAAGCTACAAGAATCAAGTAAAAAAAATACAATGGCTAAAGTACATCTTTTCATTTCAGTAAATTGCTTATTTAGGAACTAAACTACTCAATCAAAAGGCATATGCTAAATAATTTAAAACCAAACTAAGATCAAACTACAGCTGACCTACAAGAGATTCACTTGAGATCTAATGACAAAAAGAGACTGAAAGTGGCAAGATGGAAATAGACATTTCATGCAAATGTTAATGAAATGAGAGCAGAAGAGGTTACAATTGTATTATGCAAAATACATCTTAAGTCAAAAAATGTCATACTTCCTAAAACATACTTTAAGTCAGAGCTCACAAAAAACAAGAACATAAAACAGTAACAGAAGGGAGAATGAACTGGGAACCTATGACAAGCGTGGGTGCATATTCGTATATATATTTAGGTATTGAAGTAACTTCCTATTATACTGCTATTTTTTGCTTCAATTTTGCAAGTTCTTTATAAACAATTACAGCATCAAAGCAAGAAACAGACAGCAATATAATATTGGCATACTTCTACAACCCACTTTCAGTAATAAATGATAAAGCAAGACTTAATAATTGTAGAGAGGACTTGAAAGCACTACAAAACAATTCCACCTCACAGATATAGAGAGAACACTCCACACAACACAGCAGGAGACACACTCTTCCCAAGAGCTCAGAAAACATTCTCTAGGATAGGCCACCTGTTAAACAAATAAATAAGTCTTAACAAATTTCAAAAAATTGAAGTCTTCTGCATTACTATATATGACCAAAATGAAATGAACCTGGAAATAACAAAGAAAAACAAAAAAAATCACAAATATATGGAAATTAAACAACACATTTGAGCATGCTCTTGTTCAAAGGTTGAAATACTTAATATTGCAAAGATGTTCACGCTGTCCAATGCAATCTACAAACTCCAGGCAATCTCTTTCAGATTTTGAATCCTCTTTTTGCAGAAATAAAAGCAACAACCTAAAAATCCTAAGACATCTCAAGGGGCTGTAAAGCACCCAACAATTTTCAAACAGAGGAACAATGTTGGAGGTATCACACTGTCTGATTTCAAAACACATTACAAGGCGACCGTAATTAAAACAGTTTGGTACTGGTATAAAGGCAGACAAATAGACCAATAAAACAGAATGTAGCACAGATTTAAAAATAAAACACAGAAAAAACTGTAAAACAAATATAATAGCTAAAGTATGGGATTTATTGAACACTATGATCTAAACTAACATATTCATGAAAGAAGTCTTACAAAAAATACATAGCAGAAAAGCAGTAGAGGTATTATTTGAAGAAAAAAAGGTTGTTAACTTTCCAAATTTCAGTATGATAAAAATGTTACTAACCAAGAACACTTGATCTAGAATAATTTCACTTCAAAAGAACAGGGGGAAAATAAAGACTTTCCAAAATAAATAAAAAGATGAGGGTGTTCACCACCACTAGTACAGTTCTACAAGAAATGCTAAAGGTTGGGTAGGCATGGTGGCTGATGCCCATAATGCCAGCTTTGGGTGGGCCAAGGCAGGAGGGTTGCTTGAGGTCAGGAGTTAGGAATTAGCATGGTCAACAGAGCAAGACCCAATCTCTACAAAATACAGAAAAAATACTCAAAAGACTTCATCGTATTAAAAAAGACAATGATGCTAGACAGCATTATAAAACCATATGAAAATATAAAACTCTGTTAAAGGTATATAAGCAGATATATAATACTTTACTATCATAATGATGGTGTAAAAAATTCAAAATTCTGCTATAATATCTGAAAAAATATCTGCATAAATCTTTGCTACCAGACACAAAATATATAATAATTTGTTACATTAACAGCACACTGGAGGGTGTTACAGTTTTTGTATTCAATGAAGTTGTGAGATTAAAATCTGTATTTATAATTTTAAGGTGTTTTATGTACTCTCCATTTTTCAAGGTGATCCAAAAGAAAATACCTATACAAGGTCTGCAAAACACAATGAGAAAAGAATGAAAGCTTGTCCACACAAAATCAACAAAACAAACGATGAAGACAGTCAAAGAGGAAATGAGGGATAACATATCTACAAGAAACACAGAAAACAGTAACAATCAAGATGGTGATAGTAACTTCATTTCCTTCAGAAATTATTTTAAATATAAATTAACCTACTTATTGAACAGAAATAAAATAGCTGAATGGATTAAGAACAATATGCTAGCTACAAAAGACTCTAGCCTTAAATAGTAAAATAGGCTGAAAGTGAAAATAAAAAAAAATTCCATGCAATTAGTAACCACAATCAGGTGGGGTGGTTATCCTTATATTAGACACAATACACTGTAAGTCAGAACTGTCACAGGAGATAAAGATTAATAGCATGTAATGGCAAAATGCGTACATTAACCAGGAACCTGTAACTGTTTATCTGTCTATATTTATATCTAACATCAGGGCTCCCAGATATATAAAGCAAATATGGAGAGAAGTGAAGCAAGATGTACACAGCAATACAATAATTATCAACTCTAAGACCCCATTTGCAATACAGAATAGAAAATTACACAGAAGATCAATAAGAAAGCTTGGGCAACATTACAGACCAAATCAATTTAACAGACATGCATAGAACTCTCCAGTCCAAAGAAGCAGAATATACAATATTCTCAAATACACATAGTGCATTGTGTTACAACAAATAACAACTCTTAAAGATGAAAGTCTCATGACATGTTTTCTAACCAAAATGTAATAAAACTAGAAATCAAAAGCAAAAGTAAAACTGGCAATGCCAAAAATGTATGGAAATTAAAACCCTTGAACATACACATTCTTGCTCAATGGTCAGATAATTTAGTTTTTTAAAGATGTCAATACTGCCCACACTAATGTACACATTCAATGTAATCTCTATCAAATTCCCAAAGCTACTTTTTGATTTTTTAATGCTAAAATTAGTTTAAGAACAATAACTAGTCAAAATTCTTTAAAAAGAACAAAGAGGCATTACACTTTCTGATTTTAAAACATATAAAGAGCTACGAAAATAAAAACAATGTGGTACTGACACAAAGACAGATAACTAAATGATGAAACAAAGCAGAGAGCCCAGAAATAAACCCTTGTGGATAAAATCAAGTAATTTTCCACAAGGTATCCATGACCACACAATGGAGAAAAGAATCCTTTCAACAAATGTTAAAAACCAGATATCTACATGGAAAAATGAAGTGGTATCTTTTCCTTGCACCATATACAAAAATATTTTAAATGAAAAACATAAAAATAGAATAGGCTGGGTGTGGTGGCTCACGCCTATAATCCCAGCACTTTGGGAGGCCGAGGCGGGTGGATCACGAGGTCAGGAGATCGAGACCATCCTGGCCAACACGGTGAAACCCCATCTCTACTAAAAAAAAAAAATACAAAAAATGAGCCGGGCGTGGTGGCGGGCGCCTGTAGTCCCAGCTACTCAGGAGGCTGAGGCAGGAGAATGGCGTGAACCCAGGAGGCAGAGCTTGCAGTGAGCAGAGATCGCACCACTGCACTCCAGCCTGGGCGACAGAGCAAGACTCCATCTCAAAAAAAAAAAAAAAAAAAGAATAAAACTCTTAGAAGAAAATATAGGACAGCAAATGCATAAGCAACAAAAGAACAGAAAAACTGAACTACATCAAACTTCAAACTTTCTGCAAATCAAAGAAAACAATGAGTGAAGTGAAAATACCACCTAAGAAATGGGTAAAAATCACACATTTGATAGGAGTGTATCCTTATATTCAGAGTATATAAGGAACTTTTACAACTAAACAACAAAAATTAAATAATTTGATTTAAAAATAGATGAAGGACTAACTGAAATCTCTCCAAAAAAGATATGGAAACGCCCAACAAGCCTTGAATGAATGCTCAAATTACTTATCTATAGAGAAATGCAAAACAAAATCACAATTAAGATATTTCCTCACACCTATTAGAATGGCCACAGTAAAAAAAAAAAATCCAGACCTGTCAAGGATGTGAAGACATTGAAAACCACGTAACCTGCTGGTAGGAAAGAAAGGATGCAGCCACGATGAAAGATAGCATAGGCCGGGCACACTGGTTCACACCAGCTCACACCTGGAACCCCAGCACTTCGGGAGACCGAGGCGGGTGGATCACTTGAGCCCAGGAGTCCGAGACCAGCCTGGGCAACATGGCAAAACCCTGTCTCTATTAAAAACACAAAAGTTAGCTGGGTGTGGCGGTGTGCCCCTGTAGTTCCAGGTCCTCAGGAGGCTGAAGTGGGAAGAAGGCTCGAGCCCAGGAAGCAGAGGTTGCAGTGAGCTGAGATGGCACCACTGCACTACAGCCTGGGTGATAGAGTGAAACTCTGTGTAAAAAAAAAAAAAAAAGCATAATTTTCTTAAAAAAATTAAAAATGGAATTATATGATCCAGCAATCCCATTTCTAGATCTATATCAAAAGTATACAAAGCAACTCAGGACTTAGAAGAGATATTTGCACACCCATGTTTACTGTACCACTATTCAGAAAAGTCAAATGGGGGAAGCCTCAAGTGATGAACACACAGAAAAAATGTGGTATATACATACAAGGAATATTATTCAACCATAAAAACAGTAATATGGAATTACAAAACACTAAGAGATGTTAGTCATAAAATCTGCTATGAAACATTGATGTACCATTAAAAAAGAATTTGCCTAGATAACTACAGTATTCAACTGTGACTGTGTAGTCATGAAAACTAGGTATTTTGAGTCACTGGCATGCAGTGGACAGCAGTAACATTTCACAGAAAATGCACTACAATCATTATGAAAAGACTCTACTGAGAACATTTTAATGACTAAGAGATACTAAAGGTAATTTTTATTATATGTTTACTATACCGATGCTATTCTTATGCAAATTTAAAATGCTGCCATCCAACTTTTAGAAGCAAGGAATAGCCTTATATTTCTAAATAAAGAGAAAAATATAAATTATGTAAAATATGGTGAGAGTCACTGATATATAAAATAAACATCTGGGAATAAATCATATTATTATTTATATACAGGTTGAAGAAATAGGATAATTTAATCAATGTGGAGTGCTTGCCGGGTGCAGTGGTTCACGCCTGTAATCCTGACACTTTGGGAGGCCAAGGCAGGCAGATCACCTGAGGTCGGGAGTTCGAGGCCAGCCTGACCAACATGGACAAACCCCATCTCTACTAAAAATACAAAAAATTAGCCAGGCGTGGTGGTGCATGCCTGTGTGTAAATCCCAGCTACTCAGGAGGCTGAGGCAGAAGAATTGCTTGAACCTGGGAGGTGGAGGTTGCAGTGCCGAGATCGCGCCATTGCACTCCAGCCTGGGTAACAAGAGCAAAACTCTATCTCAAAACAAACAAACAAACAAACAAATAGTGCTTACTAAATAATTCAGACATAACACATTAATTCTAGCATATTGTTCTGCATATTAGAATTTGAAATTAGAGATAAATTTGAAATGGAACAAAAGAGAAAGTGAAAATGTACAGGACAGTGACATAGAAAAATGGTGACATAGGTGGACCCTGGGTTATATATTCCCCGACAGCAACAAAAATGTGTCAGTCTTCTTGTACAGAAATGCCTTTCCAAGAGAATCAGGCACCACGGCTCATGCCTATAATCCCAACTATTCAGGACCTCGGGGTGAGAGGCTCACTTCAGGCCAGAAGTTCAGAACCAGCCTGGGTGACACAGAGAGATCTCATCTCACAAAAATGCCTTTAATAGAGCTTAGTAATCCAGGGAGGGGGTTGTAAAATTCTGCTAAAGACCAAGACTATAGATTCAATAAACTTCTTATCAAATTCCAGTGGCCTTTTTCACAGTAATGAAAATAGAATTCTAAAATTTATATGGAATTACAATAGACTTGGCATAGCCAAAGCAATCTATAGGAAAAAGAACAAGGCAAGAGGCATAATATTTTCTGTTTTCAAGTGACATTTTAGGACTACAGTAGTAAGAACAGGATGGTATGCGAACAGAGAGGAAAACTGCCGCAGAGACCAATGGGACAGAACAGAGAGCCCAGAATTAAACTCATGCATATCCACTTAACTAATCTTTCACAAGTTCACGAAGAAGATACAATACAGACAGTATAGTCTCTTCAACACTTGGTCCTGGAGAAACAGAATACCCGCAATCAAAATAATGAAATAGCCCATTTTTCTTACACCATACTCAAAAATTAACTTGAAATCAAGCCTAAAATGTAAAACATGTATCCTTAAAAACTCTGAGAGAAAACCTCTGATATTGGTCTTGGCAATCATTTTTTAGACACGACACCAAAAGTACAGCAACAAAAGTAAATATAAACAAAATGGAGTACATTAAGCTAAAAAGCTTGTGACACCAAAGACAATTTACAATCAAACTTTTGGATACTAGGATGGCTAATATCAAAAATAAGTAACATATTAGGGCTGTGCAAAAGTAATTGTGGTTTTTGCCTTCTAAATAGTAAGAAATACTCTTACTTTTGCGCCAATCTACTAACAATGTTGATAAGGATGTAAAGAAAAAACAATTCTGAACGCTCAGAGTTCTCAACTGGTAGAGTCATTATGAAAACCAGGGTGGGGGGGCGTTATTTAAAAGTTAGAAAAAGATAAACCTACCCTGCAACGCAGCAATCACACTTCTGTGTATATAATAACTGAAGGGAATAAAAGCAGCATCTTGAAGAATTATCTGCTCCCTCATGTTCACTGCAGCATTATTCACAATTGTCAAGATATAAAGACAAGCTAAACGTTTGCGGATGCTGAATGGATAAAGAAAATGTGATATAAATAGACAATAGAATATTACTCAGCCATAAAAAAGGAATGAAATCCTGTCATTCAACCACGTGGATGACCCTGAAGGACATCCTGCTAAATAAACTCAGCCAGGCCCCAAAGACAGAGACTGCACGTTCCCCCTCAGACGTGGAATCTGTCGTGGCTGAACTCACAGGAGCAGAGGACAATGGCAGTTGCCAGGGCCTGGAGTTGGGGAAAATGAGCTGTTGTTCAAAAGGTACAAACTTTCAGTTGTAAGATGAGTAAGTTTGGGGAATCTAATGAGTAGCTTCACGAATACTATTAATAATCTTTTGTATGCTTAAAGTTTGCCAACGGTAGACATTAACTGTTCTCACTACAAGAAAAGGTAATTACGTGAAGTGATAGATTTGTTCCTTGAAGTGATTGCACTAATTATTTCACAACGTATACACATATCAAATTATTACATTGTACACAATATATACACAATTTTTATTTCTAAAATAATCTGTTACACATATGCCCACATAGACACACTGTATATATGTGTGTGTATATATACATGAATGGATAAAGAAAATATGATTTAAATAGACAACAGAATATTACTCCAGCATAAAAAAGAATGAAATCCTATCATTTCAAAAGGATATGTTGATATATTATATATACACACATATATGATATATACACACACATATATACACACATATATACACACATATATACATATGCACACATACATACATATGAATGACAGAGTCCTGATAAGCCTCATACTAAAAAAGAAGAAATTATAAAATGATAATATTATAACTATTACAGTTGGGAGTTAGGGAATATAAAGTTTAAATGACCAACCTCAGCTCATACTAAAAAAAATAAAATAAAATGTTGAAGTAAAATAACATTAGATTATCTCATATTTGGGCAGATGCCTAGTGTTCGGAGAAAACTGCTGAGTATACATTTCTGTAGACTCCCATTTGAAACCTCTGTAGGATACGAAATCATAAAGCAGAAAGCATACAACATCTGTTTACGGGACTTCTGGGATTTCTGAACCAATCACCATCACCACGCCTCTCGCACACTTCAGACATGATGCAAAGGAAATCAAAAAACATTTAACAGAGTTCCTCAAAAACAGGCAGGTACAGGCATGTTCCCAAAAGCAGTGGCGGAGCACGCCATGAGACCACACAGGCCCTTACTCGTCAGGAGGAGGACTCTGATTTTTACTGTAACCTTTATAAAGGAAGATCACTAAACAGGAAGCAGAGTCTATACAAAATTTGAGAGAATGAGACAGAAGACGCTCCTAGGGTACAGCAAGAGAAAGACACCCAGGCTCTCAGAAACCATCTCCACTAGGGCAGAGCTTCTCAAACCACATTTTAAGGTCTGGCTTCCTCCTCGACCTCTGGACCTCTCACCTGGGTTACCTGCTTCGTTCATTCCCACCCACCTGGATGTCCGTCTGCTGCCTCCTGTCTCTTCACATTCCAGGGCTCTTTTCGTTGCTCCAGGCAGGTGATCAGGCCTGGCTTACAGACAGTGAGACCTGTTTTATTAGAAAAAAGTGACATTACTCTTGCTGAAATTCTCCAATTATCAACCTTGTACTGTGCTTAGTAGAGTGAACATTATATAAGATTCTAGAAAATTAATCCCAAAATTATGCTTCCTGACATCACCTTTAGAATATTCAGTAAGTATTTTAAATCTGTGGGTTCTTAGTTTCACCACTCAGTACTGCTGACATAAAAAATTGGTGGTGGAAATTTGACTTTAAGTTGTGGGCAACAATATTTCATGCCACTGAATTTCTGGAATTGTCACTAGAGTGAAAGATACAGATCAGCTGAAAAAAAAGGAAGGTTTATGTCAAGATGAACCACATTTTGAAGATTTTTTTTTTTTTTACATCAACTATTCCCCATGTTTTTCTTAAAAGCAGGGATCTGAAACTCATTCATGCAACGCAGAAACTCCCAAAAAACATTCCGCAGAGGAACGAAAGGAACTCTTTAGGGCATAGGAGGAACTACGTATTGAAGTTATCCTCACCAACGGAGAACAAGTTTCTGTAGTTCTCCAACATCACATCCCTGTACAAATTCTGCTGAGCGAGGTCCAGGCATTTCCACTCCTCCAGGGAGAATTCTATGGCCACATCCCTGAACGTCAACAGAGTCTGAAGAAGAAACAACAACAATAACAAATACTTGATTCGAGGTGAAATGAGCGAGTGAAGAGAACTGGTTCTGACTTACACAAGTGACTGAAATTATACAATAAGGTAATTCTTAGCAGAAGAATACTCTCTAACTCTGAGGAAAGAGAATTGCCTGAGAGCCACATAAGCAGTGTATATACAATACTTTTCTGGTTGATAACAAGTATAACATTAAGGGCATCAACAAAGGCATGTCCATTTTTGAGTGCTACATTTACGTCACATGAATAAGCTGTGTATATTTCGCAGGCAGAAAAGTCATGGTGAGTTAGAAGCTGCCTCTCCAATTTTCATGTGTCCAATAAACTAGTGTGCAGATTTTGCTTCAGGAAATCGGAGGTCAAGGCTGAGTTTCCGAATTTCTAACGCGCTCACCAGTGATGCCAGTCCTTTGGGCCCAAGGACAATATTTTGTCAAAAATCCTGTAAGTGGCAAGCTTGGGTTTATCCCAGTTTTTCTAAACCATAAAGAGAGATGAGATTCTTCATCTTCTAAAGCAAGGCATATGCAAAAAGAATCTAAGAAGCAAAACCTTTCAGATTAAATGTGATTATTTATGCACATTAATTAGTAAATCTCCTCAAGGTACTTAAAAGAGAAAAAAATAAACTCCACAATGGAAAATCTGTCAGGGAGCTCTTTAAACAACTGAATAAAACTAATATCAACTGTAATAGGACAGATTTTTATCACGTGCCAATGCACAGAGAAGGACATATTACTGGTGTGATATTGGCCAAAAGGTCAATTATAATCTGAATCAAATCATACCGAAACCTTAGTGTTATGCAAAGTTCAAGAGACAAATAAATATCTCCCAGGTTCTGACAAATATCTCCCAGGTTCTGACAAATATTTCCCAGGTCCTGACAAATATCTCCCAGGTTCTGACAAATAAATATCTCCCAGGTTCTGACAAATAAATATCTCCTATGTTCTGACAAATATCTCCCAGGTTCTGACAAATATCTCCCAGGTTCTGTAATCTGTTTTCTTTTGTCTTGAGACTGAGTCTCACTCTGTAGCCCAGGCTGGAGTGCAGTGGCGCGATCTCGGCTCACTGCTACCTCTGCCTCCCTGGTTCAGGCAATTCTCGTCCCTCAGCCTCCGGAGTAGATGGAACTACCCACATGTGCCACCACGCTTGGATAATTTTTGTATTTTTTTAGTAGAGATGGGGTTTCACCATGTTGGTCAGGCTGGTCTCGAACTCCTGGCCCCAAGCGATCTGCCCACCTAGGCCTCCCAAAGTGTTGGGATTATAGGCATGAGCCACCATGCCCAGCAGTAATCTCTAATAGTGTATTAAAAGAGTCTTTCTTTAGCATTCTAAAAAGCAAGTGTCTTTTCATTTTTCTCTTTTCCAGAATGCTTTGAGTTATTCTGAGAGATAAATGTCATCTGGTTTAAATGTTTATTTTCTTAGTCCTGTTCTGCATGCAGCTTATGGAGCATCCAGATGAAACCTAAAGAGTGCACATTTCCCTTCTTTGCTGATATCCAAAAACCCACCCCATCCTCAAGAGGAATCCTGGGTATCCACAAGTTCAGTGCCACGAAGTGAACTTTTTAATACTGCAGGTCATAAAGTCATGGTAAGAATTCTTCATGGCATATAAGAAGTCAAGGTGAAGATAACAGAGAGACGGCTTTGGTATATAGAAAACAAATATTTTCAGAGACCCTTCATTATTATAAGAAAAAAAAGTAGTTGAAACAAACTTACTATGGAGAAACACCACAAGTAGAGAAGTAAAGGTTTCCAAATTCTAAACACATGACATTTCAGGAGCAAAAGTGGACACAACCCCTGACCTGAGATGCATTTACCTGAGCACCAGCCATTTCTTTCTCTTTCTCCTGCTTCTCTGGGATTTCCTCTTAGGAAAGATTCTCTGGACAAATCACACCTGCATCGTGAGAATATGCCTTTAAAGGTGTTAGCACAACCCCTTCACCTGCTACCACCACAACCATCAACAGAAAGACCAAGAAATACAGAAAAAGTCCACGCTTTTCTGTTCTTTATAAAAGAGATTCAGGAACAGTAAACTTCTACATGGAGATCAAAATGTGACTTTCTCTCTTCCTGCTCTCAGGTTCCCTCTCCTGCTAAACAACAGCAATTCTGCTTCAGCAATTGGAGTATAAGCTGCACTGAGCTGGCCTCTGAAACCTAGGCAAAGAAGGCCCTGTGACCTCCCTTTGGAACCAAGGCTGAGCTCAACTCGTACAAATGCATCTGAAACCCCCCATCACTGATTCTGGCCACACCTTAGAATCCCATGATGCATGTGACTTAAACAGCACTGGTGCTTCCACCCAAACCAATAGGCAGAATCTGTGAGGGCAAAGGTGAGGGCCTTTTTTTGAGTTGTCCATGTGATTTAATTAGAAGCCAGGCTGAGAACCATTTAGCTAAGCCTTGCTTCTCAAGCTTCAATGTGCATATGAATCTTTTGGTAATTTTGGCCCCACTCTAAGTCATGTGATTCTGAAGATTTCAAAGGGGTTCATGGGTTGGATTTTTTAACAGTTCTGCCATTAATGGTGATGCTGCTCCCCCAAGACTTGTGATCATTAACACTCAGCTAAAGAAAGCAGCCCCAGCACAGTCCCTTACACCCAACCCTCTGACCACAACATAAGTTCTTCTGGTGCAAATGGAGACAGCCAATCTCTATTCTGAAAGATTACATTATTTCCTGGCTCTTTAAAGTTTTCCAGGGCTGGAGAAGGAAGCAATGTCTGAGTCTGTCTGCATTTGGAAAACAATGTGTACACACGTATGAATGCAGTGTTTATTAAGCAGGCACGGGGTGCTCGGATGTATGTGACAGCACTGTGCTGGGCACCTCACGTCATGTGAGTTAATCCTCACCACACCCTGGGTGATGGAACCAAGTGTCCTGCAACTCTCAAGATATAGATGAAGGGACCAGGCTTTGTGGTTCCTCTTCTATTTTCCTATCATTAACGTTTTAAAAGTGTAGTGATAAAAGCTCCAGATAGACCAATGGAAGGGATACAGAGGGGATGAAGTGTAGTGCAAAGGCACTTTCCATTGTTGTGTTTATCTTCACTTTCTTGTGGCTTGTGAAGCAACTATTAGACCCACAGGACTGAGAAAGAGCTTGCTGGATACGATGTCTCTAACAGCGCTGGTGTTAGTAAAAAAGAAAAATTAAGGCTCCAAAATAGAGAGTCCTTTGATCCCATTTATCTGCTTTGGGGTTTCCGAAAATTCTGTGTATCAGTTCCGGAGAGGCAGCAGGAGTCAAACTCTGATTTAACTCTGTAGTTAAACTCCAAACTGATTTAACTCTGTAGCTAAACCCAAAACTCTGATTTAATTCTGTAGTTAACTCTGTCGGAGGAGAGTCCAGGGTGAAGCCAGACCTGGATGAGACTCAGAGAAGGAGAGTCTGGGCATGTCTGGGCAGGGAGAGGGCCCTACGCAGGATTCTGCTCTCTATGCTACTAGAGTATTTACAATTCTGTTTTTCCTAAAACTGCCCCCCACCCCAAAATTTAAATCCCAGGGTTTGTATAATTTTAATCTATTTTGGCCACTTCCTTGTCTATTTTATAACATAAAATAACAAGCAATTTAACCGAAACCTTTAGGATTTTCTAGGACAGATATGGTAGAAGCTAAATATTTATTTTTAGCCGGGCAAAAGCAACAGAAATAATACCACCACCACCTTGTCTGTCTGAATATCCCTTCAATATGACATCAGAACTCACAACAACCACATCAGGAAAATGGCCCAAATGAAGCAGAAGTCCCTTTGACCACTCCCTTCTTCATGCTGACCCCAAGACGCTGAATTCAATGATTTATCCAGTTACTGGAAATGGAAAAGTTTCTGGCTTGCGGGGACCATGGCTGCCTTCTCTGTTTTCCTAATGGCTACACAGGATGGAATCAATTAGTTTATCAGTTTGAATCTCCAGATCTCATTTTTGTTTTTTACTGAAGTACCAGAAAAACTGGAGTAATTCCCATGTGGATACCAATGAGGTTTCTTCTCTGAGGGGAGGAACAAACCCTGGGTGACTCATTTCTCTTATTCTACAACAGAAGCACAGATAGACCGTTTTGTCAGCCTGAGCCCCGTCTGCACAGTGCACTCCTGAATGTCCAAAAGACTCCAGGTGCTGGTGAGAGAGTTCCTGGTGACCCTGCACAGATGCCCTCTATGGCCATGAGATCCATGATAGTTGCTACCTTCTCCCTGTTGCAATCCTCCTTTAGAGTTCAATAACTTCCTATCTAAAGCTAAATTTATTTTATTTGACGAAGTCTAGAAACAGCCCCAGGATAATAACGATTCCATACCCAGGAAGTCCTCCCCAGCTTCCTTCCATCCCAACTCTAACTGCATCTGCCTGTGGGTCCCCAGTGCTCCCGGGCTCTGCAGCTTCTCTCTGTAGAAAGGCTCCTTCCATGGTTGCTGTGAGCAGTCTGGCGCACCCGCAGGGGAGGCTCCTTGGGAAGCACTAGCTAGGCCAGGGGTGTCCGATCTTGGCTTCCCTGGGCCACACATAAAATACACTAACACTAACGATAGCTGATAACTGAAAAAAAAAAAAAATCACAAAAAAGTCTCATAATGTTTTAATAAAGTTTACGAATTTGTGTTGGACCACATTCAAAGCCCAGGCCAGCATGTGGCCCAGGCCTGTGGGTTGGACAAGCTTGAGCCAGGCCTTCGATTGCTTTCTTTTGCAGACTCAGTATTAGCCTTAGCTTGGAATGACTGTTCTTGGGCTTCAACTTCCCAATCAGGGTTATCCACTTAGGTTTAAATAAGAAAATACCCAGTGTTGGAAACATCCAACAAAATCACTGAAACAGTTTACAGAAGAAAAGGAAACTGTAAGCACTTACACTTTCACCTCCACAGAAAAAGCAAAATTATTTATTGCTTTCAGACAATGAACTTGTCATTTAACTATTTCCATAACAAATCATATAGTAAACAATCACATGTGAACACTTTTAGAAGTGCTAAGTTCCATCTCCTACAACTTAGCATTAAGCTCAGACATCTAGAGAACAGGATATAAAACAGAGATACTCATGACAACAAATTCATCCTGCAAAAAGAGCTCATGTTCTGATGAATCTATGCAATTTACCAAGTAATCTACCATAATTTTTTTGTAGAAAATGTAAACATTCTCCACAGCCATCCAAGAAGCATTTTATGTTCCCTGGTAGCATTCCCAAAGCTAAGCCCTGGGATTCTGTTGGAAATCATCTTCCACAAAAGAACAGACCTAAGTAACTTTCTACCCTTAATCACTCTGGAGAAGAAAAAGGTATGTATGACTAGATATTTAACTTTTTTCCTGAAATTGACCTATTTCATGTCCTTTGTAAGTATTTTCTTACCTTTCAAGCTCTACTGATAAAATGTAAATTTACAATTAAAAATCCAACATTGCAGTAAGTGAATAAATTATTTCAAGGAGACACAGAGAGTGGCAGTGCCGACTGGAACACAGACACAGCTAATGACTTGTGTCAAGTCAGGCTATTCTATTCCTTGGGAGATTCTCCCACCTCCATCCTGTTCACCGAAGTGCTCACCGGCCACCCCCGATGATACACTGCACTGTGCCCCGCTGAGTGTCCCAGGTGAATTTTGCTTTACAGGTTTTGCACCATCTCACGGGGTGGAGTTTTTCTTGCTCTTTGAAACATTCTGTCTCCCTTCACAAATCTGAGAGTCCAAAGGGCAGAAATGATTTCGGTCTTTTCCCTCTGACAGGGGCATGTGATTGGCTGATCAGCCATGTGTCTCCAGGGATTGAAAGTTGGGTTGGGTGAAGACAATCTTAATGTCCTAAGTGGTTACCTCTTTAGAGGAAGAGTAGACCAGGAGATTTCTCTCAGCCCAGGGCATCCAGCTGCTCCCTGGAGAGGCCACACTTCATACCTCAGGCTGTCCTCTGAGAAATAACCCAGGGCCTGAAATTCACTAGATGCTCCAGCAGACATGGCCATGGTGGGCATCCTGTGTTATCCCTGGACAATACTGAAACTGAGGAAAAAGTCCAGAGGGTGGCTGAGAGCAAATCACCCTGTCAAGTTTCCAAAGTGGAACCTCAAACCAAAGACATTCTGGTAAGGTGTCTGTGCCTAGGGAAAATAAAAAGGAGGAGAGGCACAAAGACTTTTTACAATAGCGTCAGGGGATGATTCTCTGCTTTCCTGTCACGTGGAATGATTACAAACAGAAAACAAATCTCTTAAAAAGTGCCGTCCAGGCTGGGCGCAGTGGCTCACGACTGTAATCCCAGCACTTTGGGAGGCCAAGGCAGGCGGATCACATGAGGTCAGGAGTTCAAGACCAGCCTGGCCAACATGGTGAAACCCCGTCTCTACTAAAAATACAAAAATTAGCCGGGCGTGGTGGTGCAGGACTGTAATCTCAGCTACTCGGGAGGCTGAGGCAGGAGAATTGATTGAACCCGGGAGGCAGAGGTTGCAGTGAGCCGAGATCGCGCCACTGCACTCCAGCCTGGGGGACAGAGCGAGACTCCATCTCAAAAATAATAATAATTAAATAGCAGGCAATCCGACTGAGGTGGCTCTAGTGCCCTGGGTTCTTAGGTTAAAAAAAAAAATCTAACTCAGATGCGTTTCTTGCAAATGACTATCTTGCAGAAACAAAATTCAGGCTTCGTCAACCACAAACCTCTAATTAACTTCTGATTACAGGACCAGAAAATTTCAGCCTAGATAGCTGAAATCAGGAGATGACGTAACTGTACCGAACTAATGAATGAATGTGGTTTGCTTCCTCATGCACCTGATAAAAGCCTTTCCTTCAAGGCCGGCTGGTGGGACCTCCAAACCCAAAAAACATGGTTGGGTCCTCTGCCATTCATGAATCGCTCTTTGCTCAAATAAAACTCTTTCACATTTTTGCAAGGACTCCCTCGAGAGAAAGGAGGGACTGGGGCCCCCACGGGCTACAGATCATCCTCTTATGCACAAACCACCCACGGAGTCGGGATTCTCCCTTCCTGACTCGGGGAGACGAGGGTCTGCGGGCGAAGAGCTGCCGGGGGGACATGGCTCTGGGCTTGGGCCAAAGCCGCTCTGCAGGGATGCGCCGGGGCGCGCGGGGCCCGGCCGCCATGGTGCAGCTGGAGGGGCCTCGGGTCCGCGGAGCCCGGAACCCACCCGGGCAGCCCGGTTCCTCCCGAGCCGGTACCGCGGGTTCCAGTCCGCCCCTCCCTGTCTCTCAGGAGGCCTGGCCCCTACACTCACCATCTCCTGGCCTCCAGAGAGCCTGGCGTTTCACTTCTGGATCTCCCGGTGCCTGCGGGTCACACGACCTACGGCTAGCAGGGGACACAGAGCCGCGGGGACAGGAAGTGGAGCTCTGTCGGGACAAAGGCCCCGCTAGATCCCGGAAGCCGTCCTCTCCTCTCCAGACATGTGCCTGATTGGACAGTCCCCGCCCCTACTCCTCTGATTGGATAGGGCATCACGCCCCGCCCCCTCAGGCCCTGAGTGACAGGAGCTGTAATCAGACAATGGGCCGAATGAGACAGCAAGGACAGGTGCTGGCCGCGATCTTTTGGAGCGGGGCTTCCTGCCTGCGCTGTCCGGCCCCACCTAGAGGATATTTACATTTCATCTTGTGACTGCGGTTATGTTTATTTATAAATAATAAATATATGTTATTCACCAATGGAAAGAAGAAAATAAAGACAATCATTTTGAATTTTTATATTTTATGGCCTTCCTGGCTTTTGGTCCTTTGAACAGACAGCCTGAAATTTCAAAAAGGATTCAAGCCTCTAAGAATTAAAATGTAAGCCATGTGTGAATCTTAAATTTTCTAGTAGCCACGTTTTAAAATGTACTAAGAAACAGGTGAAGTTGATTGTAATAATTTAACCCAGTATGTAACCATTTTCCTCTATGGTCAATATACAATTGGTAAGGAAGTATATATTTTGGGGTACTAAATCTTTGAAGCTCACTCTGTATTTTACCTTTTCAGCACATTTCAGTTCAGACCAGCTGTATTCCTGTTATTCAATAGCCACACATGATCAATAGCTGCCACACTAAAGTGCAGCTCTGAGGTCTAACCTCCCTTATGTCAGGAAGTGGAGGGTCTGAAAGTCCCTTTTCAGCCAGAGGTGAGGGAACAGCCTCTTGCTACAAACATCTCTCCTCCGGTCGAAGGGTGGACGAGATGGTGATCCTAGAGAGCATAGGGGAAAGCAAAAGAAAATATCCACGGGTAGAGGACTGCTGCCCATCAATAATGGGGCCCTAAGAGGAGAGAACACATCTTCAGATCTGTCCATAGCCTTGACCTCCAACATTTAGATATGGAGGAAATAGACTAGAGGCAGACTTATCTTGCTATTTGGCCTTAGCCCTAATGATCAAGCTGTGATTGTCTGTTTCTTCCCGTGGTTGGGGGGCTGTGTGAGTAAAAGCACCAATCACATATATACATGTGTACATGCATTTCTGTATGACGGAACATTATCTTACAAAAGATCCAACTTTAAATAAGGGGGGAGAATTAGTACCTATAAAGTGCTTTCTTCTTGCAGGTAACTAGGAATCAACCTTTCATTGAATCCTGGCACCCTATCTGCCCTGGGTGCATGTATTAGTTAGCTATTGCATAACAAATCACCGAAAACTTAATAGCTCATGATTGAGTTCATCAGCCATTCACGCTGAACTCAACTGAGCTATTCTTGTCACAACTGGACTGCTTCATGTATGTATGGCCAGCTGCTGGTTGACTAGGTGGCTCTGCTTCTGGGGATGAGATGGCTATCAACAGTGGCACCTTCCTTCTCCCCACCATGGTATGTCATCCTCCAGCTGGCTAATCTCATAAAGATAGCAAGGTTCTGATAGCTTGATCTCATAAAGATAGCAAGGTTCTGAGAAACACAGAAGCATTTAAGACCTTTTGAGCCTAGGCCCAAAACTAGCACAAAAGCTGTCATATTCGCAGTTGATACGGTCTGGCTGTGTCCCCAGCCAAATCTCAACTTGAATTGTATCTCCCAGAATTCCCGTGTGTTGTGGGAGGGACCGGGGAAGGGGGTAATTGAGTCATGTGGGCGGGTCTTTCTCATGCTATTCTCATGTTAGTGAATAAGTCTCACGAGATCTGATGGGTTTATCAGGGGTTTCCACTTTTGCTTTCTCCTCATTTTTCTCTTGCCGCCACCACGAAAGAAGTGCCTTTTGCCTCCCGTCATGATTCTGAGGCCTCCCCAGCCATGTGGAACTGTAAGTCCAATTAAACCTCTTTTTGTTCGCATGTTCAGGAATGTCTTTATCAGCAGTGTGAAAACAAACTAATACAACAGTTTTCTATAGCCAGAGAAAATAGTGCCAGCCAGATGCAAAGTTTGGGAAACACATTCGGCCTCTTGATGGGAGGAGCTGTAAGAGCACACAATAAAGAGCATAGATACAGAGAGTAATGAAGCATTGCTGCTGTTTCTGCAATCAGTATTATTCTACCCTTTCTTGCAGAAGAGGTTTATATTACTGCTCCAAGTCAAGAACCTTGCCCAAAGTCCCACAGCTGCTAAGCAGCTGGGCTGGTACTCAGGATCAGCTCTGCCTGGCTCTGCAGCCCTTACTCCTGCATAGACTGCACTGCTCATACAGCTTTCCAAGGCCTGCAAGTTTCTGGAGAGTAACTCTTCTGCAATAGAGGCAGAATTCCTTTTAGATTTGGACCCATATGGTGCTGTTTACCATTGGGAATAATCAATCACCTCGAGAAATTGCAGAAGCTTCTTGGAAGGACATGGAATAATTTGAGGGAAATGGCTGATAGATGACTTTAGGAAATCAGAGCCCAACAACAGAGGAGCAATTTTAAAACAGAATGTATCCTATATGTCTGTAAATGCTTTCATTCCTTTTTGGTATTTGTAGGCTGTTCATAATTTTCAACACTGACTATAAGTACTGTGACTGAAACAACCTCTTACTCTGAAATCAAGTGACTTAAAGATACATCTGCTGAGAAGACTTTTTTTCTGCAGCAATTTATCCGAACAGCTAAGTACATCTTGGAGGTGTCCGTTGATTTTTAATAAGGAAGAGCTATTTTTCAAGCTCCTATGTGGCAAATCCCATCAGTATGCATGGAAACCAGCTACAGTGAATGCATTCTTTACCCTGAATCAATTGTTCTCACCCCTGCTACATGTAAAATCACCTGGGGGGATGGCATTTAGAATTTCCCAAACCCAAGCTGCCACCGACCAGTAAAATGAGAATCACTGGAGTGGGGCCTGGGCAACATTGTGGCTTAAAGGTCTCCGGGGGATTAGAGTGTGGGCCAGACCCCAAACCACTGCTTTTTTTTTTTTTTTTTTTACTTTTACGTTCAGGGACACAGGTGCAGATTTGTTATATTGGTAAACTCACATCATGGGGGTTTGTTGTACAGATTATTTCATACCCAGGTATTTGTTTTCTGCTATATCCCCAAGACCATGAATCATATCTGGCACATAATAAGCATTTCCTAATATTTGTTCAAAAAGGATTTGGCAGTCTTGGGGGGCAGAAGGGGGGGTGGGGAAAATTTTTAAATAACACAATTTTTTTAAAAGGCACAATGTTCTACAACGTCAAATTCTCTTGTATATTCAGGAAAGTTGAGGGTTTTTTCTAAAACATGCTGACATAATGGGAAATAAGATGCAAAATTTGCATGAATGTTTAAGACAAAGTCTGAGGTTTCCAAGAGATGTTGTGCTGGGGAGGCTGTGTGCTACAAGCTCGCAAAGCTCTGGGAGGACAAAGCATTCATCCTCCCTAGCAGAGGCCGTGAGGTGAGAAGCTCGGTGGAGCCCCCAAGCTTTGGACTTTTAATATAGAGTGTTCAGGTCCTTATAGTTAGGGCTCATGGCACAAGCAGGTCACAGGTCTCTGGCTCCTCTGACCTTTACCCTCCTTCCCAAGGGAAAATGTGACTCTCCAAAGCAAGAAACTTGAGGGCGTGGTTCACCCCAGCCCTGGCATCTGCCCAGAGCCTGAGAAGGAAGGAACAATGATCCTCCAGCTACCTCACAGGGCTGGCACAGGGGGTCACTGCCTTGTGGATTGCCCAGCTGTGTCGGGCAACCTGGACCCTATCTGTGGGGATGTAAAGAGGAAAATACAAAAGTCTCCATGAGGGCACTGGGAAGATAGAGGCAGGAGAAACCTCCAGGCCTTCACTACCCAGCCTTGGACCCATGGTGGAAAGATAACATAGTTGGTGATCTTGTGTGCTTACACTCCAGGTGGCACTGTGGCCTCGTTGTGGCTCTGAAAATGAAGATTTGGAAGGAGTTCATCACAGCTAATGTTTAACAAGACCCTACTGTATGCCAAATCATTCACCCCTTGCAACAACTTAATAAGCTAGGGATTCGTATTAGATATATTTTACAGAAAAGGAAACAGAGACATAAAGAGGTGAATGAACTTGCCCAGATGGCACAGCTAATAAGTGGTGGAGGCAGAACAGAATCTACACAGTGTGGCTCTGGAGCCCACATTCATTGATTCCGCAAGTGTTTATTGAGCACCTGCCATGTACAAGGTCTGTGCGATTAAATAGGGCTATAATTAATAATATAAGCATTATAAACCACTAGCACTTTTTAGAGTTAACATTTTCTTTTTTTTTTTTGCAGGTTTGAGGCACAGAGCTGTATATACAATAACAGTGAAATTGATCCCACTACTAATTATGACAAAAATGATCTTCCACGTAAACAGGTTAGATGTTTTCTAGGTATTATCTCATGAAATCTTGACAGAAACTGAATGAGGAGGGGGCCGGGTGCAGTGGCTCACGCCTGTAATCCCAGCACTTTGGGAGGCCGAGGCGGGGGGATCATGAGGTCAGGAGATCGAGACCATCCTGGCCAACATGGTGAAACCCCGTCTCTACTAAAAATACAAAAAAATATTAGCCAGGCGTGGTGGTGGGTGCCTGTAGTCCCAGCTACTTGGGAGGCTGAGGCAGGAGAATGGCGTCAACCCGGGAGGTGGAGCTTGCAGTGAGCCGAGATTGCGCTACTGCACTCCAGCCTGGGTGACAGAGCGAGACTCCACCTCCAAAAAAAAAAAAAGAAAATGAGGAGGGAAAGTTGATTGTTCTGATTTCACACAGAAGGAAATTGAGGTTAGGAGGGGTAAAGTAATTTTGCATGGCATGAAGTAGAAATTCGAAGTGTAGGGATTTGAACTTGGTCCTGCCCTTTTCTGAAGCCCCCATGCTCTTGACCACTGTGGACTCAAACCTCACCTTGTTTCTCCACTCATTCAACAAATAGATTTGTTTAAATTATCAAATAGGTTGCCACTCATCATGAGCCTCTGTTCCCATTCTACAGGTGGTGAAGCTCCTTATGGTCCTGACCCTACAGTTCCTGTCCCATGACCAGGGCCAGATCACCAAGGAGCTGCAGCAGTTCGTCGTCAGTGGCAGCCCCATGCGAGCACCCGAGGAAGGTGAGTGAGCACAGACAGATGGGTCCTGGTGCCCTGGAGCAGTTCCCGGGTCTCGGCTGCCCCAGGTCTCATAGTGTGGCCATGCTGGGGGAAGCTTAGGTAGTCACAGTACTGGCCTTTTTGGGTGAGTACACTGGTGACATGTTACTGTATTCTTGGGCTAGTACACTGGTGACATGATGCTATATTCTTGGGTGAGTACACTGGTGACATGTTGCTGTATCCTTGGGTGAGTACGCTGGTGACATGTTGCTGTATTCTTGGGTGAGTACACTGGTGACGTGTTGCTGTATTCTTGGGCGTGTACACTGGTGACGTGTTGCTCTATGCTTGGGTGAGTACGCTGGTGACATGTTGCTGTATTCTTGGGTGAGTACGCTGGTGACACGTTGCTGTATGCTTGGGCGCGTACACTGGTGACATGTTGCTGTATGCTTGGATGAGTACGCTGGTGACACGTTGCTGTATTCTTGGGCGTGTACACTGGTGACATGTTGCTGTATTCTTGTGTGAATACGCTGGTGACATATTGCTGTATTCTTGGGCGTGTACACTGGTGACATATTGCTATGTTCTTAGGCAAGTACATTGTTGACATGTTGCTGCATTCTTAGGCAAGTACGTGGGTGATATATTCCTGTATTCTTGGACAAGTACACTGGTGACATGTAGCTGTATTCAGAGGTGAGTACACTGGTGATGTATTGCTGTATTCTAGGGTGAGTACACTGTTGAAATGTTGCTGTATTCTTAGGTGAGTACACTGGTGACATATTGCTATATTCTTGTTCTTCGTGTCTAGCAACTCATACATGTTTACCAGAATATTCCTAAAGGTTCATTTTCACCATCAATTCTACCCAAAACTCGGTTAGCCCTTTTAACAGGCAGATTCAGCTTTTCCTTTGTTTCAGGAAATTTTCTTTTTTTGTGCTTAATCACGGCCTCTCCTCCATCTACCTCTTTTCCTCCCCCTGAAACTCCTATGTTATTTGCACCTGATGTCCTGGGTCTGTTTTCAAATCTTTTCTCTCATGTTTTCAATTTCTTTGTATTCCTGTCAATTCAAGATTTTTCTTCTACTTAATCTTTGAGGCCATTAATTTGAATCTTAATGATCACCTTCAATTCATTTGCAACCGTTTTTCAGTAGGCTTTATTTTTTGGAACAATTTCTGCTTCACAGCAAAATTAAGCAGAAAGTGCAAAGAGCTCCCATAACCACCTGACCCCACACATGCACAGCCTCTCCTACTATCAGCATGCCACACCTACTATCAACATGCCACACCAGAGCAGTACATTGCTTACAATCAATGGGCCCGTGTGGACACATCATAATCACCCCAAGTCCATTGTCCACATTGGAGTTAACATTCCGTGTTGTACATTTTTTTGGATTTTGATAAGTATAATGGGAAGAGGACAGACACTGATCTTCACTGTGTTCTGTGGCTCTTTGTGGTCCAAGTTTTTCTTCAGACCCATCACATTCCAATCTTCTCCCAGACCATGGTCTCCAATGCTGTTACCCAAGTTCTATCCCACCCAGAGTTTCAAGTGAAGCCTAAAACCTTATCCACAACCTTACGACCTCTCTGCCCACTGTGCTGCAGAGCAGAGGCTGAAATGGGTTGGAGTGAAAGTCAGCAGGAGAGGTACTATTTACTCAAGCTACCATCTTCCAAGAACATCCTTCAAATTTTAATTCTGAAAGGACATGCAAAATTTATAAATGTTAGTCAACAGAATTCAACAGGGAATCAAAATACATATACACTATAACCAAGCTGGATTCATTGCAGGCATACAAGGATGGTTTAATATAAGGAAAGCTAGTTCAATAGACAGAAGCAGAGACAACTACGTGGCCATTCTAGGGAGGCCCTGAGATGAATGAGTAACCCAAACACAGATGCTGCTGACTGAGCTGTTAAATTCACCATTTAATCAGGTAAAAGTCTGCCTTTATGAGAAGCAAGGTGCATCTCTGCAGAGATTAGCATATAATTTGTCAATCTGGAGGATACCTCACTGGGACTGGGATCAGAAGTAGGGACTGATGGAGAAACAGAAGGAAAGGCGGGAAATTCTCATGCAAAAGGGAGGAGTCCCAGACAAGGGCAGCTGGGCCAGGGGCCTGAGGAAGAAGGCAGCCAATGGGAACCAATGCCCAAGAGCATGGCCAGGAGAATTCGGGAGCAGGTACATCTAGTAAGCAGACTTCAGTTTTCTTTTCAGCAATGTGCTCCTCTTATGCTCTTCTCAGGGTTTAACGTGCATCCCTTAAACAAAGTAGCCTTTTATTAGCAATGATTTGGTGATTACAGAGTGTCTTAGTCCATTATTGCTGTTATAACAGAATATCTGAACTGGGTAATTGATAACAGAAAGTTACTCTCTCATAGCCCTGGAAGCTGGGAAGTCAAAGATCAAGGTGCTGGTGTCTGGTGTGGGCCTTCTTACTGTGTCCTTACATGTTGGGAGGCAGAAGGGCAAGAGAGCATGAAATGGTGTCCTCACATGGAAGAAAAGCAGAAGAAGGTGAATGCTGGGCTGGCTTTTACTGCCCGCATCATGGGGGGCGCCTCGCCCCCCTCCGATGGGGGTCCTAAGAGCCAGGGGGGCAAGAGGGGCTGGCTCTTACTGCCCGCATGGCGGGGGGCGCCTCGCCCCCCTGTGATGGGGGGTCCTAAGAGCCAGGGGGGCAAGAAGGGCTGGCTCTTACTCCCCGCATCGCGGGGGGGGGGCCTCGCCCCCCTGCGATGGGGGTCCTAGAAGCCAGGGGGCAAGAGTGGCTGGTTCTTACTCCCTGCATCGCGGGGGGCGCCTCGCCCCCCTGCGATGGGGGGTCCTAAGAGCCAGGGGGGGCCGGGCGCGGTGGCTCACGCCTGTAATCCCAGCACTTTGGGAGGCCGAGGCGGGTGGATCATGAGGTCCGGAGATCAAGACCACCCTGGCTAACACGGTGGAACCCCGTCTCTACTAAAAATACAAAAAATTAGCCCGACGTAGTGGTGGGCGCCTGTAGTCCCAGCTACTCCGGAGGCTGAGGCAGGAGAATGGCGTGAACCCGGGAGGCGGAGCTTGCAGTGAGCCGAGATCGCGCCAATGCACTCCGGCCTGGGCAACAGAGCCAGACTCCGTCTCAAAAAAAAAAAAAAGAGCCAGGGGGGCAAGAGGGGCTGGCTCTTACTCCCCGCATCGCGGGGGGCGCGGCGCTCCCCTGCGATTTGTATCGTAATATCCGGGGGGGAGAGGCGGGTGATATTACTTCCCGCATCGCGGCGGGCGCCCTCTCCCCACTGCGATGTGGCTCTTAATATCCAGCGGGGGAGAGAGGGTGATATTACTCCCTTTCTCCTAGTATTTTTTCTCTACTGCCACACTTGGTTAACACCCTGGGACATTATTTTCCATATTCTAGGAAGGTGTCACTGTTTAAGTTCCAGGGGGTATACACCCTGTGATATTATTCGTGATATTGTAGCGAAATGTGAATCCTGATGTCACAAGTCTCTACACACTCTGATATTATTCGCAATACCCTAGCGGGACGTTAATAATAATGTCACAATGTGTGTACAGCTTGTGCTATTATTATTAATCTCCTAAGGGGAGGTTGATTTTATTGTCACACGGAGTATTTTCCCTTTGGTATGATTCGGAATATCCTGGAGGGATGTCACTCCTTATGTCACAGGGTTCGTACACCTTGTCAAATTACTCGTATTACCCTTATAAGTTATCACTCCTCATATCACCGAGGGTGTACACTCTGTGATACTATCGTCATATTCTAGGGAAATGTTGCTTTTTATGTCACAGATGTTGCACACCTTGTGAAATTTTTCGTTATAGTTTTGTGGGATGTGACTCCTAACGTCACACGGGGTGTACACACAGTGATATTACGTGTAATATTCTATAGAAATGTTACTCGTAAATCACAGGTCCTGTACACACTTTAATATTCTTCGTCGTATTCTAGGAAAACGTGACTACTAACGTCACAGGGCGTGTAGACCCTGTCATAAAATTCGTAATATCCCAGCAGGAGTTCACTACTAATTTCACAATGCGTGTACAGCCTTTGATATTGTTCGTATTATCCTTAAGAGATGTGACTACTGATCTCCCAATGCATGTACATTCTCTGATATTATTCGTTATATCCTCGGGGGATATGACTTCTAATGTCATATGGCGTGTACTCCCTGTGTTCTATTTCATAGTATCCTAGGGCAATTGTATTGTTAATGACACAGGGGGTGTACACATTGTGATATTATTCATGATATTCTAGAAGGATGTTACTCCTAATGTCACGGGGGTGTACACCCTGTGATAGTATTCATAATTTCCCAGGGGTCTATATTCCTAATGTCACAGAAGATAACACCCTGTGACATTATTTGTAATATTCTGATGAGATGATTCTCCTAATATCACAGGGGGTGTACACCCTGTGATAGTATTCTTACTATTCTAGGGCGATGGCACTCTTAATGTCACAGGTATGTTCCTTCTGTGATATTATTGAAAATATGCTAGCTGGATACTACTACTAATGTCACAATGCGTGTACACCTTGTGATATTATTAGTAATATTCTGGGGGGATGTTACCCCTAACGTTACAGGGGTGTACACCGTGTGATATTGCTCCCAATATTGTAGGGGGATGTTACTCCTAATGTCACAGTGGGTGTACAGCCTTCGATATTATTTGTAATCTTATGGAGAGATATTACTTTAATGATCACAGTGGGTGTACATACATGGGCTACAACCACTGGGATATTATTTGTAATATCTTAGGGAGATATAACTCCTAATATCACAGTGGGTGTACCCCATGTGTGTACATCCTGTGATATTATTTGTAATATCCATTGTAAACATTACTTCTAGTATCCCACAGAGGGTACACCCTGTGATATTTTTCATAATATCATAGGGAGATATTGCTTCTAATAATACAGTGGGTGTACACCATGTGTGTACACTCTGTGATGTGATAGCTTATATCCTAGGGAGATATTCCTTCTAATATCACAGTGAGTGTGCACCCTGTGATATCATTCGTAATCTAGAAAGATGTTGCTGGTAATATCACAGATGGTGTGCCCCCAGTGACATCATTCGAAATATCCTAGGGAGATGTTACTCGTAATGTCACAGGGGTTGTACACCCTGTTATATTATTGTAATATTCTAGGGGGGTGTTACTTTTAAAGTCAAAGGGGTGTACACTCTGTGATGTTATTCGTAATATCATAGGAAGGGGTTATTCCTAATATCACATGGGTTATCCTAGGAAGAGGTTACTCCTAATATCACACTCCTCATATCACAGCCTGTGATAGCATTCGGAATATCCAAAAGGGATGGTACTTTTAATGTCACATGGGGTGCACACCCTTTGATAATATTCGTAAGATCCTAGGGACATATGACTTCAAATATCACATTGGGTGTACACACATGGTGTACACATTGTGTGTGAACACCTCCAGTGATATTATCCATAATATCCTAGGAAAATGGGACTCCTAATATCACGGTCAGTGGACACCCTGTGATATTATTGGTAATATCCTAAAGAGATGTTACCACTGAGGTCACAATGTATGTACGCCCCCTGATATTATTCGTTATATCCTCGGGGGATGTTACTCCTAATGTCACACGGGGTGTACTCCCTGTGATATTATTCGTAATATCCTAGGGGGATGTTACTTTCAGTGTCACCGGGGGTGTATATCATGCGTATTCAACGCCTGTGATACTATTCCTAATATCCTAGGGGCATGTTCCTCCTAATGTCACATGGGGTGAACACCATATGTGTACGCCTGCTGTGATATTATTCATAATATCCTAGGGGAATATTACTCCTGATGGCACAGGAGATGTACACCATGTGTGTCAACCGCCTGTGTCATTATTCGTAATATCCTAGGGAGATGTTTCCTTGAATGGCACAAAGTGTGCGCAAAAGGTCACAGAAGGTGTGCACCTTGTGATGTTATCTGCAATACCCTAGAAGGATGTTACTCCTAATATGTCACAGGGGTGTACACACTTTGATATTATTTGTAATCTCATAGAGAGGTATGACTTCAAATATCACAGTGGATGTTCACACGTAGTGTATACCCTGTGATATTATTCATAATATCCTGGGGAGATGCAACTCCTGATATCACAGTGCATGTACCCGGTGTGTGTACACCCTTGATATCAGTCGTGATATCCAGGGTAAATATGACTCCTCATATCACACAGTGTGCACACCCTGTGATATTTTTCATAATATTTAAGGGAGATAGCGCTTCTAATATCACCGTGGGTGTACCCCATGTGTGTGTACTCTGTGACAGTATTTTTTATATCCTAGGGAGGTATTACTCGTAATGTCACAGTGGGTGTTCACCCTGTGATGTCATTCTTATTTGACCTTGGCGCCTTTTTTAAACCACCCTACAAAAGGAATGGAACAGATAAGAAGATGTTGAGATTAGACTGTGCTGCCATGCGGCCGCCGCAGGACACTTTTCATATCCCTGTTTCTCAGGCTGTAGATGAAGGGGTTCAGCATGGGGGTGACCACCATGTACATCACTGAGGCCACTGCACCCTTTCTCGGGGAAGATGACACATCTGAACCGAGGTACCCTCCAATGCCTGTTCCATAAAATCAGCAAACAACTGACAGGTGAGACCCACAGGTGGAGAAGGTTTATACTTCCCACCTGATGATGAAACCCTCAGAATGGAGGAAACAATTTTACAGTAAGAGAAAAGGGTCCCCAAGATGGGAAGAAAACCAAATATGGCAGCAGGGAAATACTGATGTTCCTGGTGAAGGTGTCACAACATGCAAGATGGGAGAGTTGAGAAGGTTCCCAGAAGAAATTAGGAATTTCCACATCCTTGAAGCAGGTCATTTGTAAGGCAATCAAGTTGTGCAGCTGGGAGTCTGAAAGACTGAGAAAAAAAAAAAAAAAGACAACAAATCTAGGAAGCCACAGAAACACGGGTTAAAGATGGCTGAACAATATAGAGGGTGACAGATGGCTACAAACCGGTCATAGGCCATCACACTCAGGAGCATGTCTCTCTTCCATACCTCCAAAAATGGCAAAGAGAGACATCTGAGTCAGGCAGCCTGCATAGGAGATGACTCTGCTGTGAGACTGGATGTCCACAATCATCTTGGGGACCGTGGTGGAGGTGAAACCGATGTCAGGCAAGGACAGGTTGGAGAGGAACAAGTACATGGGGGTGTGGAGGTGGGAGTCAGGGCTGACGGCCAGGATGATGAGTAGGTTCCCCAGCACCGTGACCAGGCACATGGACAGGAACAGCCCAGCGACGACCTGCTGCAGTTCTGGATCCTCTGAGAGTTTGAGGAGGAGGAATATAGAGACATCTGTTAGACTCTGTGGGTCTGTATCATTTGGATACAACCCTCTTTTGCCTGGAAAAGAGGGTTGAAAAATCCGAAACAAGTAAACCAATACCCAGCATTGTGTCTGCATTTTGGATAGAAGCAATTCACCAGTAATGTTTGCAGGTTTCAGAGCAATCCACACTCAGCAATATTTTGTAGTTCTGACAAGCTCAATTGCCTTATAGTGCTTTCAACATCGATTGCTGTGTTATTCTCCTCTTGCTGTACACACCTGCCTTAGAGACACTAGCTTCGAGAACGTTCCAAGAACCAGATCATCATATATAACAAATTCGTAATTGCTAGAAAATACAGCCTATCTTTTCCGAAGAAAAAGATATAATAAAACCACTGTCTTCACTTTAAGAAAAAGGTTATCCTAATTAAAGGAAATTAAGAACTCAAATATTTTATTTATTCTACTAGATTGATACAAATTCCCTTGATTTAGAACATTTGTAAACACTGTGTAACAGCTGAGACCATGCCATCTGGAAATGAAATGAAAGTTGATAGTTCATAAGCAGAAAATAGTTCCACATGCCAGTTAGGTCCTAGTGATTTCATCATTCTGTTTTCGGACTTTTCTCCTTCGAGAGAGTAATTGCTTACTCAAATCGGTGGGTCTTGTTTTAAAATTCATGGAAGCTCTAACTCCTGTCCTTAGCTTAGGTGGACTTAGAGTTTTCATCAGAAAGTTTGGCCGGATATGGTGGCTCACGCCTGTAATCCCAGCACTTTGGGAGGCCGAGGAGGGCGGATCACGGGGTCAGGAGATCAAGACCATCCTGGCCAACATGGTGAAAACCCGCCTATACAAAAAATACAAAAACTTCGCCCGGTATGGCGGCGCGTGCCTGTAGTCCCAGCTACTCGGGAGGCTGGGGCAGGAGAATGGCTTGAACCTGGGAGGCAGAGACTACAGTGAGCCGAAATCACACCACTGCACGCCAGCCTGGGCAACGAGAGCAAAACTCCGTCTCAAAACACAAAAAACAAAAAGAATCAAGTAAGTCAAAGTCATGCTGATGACAGCCAATTTTGGTGAAGCAAGGAAGTGTCAATTCAATCATTAATATAGATTTTGACTTTTGCTGTCTCCTATGTGCCAAGCAAGATATAGGCTCTGGGGAATCAGAAGCAAAAGAGACTCCCCTGTTCCTCTCACAGTACTCAGTACTTACTGAGAGAAGGACAAAACAAAATGTCCTGTCTGGAATGCAGGGAAAGCAGAACTTCAGGTCAGGGGATATTTCCGTTGAATTGTGTGGAGTTGAAGCTGAAAATCTTAAGGAATGTATCTAAAATTCACTTTGCCTTTACTTTATGCATCCGTCACCTAGAGATCACACAGCGGGCGCCTACGATCGGCTTAATCATCATTCACTTCCATCGGATCAACTGGAAATCAAGTCAGGTGAGAGTGCTGAGTCTCAGAGGATGGACGTCTCACCCCTTGCCATACAGAGAAGTAGAAAGGGTGGTATTCAAAATTCATGGCCAGACTCGAAGTCCCGGGTACTATACTTCCTGGTCTTCCAACTCTCAAAAAGTTGTGGGTTTTTTTTTGTTTTTGTTTTTGTTTTTGTTG